>NC_000009.12:128534369-128848187 GCF_000001405.40 Homo sapiens | reverse complement strand
ACCATCACACCTGGTCAATTTTTGTATTTTTGTAGAGACGGTGTTTCAGTATGTTGCCCAGGCTGGTCTCAAACTCCTGGGCTCAAGAGATCCTCCTGCTTTGGCCTCCCAAAGTGCTGAGTTTACAGGTGTGAGACACATTGCCCTGCTTGAATTTGTTGATTGCATCTCCATGGTGTTATTTAACATGTTCTTCTGTCCCTGTATTTTAGTCATTCAACAGTGTGATCTAATTTAGGGCCACTTTTACAGCAGGAATAATTTGCAGGTGGTGTATGTGTTTCCAGAGTCAGAACATGTTTGGTTTATGCTCTTGGTGATATTCAGGGCTATCAGTGATCCTCTCCTGGATCATTTTTTAATTAGAGGTGATTTGTGTTTTGAAAGGGTCACTTGGGTTGCTGGGGGGTGTATTGTATATGAGTAACAGGGTTCTTATAAGGACGGAGTCGGATAATCATGCAACAGAGCACTTGGTGCTATTCCTGGCACGCAATGACCATATTGTTGTTGTTGTTGTTGTTGTTGTTGTTGTTATTGTTAGAGCTGTGTGTGGGGGACCCAAGTCCTGAGCTCGGAGGCATTTTCTGGCCAGGGCTGTTTCCTCCCTTCTCCCCTGCCTCTGGAAAAGTCTGCAGTGCCCCAAGGCTCTGGGAGGCATGTTCAGGACTGCAGCAGCCATCTCTGTGCACCTGGTGGGGCCCCTTCAGGGAAGGAAGGCTGGAGCCCCACTCACTTGGTTCTTGCACCAGACTGTAAGTGCCCTAACCCCAATACTCTGCCACCTGCATGGCCTGGGGCTTCTGGGGTCTGGCTCGTTCCTGGCTTCAAAGCTGTGCATGAGCCTTCTCTTTCAGGGAGCCCTCTTTAACTGCAGCCTGTATGTGGGCTTCTCCCTTGCCCCTGCTTCTCTAGTCTAGAACTTGTAGCTCTGCATCTGAATAGTCAGCTTGGGCGCTGTAGGGTGCTGCTTCCCATGATCCCCTGTGCCCATCCCAGAACCCAGTACCTGGTAGGGACTCAATAAATGTCAACTGAGCCAGGCGCGGTGGGGTTCCTGGGCCATGGAAGACCTGGCACTTACTCAAATGGTCCCAAGGCCCCTCCAGGACAGGGGGGCCTGGTGTTGAGATTACTGTGGCTGCCACCCTGACCAGGTCCTTGCCAGCTTCTCTTCTGACCCTGGGCAGGTACCTGAGCCTCTTCAAGCCTCAGTGTCCTCATCTGTTAGATGGAGACTATTGTGGCACCTCTAGTGAGAGTGCAGTGGGAACTGAGCGAGGTGGAACTGAGCAAAATCCTGAGCCAGGGTTCACTATTGACCACAGCAGGTGGCTGAGAAGAATGTTGGATCCCCAGCTCCACGGCCCACCAGCCATCTGGGACTGGCAAACCCACAGGAACGGAAGGTTCCTCAGGGACCACAAAGCCCATGTGAGGTCCCTGCTGCTGAAGGGATTCTGAGGACAGGAGGAGCCAAATTACCTATCCAGGGTCACCCAGCCAAGGTGGGTTAGGACCTGAGTTTGGTGGCTCTCAGGTCTGGCCAATTTCTTTCTTTCTTTTTTTTTTTTTTTTTTTTTTTTTGGTAGAGTCTTGCTCGTTGGGTCGGGCAGGAGTGCAGTGGCTGGCACGATCTTGGCCCACTGCAATCTCCATCTCCCAGGTTCAAGTGATTCTCAGGCCTCAGCCTCCTGAGTAGCTGGGATTACAGGCATGTGTCATGACGCCCAGATAAGTTTCTTTGTTTGTTTTTCCCAGACTGAGTTTCACTCTAATGCTCAGGCTGGAGTGCAGTGGTGTGCTCTTGCCTCACTGCAATGTCTGCCTCCCAGGTTCAAGTGATTCTTGTGCCTCAGCCTCCCAAGTAGCTGGGATAACAGGTGCGTGCTACCACGCCCAGCTAATTTTTGTATTTTTAGTAGAGATGGGGGTTTCACCATGTTGGCCAGGCTGGTCTCGAACTCCTGACCTCAGGTGATCTGCCCGCCTCAGCCTCCCAAAGTGCTGGGATTACAGGCGTGAGCCACTGTGCCCAGCCCCTGGCCAGTTTCTGCACACCAGTGGCTGAGGAGGGAGCTGGCCTGGGAGGAACACCGGGAGGGGAGGGGCGAGCCAGGAGCCAGGACCCCGGGACCCTCCGAGGAGCGGATTAGTGCCTCCCTCAGAGTTAGGACATGGCCTTGGGTCCAACAGGCCTAAGTCTGAGTGTGTGTGTTGTGTGGCCTTAAACACATCACTCCCCCTCCTGCACCCTCCAGCCTCTGTTTTCCACCTTCTGTTTTCTCATTGATAAGATAGGCCTGACCAGGTCATTCAGGGAATGAAATGGAAGTGCTTAGCAAGACCTCTGTAAGTGGAGGCTGCTGCTGTCACTGTTGCCATTATCCTCCCTCTCCGCTCCACCCACCTCCTGCTCCTCTTCTTTAACCCTCAGCCCTTCCTGAGTCAGACTTTAACCTGGCCAAGTCAGGGCTCTGTCTCAGGACGCATGGAGCCAGGGCTGGAAGTCTCCACTGGGCAGGCGCCAGGCAGCCCCTGCAGGTTGGGGAGGTGGAGGCTGCTGGAGTCAAGAGGAACCAGGTGAGGGTGTTGGAGCATAACAGGCTTGGGAGGCAGGCAGAAACCTGCCCTTCTGCAAACTCTATCTCTTCCCCCTCCTGGGAGCAGACAGGATGGCGCTGTGGCCTGAAAGCAGCTGTCCCTCCTGTGTGCAAGCTCGGACTGCTGCACCCAGACAGATTCCATCTCTGACCTTCCACTTGTTCGTCTCCAGCTCGCCATGGCCAAACAGCTGCAGGCCCGAAGGCTAGACGGGATCGACTACAACCCCTGGTGAGCCAGCTGGGCTGGGGAGGTGTGTGGGTGTCCCCTCGGGCATGGGTTGGCCATCCCTGGGTTTACAGCAACTCAGTAGTACTCCAGATGGTGGCGGTACACAGACTGCCAGATTCCAGCCATAGCTCAGGAGAGACAGGGCCCGAGGGAGTAGGCTTGGTTCAAATCTCAGCTTTCTTCTGCATGACTGTGCCACTAGGACAGGTGACATACCTGCTCTGAGCCTCATCTCCCCAGCTGCAAAATGAAGAGTTATACCCACCTGGAGAGCGTTGGGGAGGAAAAAGTAAAATGCTGTCCAAAGCCATTCTACCCAGGCACCAAGCTAAGGCCTTTCCAGGGATGACTCTTTCTCACTTGGTATAGAGTCAGATAAACTAAGATAAGTAAAATAAGCAAGTAAGATACAGTCAGCTCTTCACCAGACATTTGCAGAGGTTGATATTGTTTTCTTTTTTGACTTGTTTTATTTTCATTTTATTTTTGAGACGGAGTTTTGCCCTTGTCGCCCAGGCTGGAGTGCAATGGTGCGGTCTCGGCTCACTGCAACCTCTGCCTCCTGGGTTCAAATGATTCTCCTGCTTCAGCCTCCAAGTAGCTGGGATTACAGGCGTGCAACACAACGCCCAGCTAATTTTTTTTCTTTTTCTTTTCCCCCGCAAGACAGAATCTTACTCTGTCACCCAGGCTGGAGTGCAGTGGCATGATCTCGGCTCACTGCAACCTCCCCCTCACAGGTTCAAGCAATTCTCCTGCCTCAGCCTCCCAAGTAGCTGGGATTACAGGCGTGCGCCACCACGCCCAGCTAATTTTTTTTTTTTTTTTGTATTTTTAGTAGAGATGAGATTTCACCATGTTTGCCAGGCTGGTCTCGAACTCCTGACCTCGTGATCCACCCGCCTCAGCCTCCCAAAGTACTGGGATTACAGGCATGAGCCACTGTGCCTGGCCCTAATTTTTATATCTTTAGAGAAAATGGGGTTTCAGCATGTTGTCCAGGCTGGTCTCAAACTCCTGACCTCAAGGGATCTGCCCTCCTCGGCCTTCCAAAGTGCTGGGGAATACAGGCATAAGCCACCGGGCCCAGCCAAAAATGACACATTTTAGACATATTTATTGGTATGCAAATTCAACTCAGCCAGGTCTTCACTCTGCTCCAAACTAGCCCCAAACCACATACCAGCCTCTTCATCCAGCTTCCCAGCCTTTCTCCCACCTGGAGAGGTGGCCCCCAGGCAGGGCCAGAACAGAGGATTATGGGTCCAGAGATGATGTGTGCCTGGGCTGGTGGGGCCCTGTTCTGCCCAGAGTAGGGTCAAGAGCATCAAACTTTGCTTGAGATGGAAGTAGAAAGGCTGGCTGGCTGTGCCTTGTACTAGCTGGGAGGCTTTAGGCAAGTCACTCCACTCCTTATCCCCACAGTGGTCCAGGAACAAGATGTGCCTCACAGGCCATTGTGAAGGCTATATGAGCAGAGCGTTTAACTGTGGTGTTGACGAATCCAAGGAGGAGTCATGCAATCTGTACAGGGGGTCTCAACTAGTATTTGGAAAGAATAGAGTAGGATAGGACAGGACAGAAAATACTGCAGTAGATTGCACCAAGAAGGATGAAGCTTCCATTCCATGTTTGTGCTCCACAGGGTTGATGATGCAAAGGTGATTTCTTGGCCGGTAGTGGTGGCTCACGCCTGTACTGCTAGCACTTTGAGAGGCCAAGGGGGGCGGTGGATCACCTGAGGTCAGGAGTTCGAGACCAGCCTGGCCAACATAGCAAAACCCCATCTGTACTAAAAATACAAAAATTAGCTGGGCGTGGTGGCGGGTGCCTGTAATCCCAGCTACTCAGGAGGCTGAGGCATGAGAATCGCTTGACCTCGGGAGGCGGAGGTTGCAGTGAGTTGAGATTGCACCACTGCACTCCAGCCTAGGGGATAGAGCGAAACTCTGTCAAAAAAAAAAAAAAAAGATGATTTCTTCCTATGGGTCATGGTGGAAGAACTTGGAAAGCCCCTGGGCTGATTCCTGCGATTAACAATGTGCCTGACTGACCTAATCTCAATGTAGGGGACCAGCTGTGACACTTAGGCAGATCTTCAGGCCAGGACAGTTGCTGATTGTCTAGTTTTTGTTTTTCTTGTGTGTGTATGTGTGTGTTTTTTGTTTTTTGTTTTTGTTTTTTTAAGACAGAATCTCACTCTTGTTATCCAGGCTGCAGTGCAATGGTGCGATCTCGGCTCACTTCAACCTCCGGTTCCCGGGTTCAAGTGATTCTTCTGCCTCAGCCTTCCAAGTAGCTGGGATTACAGGCCCCTGCCACCATGCCTGACTAACTTTTGTATTTTTAGTGAAGACAGAGTTTCACCATGTTGGCCAGGCTGGTCTCAAACTCCTGACCTCAGGTGATCCGCCCACCTCGGCCTCCCAAAGTGCTGGGATTACAGGCGTGAGCCACCACACCTGGCCGGTTGTCCAGTTTTTCTAAACAGGCCGAAGTCCAGGTCACCATGGAGGGCTGGGCTGGTGCTGATTCTCCATTTGTTACCCAGGGTGGAGTTTGTGAAACTGGCCAGTGAGCATGACGTCGTGAACTTGGGCCAGGGCTTCCCGGATTTCCCACCACCAGACTTTGCCGTGGAAGCCTTTCAGCACGCTGTCAGTGGAGACTTCATGCTTAACCAGTACACCAAGACATTTGTGAGTCTCCCCATCTCTCGTGGAGGCACTGGGGGAGGAAGGGGACAGGGCTTTCTGGACTTCAAGCCCACACAGCTGTCAGGCTTCAGGGGACAGAGCCAGGGGATTCTGTATGACCATAGTTCAGTGTTTACTGAGCGTATCCTCTGTCCCAGAGCCTTCGCCTCGTGGTCTAGTGGGGATGGCAGACAAGAAGCCAGTAACGACAGGCAGTTGATACATGATGTGATGGAGGAGGATGGGATATCGTGCGAGTAAGAAAGAGGGAATGAAACCTGGGGAGGGGGCTGGAGAGATGCACGAAGACTTCCTGGAGGAGGTGACACTTAAACCAAGTCCTGAAAGATGAGCTACTGGTTGGATTACACAATAAATCCAAACGTTTTCCGGAAAGGACCACATAGTAAATATGTGACACTGCTTGGATTAGAACAGTGGTTCTTTTTTTCTTTTTCTTTTTTGAGACAAGGTCTCACTCTGTTATCCAGGCTGGAGTGCAATGGTGCGATCATGGTCCACTGCAGCCTTGACCCTGCCAGTCTCAAGTGGTCCTCCCACCTCAGCCTCTGGAGTAACTGGGACTACAGGTGTGCATCACCATGCCCAGCTAATTTTATTTATATATTTATTTATTTATTTTTGAGTCAGGGTCTCACTCCTGTCACCTAGGCTAGAGTGTAGTGACATGATCACGGCTCACTGCAGCCTGTACCTCATGGGGCTCACATGATATGCCATTTCCTGGGGCTCATGTGATCCTCCCACCTCAGCCTCTAGAGTTGCTGGGACAACAGGGGCATGCCACCTCACCCAGCTAATTTAGAGACAGGGTTTCACCATGTTGCTCAGA
The DNA here is from genome assembly GCF_000001405.40 of Homo sapiens. Taxonomy (NCBI): domain Eukaryota; kingdom Metazoa; phylum Chordata; class Mammalia; order Primates; family Hominidae; genus Homo; species Homo sapiens. The sequence goes on along the minus strand of NC_000009.12, from coordinate 128,841,803 downwards.
CTGGTCTGAAACTCCTGGGCTCAAGTGATCCTGCCACCTCGGCCTCCAAAAGTGCTGGGATTACAGGCGTGAGCCACTGAACCCTCATTCTTTTTTTTTTTTTTTTTTTGAGATGGAGTCTCCCTCTGTCGCCAGGCTGGAGTGCAGGGGCGCAATCTCGGCTCACTGCAACCTCCCCCTCCCAGGTTCAAGAGATTCTCCTGCCTCAGCCTCCCGAGTAGCTGGGACTATAGGGGTGCGCCCCCACGCCCAGCTAATTTTTGTTTTGTTTTTTTTTTAAGACAGTCTCGCACTGTCGCCCCGGCTGGAGTCTGGAGTGCAGCGGCACGATCTCGGCTCACTGCAACCTCCGCCTCCGCCTCCGCCTCCGCCTCCTGGGTTCAAGCCATTCTCCTGCCTCAGCCTCTTGAGTAGTTGGGATTACAGGCGCCCGCCACCATGCCCAGCTAATTTTTGTATTTTTAGTAGAGACGGGGTTTCACCATGTTGGCCAGGCTGGTCTCAAACTCCCGACCTCGTGATTCGCCTGCCTCGGCCTCCCAAAGTGCTGGGATTACAGGCGTGAGCCACCGCACCTGGCCATTTTTTGTATTTTTAGTGGATACTGGGTTTCACCATGTTAGTCCGGTTGGTCTCGATCTCTTGACCTCGTGATCCACCCACCTCAGCCTCCCAGAGTGCTGGGATTACAGGCGTGAGCCACCGCACCCGACCGCACTCGTTCTTTTTAATGGCTGCATACTGTTCTGTTGCCTGGATGTGCCATAATTTATTTAAGCAGTTCTGCACTGATGGACTGCTTCTGCTATCTCAATATCATAAGCAATGCCACAGCAAATATCCCTGTGTGGACATCTTTGTATACATATGTATTTCTCTAAGATAAATTCCTGGAGGTAAAACTAGCAAAAGAAAGACTATAAATATTTATAAATACAATAGGTGGATATTGTTAAGAAACAGTGTGTGCCTATAATCCCAGCTACTTGGGAGTCTGAGGCAGGAAGATTGTTTGAGCCCAGGAGTTTGAGGCCAGTGCAACATAGTGAGATCCTGTCTGAAAAATAAACAAACAACTAAGTAAATAATTGCCCTCCAGTAAGGTTTACTCATTTACATCCCTGCCAATAGGCTGGTCTCAGAGCTGGTTGGAAAGTTCCTTCTTTGATCCAAAAAAAAAAAAAATCATTTGGGTATGTATCTTTTTCTTTTCTTTCTTTCTTTCTTTTTTTTTTCTTTTAACTAGAGACAAAAGCTGGGTATGGTGGCTCACGCCTATAATCCCAGCATTCTGGGAGGCTAAGGCTGGCAGATCACCTGAGGTCAGGAGTTCAAGACCAGCCTGCCCAACATGGTGAGATCCCATCTCTAATAAAAATTAGCTGGGCGTGGTGGTGGGTGCCTGTAATCCCAACTACTTGGGAGGCTGAGGCACAAGAATCGCTTGAACCCGGGAGGCGGAGGTTGCAGTGGGCCGAGGTGGTGCCATTGCACTCCAGCCTGGGTGACAACAACAACAACAACAACAAAATAGAGACAGGGTCTCCTTATGTTACCCAGGCTGGTCTCAAACTCCTGGGCTCAAGCAATCCTCCCACCTTAGCCTCCCAAAGTGCTGGGTTACAGGCATGAGCCACTGTGCCCAGCCTCATTAAATATTTTACCTCTTTCTTGTATGTTGCAATATTTTTCTCTTCCTGTTTTGACCTTGCTCATGGTGCCTTTTATTTTTATTTAATTAATTAATTTATTGTCTAAGACAGAGTCTCAGTTTTATTACCCAGACTGGTGTGATCATAACTCACTTCAGCCTTGATCTCCTGGGCTCAAGCAATCCTCCTGCCTCAGCCTCCCGAGTACCTGGGACTACAGGCACGTGATACTACACCTGGATAATTTTTTTGATTTTCCATCAGTAGAGACAGAGTCCCTCTGTGTTGCCCAGGCTGTTCTCAAACTCCTGGCCTCAAGCAACCCTCCCGCCTCATACTCCCAAATGCTAGGATTACAGGCGTGAGCCACGGTGCCTGGCCTGTGCCTCTTGTTGTACAGAAAATTTTTATATTTGTGTGGCCAAATCTGGTTTAGTGAGTTACTGAGTTGAGTTCTAGATAAAGTTTCAATCACTTGGCTTAGCCTTGAGTATTTTTGTTTTGTTTTGTTTGTTTTTGTTTTTTTTGAGACGGAGTCTCGCTCTGTCGCCCAGGCTGGAGTGCAGTGGCGCGATCTCGGCTCACTGCAAGCTCCGCCTCCCGGGTTCACGCCATTCTTCTGCCTCAGCCTCCCGAGTAGAGCTGGGACTACAGGTGCCCGCCACCATGCCAGCTAATTTTTTGTATTTTTAGTAGAGACGGGGTTTCACCTTGAGTATTTTATAAGTGTCCTCAGCAAACAAGTTTCTGGATCTAATCTTCCTCTCAAAAAGGGGTGCTTACAAAGCTGCAACATGAGGTTCCTGACTGTCAACTGTGTGTGACTTTAGACAAGTAATTTCTTCTCTCTGGGTCTCTATTTTTCTACCTGTCAAATAGTGGGCATCAGGCCAGGCACGGTGGCTCACATCTGTAATCCCAGCACTTTGGGAGGCCAAAGCAGGCAGATTACCCAAGGTCAGAAGTTCGAAACCAGTCTGGCCAACATGGTGAAACCCCGTCTCCACTAAAAATACAAAAATTAACCAGGCATGGTGGTGCGTGCCTGTAGTCCCAGCTACTTGGGAGGCTGAGGCAGGAGAATCACTTGAACCCAGGAGGCGGAGGTTGCAGGGAGCCGCGATTGTGCCACTGCACTCCAGCCTGGGTGACATGAGTGAGACCCTGTCTCAAAATAAATAAATAAATAAATAAATAAATAAATAAATAAATAAAAGCCTCTCCCGCAAAGCTGCTGGGAGGATCAAGTGGGCACAAACATGCTTCTTAAACTTACAGATGTGGAAAGTGGGGAGTTTCTACTGCCTTGTGGGCTCTTGGACTGAGGTTCATGGAGGCAAGCACTTCCTCTGGTTCTCTGCTAAATCCCCGCCCTGGGCTTCGGGCCTGGCACAGAACAGGCCCTGTGGCAAATGCTGGTGGAGGAGATGGAAGAGCTTAGCACTGGATATCTGAGTCAGTGCAGGCCTGGTGGTTGGCACCCTGGAGTCTGGGACCATATAGATTGTGTGACCTTTACCTCCCAGAGTACACAGGATCACAATAGCACCTGCCTCTGGGTTGTTGAGAGGATGAGATCAAAGAAATCCCACAAATAGCTTGGTGTGTAGAGGAATCCAGAGTGTTGAAAGCTGATCTATTCCACGTCCCCTGGGGCCCAGGCTACCAGTACCTGACTTTGCCCCCAGGCCTGCTGCTGGAAGGTGCTAGAATTGCCTGGATACAGCTGGGCCGGAGGATGGGCCCAGGCTGAGCTGGACAGTTAACCCCTGCTGTCCTGGCAGGGTTACCCACCACTGACGAAGATCCTGGCAAGTTTCTTTGGGGAGCTGCTGGGTCAGGAGATAGACCCGCTCAGGAATGTGCTGGTGACTGTTGGTGGCTATGGGGCCCTGTTCACAGCCTTCCAGGCCCTGGTGGACGAAGGAGACGAGGTGAGTGGGCAAGACTTGGGCTGAGTGGGACTGAGAGGTCAGGGCCATGCTGACTCCAGCTGATTTGACCCTTATATCAGGTCATCATCATCGAACCCTTTTTTGACTGCTACGAGCCCATGACAATGATGGCAGGGGGTCGTCCTGTGTTTGTGTCCCTGAAGCCGGTAAGGATGCTAGGTAGAGGATGGATGGGCAGAGGGATCCAAGGCGTGGGCTGAGTTGGACCCTGGGAGTTGGAAAAGGAGGAAAGAAGTGAAGGAAGCCAGTTCCTCTAAGCTGGGAGGGCAGAGGGGAGGTGTGTGTGTTGGGATCCCAGGGGAGAGAAGGTGGGGATAGATGCTGGGGAAGACCTGCATGTCAGGTGGTTAAGTGGTACCACCCCATGCCACCTGCTCTTGCAGGGTCCCATCCAGAATGGAGAACTGGGTTCCAGCAGCAACTGGCAGCTGGACCCCATGGAGCTGGCCGGCAAATTCACATCACGCACCAAAGCCCTGGTCCTCAACACCCCCAACAACCCCCTGGGCAAGGTACTGGAGGGACCTCCTTCCCTGGCCCCCTGCGGACCTGGTCATGTCTCCTGCACTGTTACTGAGTTGCTGCTGTGGGGCCTCCGTTTCTTCGTTTGTGTGTGGGAGGGCCACACACAATGAGCACTGAGGACCAAGACTCCAGAGGTCCCAGGACAGGGGCAAGAATCCCCAGGGAAGGCCTGAGGGCTGGGACAGTGAACTGGGCTGGGAGCCACCATCACTTCCCAGTGACCCTGGAATAGTGACTATGCCTCTCGAAGTATCTCATCTGTAATGTGGGAACCTGAGGGAACTGACCTCATGGTCAGTGTTGCAGGGATCCAATGTGATGGTGCAGAACAGCCCTTAGCACTGGGCTTGGCTGTATTCGCCATTTATTTATTTTTTTGAGACGGAGTCTCGCTCTGTCTCCCAGGCTGGAGTGCAGTGGTGTGATCTTGGCTCATTGCAACCTCTGCCTCCTGGGTTCAAGCAATTCTCCTGCCTCAGCCTCCCGAGTAGCTGGGATTACAGGCACCCGCCACCATGCCCAGCTAATTTTTGTGTTTTTAGTAGAGACGGGGTTTCTCCATGTTGGCCAGGCTGGTCTTAAACTCCTGACCTCCAGTGTTCCGCCCGCCTCGGCCTCCCAAAGTGCTAGGATTACAGGCGTGAGCCACCGCACCTGGCCGCAGCTGTGTTCTTTAACCTCTCTGAGTAGGCCTCTGTGTTTGGGGACGGTCCCAGCTGCAGGTCTGTGCTCTCCTTGGGCATCTGCAGGTGTTCTCCAGGGAAGAGCTGGAGCTGGTGGCCAGCCTTTGCCAGCAGCATGACGTGGTGTGTATCACTGATGAAGTCTACCAGTGGATGGTCTACGACGGGCACCAGCACATCAGCATTGGTGAGCCAAGCCAGCCTGGGGCCCCTCCCCTGCACATTGGTGGGAGGGCCTTGACCCCACCTGAGAGTCAGCGCAGGCCTGGTAGTTAGAACCCAGGGTTATGGAGCCCTGCAGATCCTGTGACCTTTGCCTCCCAGAGTACACAGTGTCACAGTAGCACCTGCCTCCCTGGTTGTCGAAAGGATGAGGTCAAAGAAATCCTATGCCGAGCATGGTGGGTCACACCTGTAATCCCAGCACTTTGGGAGGCTGAGGCTGGCAGATCACTTGAGGTCAGGAGTTTGAGACCAGCCTGGCCAACATGGTGAAACCCTGTCTGTACTAAAAGTACAAAAATTAGCTGGGCATGGTGGCACGTGCCTGTAGTCCCAGCTACTCAGGAAGCTGAGGTAGGAGGATCACTGGAACCTGGGAGGCGGAGGTTGCAGTGAGGCAAGATGGCGCCATTGCATTCCTGCCTGGGCAACAGAGCGAGACTCCATCTCAAAAAAAAAAAAAACAAAGAAAGAAATGGGGGGTGGAGGGAGGGAGGGAGAGAGAGAGAGAGAGAAAGAAGGAAGGAAGGAAAGGAAAGGAAGAAAGAAAGAAAAAAAATTGTGCAAATAACTTAGTATGTAGAGGAATCCAGGGTGTCAAAAGCCTATGCGTGTCCCCTGGGGCCCAGACCACCATCCTCCCCCGTCCCCCTCACCCCAGTCTCAGCAGCTGTTCTGTTCGGCCTTGGGCAGCCAGCCTCCCTGGCATGTGGGAACGGACCCTGACCATCGGCAGCGCCGGCAAGACCTTCAGCGCCACTGGCTGGAAGGTGAGTTGCTGAGGGTGGGAGGTCACCACCCCCTGCAAGATCCTTGGCAAGTGAGGTGGGCCTGAGAATGAAGAAGGCTTTAGCCAGGTCTGGAAGGACCTCTCCCCCTACCTGCGCCCCTGCTGCAGGTGGGCTGGGTCCTGGGTCCAGATCACATCATGAAGCACCTGCGGACCGTGCACCAGAACTCCGTCTTCCACTGCCCCACGCAGAGCCAGGTGAAGAGGGGCAGGACGTCACGGGGGAGTGGGGGGACAACAAAAGAGCCCAGGCTGGCCCCCGCGTCAGGGAACAGCTGATCTATCTGTGTGTCCATCTGCCCTGCCCAGGCTGCAGTAGCCGAGAGCTTTGAACGGGAGCAGCTGCTCTTCCGCCAACCCAGCAGCTACTTTGTGCAGTTCCCGCAGGCCATGCAGCGCTGCCGTGACCACATGATACGTAGCCTACAGTCAGTGGGCCTGAAGCCCATCATCCCTCAGGGCAGCTACTTCCTCATCACAGACATCTCAGACTTCAGTGAGTGAGACTTGCCGGTCTGGGCAGGGCGCAGGGGCTGGAGGCTGCAGGGGGCTCAGTGTGGCCTCTGTCTCCCAGAGAGGAAGATGCCTGACTTGCCTGGAGCTGTGGATGAGCCCTATGACAGACGCTTCGTCAAGTGGATGATCAAGAACAAGGTGGGCTGGGCCTCTGCCAGGCAGCCATGTATGGTTTCACAGGTTGTGTGCTGCTCAAGGGTGCCCAGGCAAGAGGCTCCTGGGCTAGATCTTAGTCCAGCCTCTGCCGTCAACCTTGGGGCAGGGTTGTATCCACTTCAGAGAATGAGGAGGCTGTTTCTTTTTTTCTTTCTTTTTTTTTTTTGGTTGAGATGGAGTCTCACTCTTGCCCAGGCTGGAGTGCAGTGGCGCGATCTTGGCTCACTGCAAGCTCTGCCCCCCAGGTTCACGCCATTCTCCTGCCTCAGCCTCCCGAGTAGCTGGGACCACAGGCTACTTTTTTTTGCCCGGCTAATTTTTTTTGTATTTTTGGTAGAGACGGGGTTTCACCATGTTAGCCAGGTTGGTCTTGATCTCCTGACCTTGTAATCCACCTGCCTCGGCCTCCCAAAGTGCTGGGATTACAGGCGTGAGCCACTGCTCCTGGCCTTTTTTTTTTTTTTTTTTTTTTTGAGACAGAGTCTCACTCTGTCGCCTAGGTGGGAGTGCAGTGGCGCAATCTCAGCACACTGCAACCTCCACCTCCAGGGTTCAAGCGATTCTCCTCCCTTAGCCTCCTGAGTAGTTGGGTAACTGGGATTACAGGCATGTACAACCACGCCTGGCTAATTTTTGTATTTTTAGTAGAGACGGGGTTTCACCATGTTGGTCAGGCTAGTCTCCAACTCCTGACCTCAGATGATCCACTCCCCTTGGCCTCCCAAAGTGCTGGGATTACAGGCGTGAGCCACCGTGCCTGGCCTGAGGAACCTGTTTCTAACTTGCACAGAGATGCTGTGTGGGCTGGCAGGATTTCCTGCCTCTTTGGATCTCCATCTTCCCATCTGTACAGTGAGGAGTTGGCCCATTAACTCTTGAGTTCATCCAGGTTTGATCTGTGACTCTAAGGCTTTGTTCTTCTCTGGCTCTGCCCTGACCTGCTCCATGATCCTCCCTCTGTCAGCCTCCCTCTGCCCTCTATACCCAGGGAGGGACTTGGAATGATGTTCTGGGATTCTTTTCTTCTGACTTTGTGTTTGTTTTTGTTTTGGATGGATTTTCTCTCTTTCGCCCAGGCTGCGGTGAAGTGGCGCAATCTGGCTCACTGCAACCTCCACCCCCGGGTTCAAGCAATTCTCCTGCCTCAGCCTCCCAAGTAGCTGGGATTACAGGCATGCGCCACCACACCCGGCCAATTTTTGTATTTTTGGTAGAGACGGGGTTTAGCCATGTTGGCCAGGCTGGTCTTGAACTCCTGACCTCAGGTGATCCACCCGTCTCAGCCTCCCAAAGTGCTGGGATTATAGGCGTGAGCCACCGCACCTGGCCTTGTTCCTCTGACTTTGATGCAGCTCTAGGTGCTGGATTGGAGCTAACTCTCCTTCCCCGCCTGGTCGTGGGAACCTCTCTGTCCCCTCCGGAGCCAAGGCCTGCTGGGCCACGAGGCCGTGTTGAGACATGTCCTTCCTCCTCCCCAGGGCTTGGTGGCCATCCCTGTCTCCATCTTCTATAGTGTGCCACATCAGAAGCACTTTGACCACTATATCCGCTTCTGTTTTGTGAAGGTAAAGGGCAGGGCTGGGGGAGGAAAGACCTCACAGAGCTTCCCAAGGCCGGCTGGGCACATGGGGAGAGTGTAGGACTAATCTGTGCTGGCGCAGGATGAAGCCACGCTCCAGGCCATGGACGAGAAGCTGCGGAAGTGGAAGGTGGAACTCTAGCCCTGAAGTCACGCCTTGGCCCTGACATCCCCACATGCCCGCAGAGATCCTCTTTGAGTGTCTGTCTTTGTCCAGGTTTCAGACATTTCTAGGTTGGGGAAGATGCTATTGGGAAACCTCTTCTCCGTGACACAGAATGTTCTGGGTGGGAGCCGCCCTTCTTCATCTTAGAGAACCAAGTGCCTCCTGTCTGAAAGGTGAGGGTGGCCTGACCTGGGCCTCTCCCTGCCCCTCCATAGGTGGGTTTGTAGGGTCTTGTGTTGCTTCTGGTCTCTCCAGGCTTGGCTGAGACGGACGGTAGACTTCCACCATGTACCGATCACATCCCAGCTCTGCATGGCCCCTGCTAAGGCTCAGGTATAACCTCACCTTCCCTGGCTCATCTTGGCCTTGGGGAGTTGCCTTTAGGCTTGAGTCCTCAAGCCTCTCCTTTTCGTCCATAATAAAATGTTTAAGTTATTAAGATCCTTATTGACGGCTTCTCTCTGCTTCACACTCATGCTGATGGCTGATCTAACTTGTGAAGAATGCCCAGAAGAACCTCAGACACCCCCACAACTTTGTACAAATGGTTACTGTAGTCACATAGTGGCACAACCAGGCCTAGCACCCAAGGCCCTCAAATGAATTCCTCACTATTAATCTTTGTTGTTGTTGTTGTTGTTGTTGTTGTTGTTGTTGTTGTTTTTGAAACAGAGTCTCGCTCTGTCCCCCAGGCTGGAGTGCAGTGGCATGATCTTGGCTCATTGCAACCTCCACCTCCTGGGTTCAAGCAATTCTCCTGCCTCAGCCTCCTGAGTAGCTGGGACTACAGGCACCTGCCACCACGCCCGGCTAATTTTTGTGTTTTTGTAGAGATGGGGTTTCACCATGTTGGCTGGGCTGGACTCAAACTCCTGACCTCAGGTCATCTGCTCGCCTCGGCCTCCCAAAGTGCTGGGATTACAGACGTGAGCCACCATAGCTGGCCTCTCATATTAATCTGATGGTAGCAGTTATTGGTGCTGGGTGTGGTGGCTGGGGTGGGGGTGTCATATGTGTTTGTGTGTGTGTGTGTGTGTGGAGAGGATTGGGGTTCGTGACAAGGAAGACATGGACATTCCCACAGGGGTGAGAGAACAGCACAGTGGGGGCCAGGAGGACCAGGGACTTAAATAATTCTCAGGAGGAGGACTGAATGTTGATCGTGCAAGCCCTACCTGCGAGGCACTCAGACGCACATCATCTTACACAACCCTCTGAGACTGAGACCTGAGTTATCTCCAGTTCACAAGAGAGGAAAGCACTCTGGAGGTGAGGTGAAGTGGTGTGCCCAGGCCTTCTAGCTGGCCCCGATTGAGTCTCACTGGATAGCAATAGTAGCTCCTGAATTTCTTTGGAAGGTGGTGTTAGGGGCCTGGTCTTGAAGTTGCATTTGCATAGCAAGCGCATGGGTTTGGCTCATATCATATGTTTAACTGGGGGAGCTGATAGGAATATATCATATAATAAAATACATATTTGGTGTTTGCCCCTGGTCCTTAGTAAAGAATTCCTAAAATCCTTGGAGTTTCTGGAAGATAGGCATGTCTTGTTAGTCACATGGAATCCCTCTGCACTGTACGATTACGGGGTCAGAACTTTTAGCCCATCGGGCCCCCTCCATCTCTGCCTCCATGGAGGTGTGAGGGACTAGACTTTGAGCCCAATCACATGGTCCATGTCTGTTTGTTATTGTTGTTTTGGGGGGATTTTTGTGTTTGTTTTTTCAAATGGCCAATGTCTTAATCAGTCATGCCTACAAAATAAACCTGTCAAAAATCACAACAAATTTAGTATAAGATCTAAGTTCGAGACCAGGCACGGTGGCTCACACCTGTAATCCCGGCACTTTGGGAGGCCGAGGCGGGTGGATCACGAGGTCAGGAGATCGAGACCATCCTGGCTAACACGGTGAAACCCTGTCTCTACTAAAAATATAAAAAATTAGCCGGGTGCAGTGGCGGGCACCTGTAGTCCCAGCTACTCGGGAAGCTGAGGCAGGAGAATGGCATGAACCCAGGAGGCGGAGCTTGCAGTGAGCGGAGATCACGCCACTGCACTCTAGCCTGGGCGACAGAGCAGAGCGAGACTGTCTCAAAAAAAAAAAAATCTAAGTTCGAGACCGGGCACGGTGGCTGACACCTGTAATTCCAGCACTTTGGGAGGCCGAGGCGGGTGGATCACCTGAGGTCGGGAGTTCAAGACCAACCTGACCAACATGGAGAATCCCGTCTCTACTAAAAATACAAAAATTAGCCGGGCTTGGTGGCAGGCGCCTGTAATCCCAGCTACTTGGGAGCTTGAGGCAGGAGAATTGCTTGAACCTGGGAGGCAGAGGTTGCAGTGAGCCGAGATCATGCCACTGCACTTCAGCCTGAGCAACAGAGTGAGACTAGATCTCAAAAAATAAAAGGCATTAATGGCTCAAGTCTATAATCTCAGCCCTTTGGGAAGCCAAGTTGGGAGGATTGCTTGAACCCTGGAGTCTGAGACCAGCCCTGGCAACATAGTGAGACACTATCTGTACAAAAAGAAAAAAAAAAATTAGTCGGGCATGGTGGCTCACACTTGTAGTCCCAACTAATATAGTCTGTTAATTAAAAGAGAACGAGGCCGGGCGTGGTGGCTCATGCCTGTAATCCCAGCATTTTGGGAAGCCGAGGTGGGCGGATCACCTGAGGTCAAGAGTTCGAGACCAGCCTGACCAACATAGAGAAACTCCATCTCTACTAAAAATACAAAATCAGCCAGGCGTGGTGGTGCATGCCTGTAATCCCAGCTACTCGGGAGGCTAAGGCAGGAGAATCGCTTGAACCCAGGAGTTGGAGGTTCCTGTGAGCTGAGATCGAGCCATTGCACTCCAGCCTGGGCAAGAAAAGCGAAACTCTGTCTCAAAAAAAAAAAAAAAAAAAAAAAAAAAAAAAAAAAAAGGCCGGGTGCAGTGGGTCACGCCTGTAATCCCAGCCCTTTGGGAGGCCGAGGCTGGAGGATCACTTATGGTCAGGAGTTCAACCAGGCTGGCCAACACGGGGCCAACATCAACACCATCTCTACTAAAAACACACACAAAAAAATTTGCTGGGCATGGTGGCACGCTCCTGTAATCCCAGCTTCTTGAAAGGCTGAGGCAGGAGAATTGCTTGAACCCAGGAGGTGGAGGTTGCAGTGAGCCGAGATCGCGCCATTGCACTCCAGCCTGGGCAATGAATCGAGACTCTGTCTCAAAAAAAAGAAAGAGTACGTGAACGAATCTATAAGAAACCTGGAGTAAATTATCTCATTTTCAGCTCTGAATCACACTACAGCTCAAGGCCCCAGGGTCCCCATGTATAAAGCCTTCCAGGAGCTAGGCGTGGTGCTGCGCACCTGTGGTTCCAGCTACTCGGGAGGCTAAGGTGGGAGGATCCCTTGAGCCCAGGAGCTCAAGCCTGCAGTGAGCTAGAATTGCTCCACTGCACTCCAGCCTCGGCAACATAGCGAGACCCTGTCTCAAAAAAAATTATTTTTAAACAAGTGAACTACTCAGAGGTCTGAGTGTTGTATTTGTCCCAACTCAGAGGGGGGCTCCGAGCCATCCAAAATTCAGCACAGTACCCGCGATGCCGCCTATTTGGACACCTACTCTGCCCAACCTACTCCAGCCCGCGTACCCCTGCAGCCCGTCGGGCGCCCAGGCCACGCCCCTGGGCGATATTGGCTCTCCGATTGGACAGCTTAATGGAGGTGTGGCCGGAAGAGGCGAGTCTCATTGGCAGAGGCGGGACCGACGGTGTGTGCGGAACATGGCGGAGCGCGGCAGGAAGCGGCCGTGCGGCCCGGTAAGTGCGGGCGGCGGGACCCCGTGCAGGGCAGCATGGTGGAGGCGTGAGAACCAGTGGCGTGGGGGCCTTCGCCGGGGCCGGGCCGCGCCTCCTGCTGCCTGCTTCCCGCTGATCCCAGGCCGGAAGCCCCCGAAGGTGCCGCGTGAGCCTCAGCAGGATGGGAACAGCGCCCGTGTCCTCTCCGGAACCCCCTGCGGCTCCCTGGCCCCCGCTGGATTACGGAGGCGGGACCCTGCTCGCCTCCGGATGCTGAATCCGGAGCCCTTTCGTGGCTTCTGGAGCCCTTTTCTGACTTCCAGGGCGACTGTGGGCAGTGCTGTACCCTGAGCCTCAGTTTTCTCTTCTGTTTTGTGGGAACTCATTCGACAGTTTCTTGAGTGCTTTCTGTGTGCCAGGCTGGGTCCCAGGCGCTGGGGATACAGCGGGTCCCTGCCCTCCTGCCGCTTTCTGGGGCAGCAGTTCGCAGAGGTTCCTTGGCTTCCTTGCCGCCCCGTGTGGAGGGGCTGGCTATGGTGCAGCAAACGGACCCCCTCCAGGTGTGACCATCAGCCTCACACTCATAATCCTCCTACCACTCCTTCTCCAGGGTGAACACGGCCAAAGGATTGAGTGGCGAAAATGGAAGCAACAGAGTAAGTAAGGGTGGGTAAGAGTATCTTCCCATAGGCCACTCCACCAGTGCTCAGTCAAACCCTGGAGAAAGACACCAACTTTGTTCCCTCTGGGTCCTGCAGCACACAAAGTGGGGAGGCAGGGGCCGGGAGCCCTGGGGAGGCTCCCTTGCTGCCCTCTGGCTGCTCACCCAGCAGCTCTCCAGAGTCCAGGCTGACCCAATGAGTGGGAACTGTCTCCTTGGCCAATTAGGATGTTCTTTTATCCAGAGAAAGAGGAGAAAAAAAAATGGAAGGATCTCAAGCTGATGAAAAAACTGGAGCGGCAGCGGGCACAGGAGGAACAGGCAAAGCGCCTGGAAGAGGAGGAGGCAGCGGCAGAGAAGGAGGACCGCGGTGAGCTGGGGTCTTGGGGAGGGCCACAGGTTGTGGCCCACGGTAGTTGTCCTGCAGGCAGAGCAGAGATGTCTTATCTGAAAGGGCCTTTACAGACCAGTAGGTCCAAACATCTTGTCCTGATGGAGAAACTGAGGCCCAGAGAAGGGAGGGAGCCAGCAAACTGAGTTCTGACCTCCTGCTTAGGTAAATTTCAAGCCTATGGAAGGCAAGCCTTATCTCTCTTTTTTTTTTTTTTTGAGATGGAGTCTTGCTCTGTTGCCCAGGCTGGAGTGCAACGGCGCCATCTCTGCTCACTGCAACCTCCACTGCCCAAGTTCAAGCAATTTTCCTCCCTCGGCCCCCCGAGTAGTTGGGATTACAGAAGTGTGCCACCACACCTGGCTAATTTTCGTATTTTTAGTAGAGACGTGGTTGCACCATGTTGGGGAGGCCGGTCTCGAACTCCTGACCTCAGGTGATCTGCCCACTTCAGCCTCCCAAAGTGCTGGGATTACAGGCATGAGCCACCGTGCCCGGCCCAAGCCTCATATCTCTTAACTTAGACCTCTAGAACTTCATGATCTTCCTGATTTTTTGACTTTTTTATTGAGCATTTTCTGTGTGCTTTAATTTCATTTTTCAATTATTTTGATTTCATAATAAAAATGAAAGAAAACTACAAAGAAGACAGGAACAATCCCAGCAAACATTGTAGCAAAAGCTTGTCCAAACAATTATAGCTACTTATCCATGTGTAGCAAAGTACAGATACAATGTTACAACAGTGAAACCATGTTATCTATGTGCTTCTTGGGCTTTTTTGTTTGTTTTTGAGACACAGTCTCGCTCTGTTGCCCAGGCTGGAGTGCAGTGGCTCGATCTCCGCTCACTGCAATCTCCACTTCCCAGTTCAATCGATTCTCCTGCCCCAGCCTCCGGAGTAGCTGGGATTACAGGCATGCGCCACCATGCCCAGCTAATTTTTGTATTTTTAGTAGAGACGGGGTTTCGCCATGTTGGCCAGGCTGGTCTTGAACTCCTGACCTCACTCAGGTGATCCGCCCGCCTTGGCCTCCCAAAGTGCTGGGATTACAGGCATGAGCCACCTTTTGTGTGACCTTGGGCCATGTATTTGACTTCCCGGGGCTGAAGGCCCCTGGTCTGTAAATGGGGATAATGGCAGTATCCTCACTAGGGATCAGGTTAATGGCTATCGGGTTAATGTGCACACACTAAAGACTTATTAGATATCAGCTTTCATTTTATCCCCATTTGATAGCTGGAGAACTGAGGCAGTAAGTGGGAGAGCCAGGATGTGAACTTAGGCCATTGCTACTAACCGCTCCACAGCCTCGCCCAGTGGTTTGCCCTGCTCAGAGGAGCCATGGAGACTGCTGGGAGACTGAGGCCCAGAGAGGGGAGCTGGATCTATTTTGCTCATCTCAAAATTCCTCCCACTTGGGAAATTCTCAAACCATGGGCGCTAGGGACAGAGGAAGGGAGAGAAAGGTAGGGGGCCCTTGCCTCTCACACTGGCTGGGAACATCCCTCCCCTGCTCAGGGCGGCCCTACACACTGAGCGTAGCCCTGCCGGGCTCCATCCTGGACAATGCTCAGTCGCCGGAGCTTCGCACCTACTTGGCCGGTCAGATTGCCAGAGCCTGTGCCATCTTCTGTGTGGATGAGATCGTGGTGTTTGATGAGGAGGGCCAGGATGCCAAGTAAGGGGCCATCCCACAGGGTGCCAGGGTTCAGGGAGAGGGAGGGGCTGCCGGGATGGGCCGAGGCTTCACCATGGCCCCGTCCACATGCCTGGCTCTTCCCTCGTGCCCTGCCTGAAATATTCCCTGTGTAATCCTTAGTGGGTAGAGTTGCCAGGTGGGGGTGATGACTACAGAGGTGGGATTGGGAGCCAGAAGGCCTAAACCTGTATCTCAGCTGTCACCCCGGCTGGAGTGCATGCAGTGGCATGGTCATGGCTCACTGCAGCCTCTACTTGCTGCACTCAGATGATCCTCCCACCTTAGCCTCCTGAGTAGCTGGGATTATACGCGTGCACTTGTAGACAGGAGCTCTTGAAGGGGCCACAGCTGGATCCTGAGCCCCCATCTCTCTCTCTCCAGGACTGTGGAGGGGGAATTCACAGGAGTTGGGAAGAAGGGGCAGGCGTGCGTACAGCTGGCCCGGATCCTGCAGTACCTGGAGTGTCCACAGTAAGGGGGTCACTCCCCTAAGCATGAGGGAGGGGTGTGTCAAAGTGGAGACCAGGTAGGAGGCGGCTTCCCCTGGGAACATCCTGAGGTCAGCATTCTTTCCTAGGTACCTGAGGAAGGCGTTCTTCCCCAAGCACCAGGATCTACAGTTTGCAGGTAACGCTGTATGGGCCCGCCCCCCCATTTCCCCTGGATCATGCCACAGACACTGAGACCACCCAGTCCTACCCTGCGCTGTCCAGGTGGGAAAGCAGGCCTGGGAGAGCAAGACCTGTGTCTGATGCCAAGACGCAGGTCTGTGGCAGAGCCGGTACTCCGCTCCAGGGTCCCCACTGCACCCTGTGTGCCCTAGCACTTCCCAGACTCTTCCCGGCTCTGCCTCCACAGGGCTCCTGAACCCCCTGGACAGCCCCCACCACATGCGTCAGGATGAGGAATCCGAGTTCCGAGAGGGCATCGTGGTGGATCGGCCCACCCGGCCAGGCCACGGCTCCTTTGTCAACTGTGGCATGAAAAAGGTAGGAACAGAAAGATGGGCTAGGACACACCTCCAGGACACACCCTGGCAATGGAGGGCAAGCAGATGGATGTTGCGGAGAGCCCTGGACCTGCCCGAAATCCCTCACTGATGCAAATTTGGGCCAGAGAATTGTGCAAAATGGGGCTCAATAGATAAAGCCAGGAATGAATTTACTGTTGCTTAAAAAGCAAATCAACAGAAGACAGTCCTCATGCTCCAAACAAAACCCTGCAGAAACAAGTTGAAAGTCACTCTGGAGCTGCTCCCATGTGGCACAGAGCCAAGCTGGGATGAGGGCATTAATTTGCCGCCTCTTTATCCTCAAGCCTCCTCAAATCAGAGGCAGAAACCTTTACATGTATGGAGTCCCTTCCTGTCAGAAAGCACAACCCAAGCGCAGTGGCTCACGCCTGTAACCCCAGCACTTTGGGAGGCTGAGGCAGGCGGGTCATTTGAGGTCAGGAGTTTGAGACCAACCTGGCCAATATGGTGAAACCCTGTCTCTAATAAAAGTACAAAAATGATCCAGGTGTGGTGGCACGCATCTATAATCCCAGCTACTCGGGAGGCTAAGGCAGGAGATTCACTTGAACCCAGGAGACAGAGGTTGCAGTGAGCTGAGATCGTGCCACTGCACTCCAGCCTGGGTGAGAGAGCCAGACTCCATCTTAAAAAAGAAAAAAAAGAAAAAAAAGTTGCAGAGCTACCAAAATGTAGAAAACTGAGTTTCATCTACTTCTATCCTGTGCCATGAGCGCCCCAAAGGTGCATGTTTGGCCAGTGACCTGTGTTTTGCACAAATGATCTCTTGTGAGCAGGTTCAGCCGGTGCCAGGGGTGGAGGGTGGCAGGTTGACCTGGACCCCTTGGTCCCTTGCCAGCCCCGGGGCTCCCCTGGTGGCATCTGGAAGAGCCGTGGCCCCTGCTGATCTTGAGAGGAATGGCACCCATTTCTTCTGGCTTCTCCCCAGGAGGTGAAGATTGACAAGAACCTGGAGCCCGGGCTTCGGGTGACTGTGCGACTGAACCAGCAGCAGCACCCAGGTATCTGGAAGGTTCCCCAACCCCTGGGTTGGCCTGATGAGCTCCAGGGTTCAGCCACCTGCTTCCATTCCCTCACCCCATCTTTACAGACTCTGTTACCCCTCCAGACTGCAAGACCTACCATGGCAAAGTGGTATCATCGCAGGACCCTCGCACCAAAGCTGGTCTCTACTGGGGCTACACCGTCCGACTGGCTTCCTGCCTCAGTAAGGACAGACCTTACTTCTCTGAATATCCATCCATCCCTCTGGGAGGTGGCCGGGAGCCTTGCCTGACCCAAATATCAGACCAGGGTTTTTGTCCTGTCAACTTGCTGTGTGTCCTTGGGCAAGTCCTTCCCCTTCTCTGGGCCTTGTTCTCCCTGGATGCACTGCCTGGAATGCTGTTAAGGACTACTGAGCAAAAGTATCATTATTGATCAATAATGTTTCTGTAGGGTTGGGAATGGAGGCAAAAGGGCCAGAGAAGTCAGAGGCCCACTTCATGTTCTTGGTGCCTCTTCCTATCCAGTCTCTGCCCTGTTCCCCAGCCAAGCACAGGCTTGGTGTCTGCCCTGCTCAGTCCTTGACTTTCCAGGAACAGCTCTACCCACCCCTGCTCGGTACACACACACCCCTGCCTCAATGCACACACAGGCAGAGCTCTACCCACCCACCCCTACCTTAGTACACACACGCACACACACACACACACACACCACACAGCTCTTCCCACCCACCCCCGCCTCAGTACACACACACATAATACCCGGAGCTATGGCTTGTGGGGAGCAGGACCTGCACTGAGCTGGCCCCACCCCCAGGTGCTGTGTTTGCTGAGGCCCCCTTCCAAGATGGGTATGACCTGACCATCGGGACGTCAGAGCGCGGCTCAGATGTGGCCTCTGCCCAGCTTCCCAACTTCAGGTGTGTACCTCCTGGGGCTGCGGCCAGGGCAGGAGGAATGTGGCCAGGAACCTGCCTGGTGGGTGAAGCTGCACAGATGGGCCCCTGCTGTCTGGGGTGGGGAGGGACTGAGGTCTGGGCGCTGTGCTGGGTGGGGCCTCGGTGGCCGCTCAGGTGACCCCCTCTTACATGGGCCAGGCATGCTCTTGTGGTGTTCGGGGGCCTCCAGGGTCTGGAAGCTGGAGCGGATGCTGACCCCAACCTGGAGGTGGCTGAACCCAGTGTCCTCTTTGACCTGTACGTCAATACCTGTCCTGGCCAGGGTAGCCGTACCATCCGCACGGAGGTGAGCCCGCCTGCCTCCCCGACTGCCAGCCACTGGGGCCTTGGGATCTGTCCGAGGGGCGGGTGCTACTCTTGCCCTGTCACCCACCCTTGCCCGTGGCTGCCTTGTCTGGAGGTGGTCCTCTCATCCCCCTTGGCCTCTTGCCACAGCGACGAGACATGAGTGTAGCTGGGAGTCAACCATGGGTGCTAGTGCCCGTCCTGTGCTCCCAGACTGGGTGACCCAGGGGGCCCTGCCCACCCCTGCTCCGGGCCTCTGGTTCCTTAGCCGTGCGCTCAGTGATCTCCCAGGGCCCTGGTTCTGCCACTTCCTTGTGTGTGACCACGGTGGGCACAGCAGCTCTCCCCTTGGGGTCTCACTTGCATCTGTCCCACGGGGGAAGCCACGTGCAGCTGGAGCCTTCGTCCTGGCCTCATGGAACCTGTGTACCCACTTTTGGGGTCAGGCATAGGACGCTGTGCTACGGGAACTCTGCTGGGAAGGCTGGTACTCCCATCAGTCTCGCCGGGCCGACAGCCCTGTCTACCCATCCCTAAGGCCTTGCCCAAGCCGAGCACTCTGAGCCTGACAGCCATACCCCCCAGCAGGAACCCTGGCTGCCACCCTTCCAACCCCTGCACGAGGGGTGAAAACTTCTTGCCCCTCTTCTTGCCCTCCCCTGGCCCTGGGAGGTGGGCGTTGTTACCTTCGCCCCCATTTTACAGAAGAGGAGCCTGAGGAGCAGGCTGTGTGGTCCTCCAGGTGGCAAGTGTGCAGTGTGAACCTGGGCCTGTCATTAACCTCACCAGGCCCTACTAAGGACAGGGGACCCCAGTGGGCCAGGTCTCGGGCAGCCAGGCACTGAAGACAGGCTGGGAGCGGGGGCACCCGCTAGCCCCCCAGGCCCCAGCCCACTGCCACGCTTCTCTTCCAGGAAGCCATCCTCATCTCCCTGGCCGCCCTGCAGCCTGGCCTCATCCAGGCGGGTGCCCGGCACACCTGAAAGTTCTAAGGGGCCGAGGACATCAGTGAAGCAGCAGTGAAACCAGGGGCTCTGCAGGTCACTTGGGACGGACGCCACCAGACTTGTCTCCAAAAATCACCACCTTTAATACTCCCCGGCCTGCACACACCCACAGTCTCACTGGGCTCCACCCTCACTTACTGCCCGCCGTGATGGCCTTGAGGCTGCCTGCCCGCGCCAGGATGTTTGGCACAAAGAGCAGCCCCGAAGCCCGCTCAATGCTCTCGATGGGCACCAGGAAGCGCTCCAGTGGGATGGCCTCATCCACAGGTGCGTTGGGCATCACGTAGGTGCGGAGCTCAATTTGCCCACCTGCTGCCTCCAGGATCAGCACCTTGAAGAAGTGTGTGGGCACTGCCACGTGGTTCTTGCCGATGACCTGGTACTTTACGTAGGATTTCCCATCAGCCTCTGTCCTGTGGGCAGACCCAGGCACACGTGGGCAGGGGGCCTGGATGAACCCAAAGCCACCTCTTCCAGGCAGCCTTCCCTGATCTGTCCTCTAACTTCTGTCAACCTGCAGGACCACGCCCTCACTGTGAGACTTCTGTAGCCTGCCTGGCTCCTCCTTGAGGCTGGAACTCTCTCCAGGGTGGTTAACTCTTTCCCTCTGTTTTCCTTATGCCCAACACTGGGTCAGGCAGAGTGGGCGACAATAAACGCTGCTAGGAGAATCGAGCCTTCTGAATATTCACATTCGTCTGAGGGGAGACTTAACGACTGTCCATCTCTCCCCACAGAGGTGAGCAACAAGTGGGCAAGGACCATGACAGGTGATATCCCAGCACCAGCACAGGTGCCAGGACACCGGACGGGGGCTCCCCCTCAGCAGAGTCTCCTCCCTTCCACCAGGCCCTAGGAGGCACCTGCTAATGAAATTTGATCAGTGCCCCAACCACCGCCTTGGCCAGCCTATGCCGAGCCCTTACCATGGACCAGGCCCTGGGGAAGCATGTGACATCAACCAAGAGGTCACAGGTTTTGCAGAGGGGGACACAGGTCATTTGCCCACAGCACCAAGGAACTAGGTGATGAGGCCTGGACTCCATCCCGAGCCTGTGGATTCCAGAGTGAGCTGCTCAGCCTGGACCTGTTGCCTCTCAGCCCCAGCCCTCTGCAGGCCAGAAAAACCACGGAGCACACCCAGAGGTGCTCAGTTGCTTCCACCTGAGAGGCAGGGCTGCACAGGAGCAAGAGTGGAGGCCCTGGGTCAGGCAGATCTAGATTCAAACTCCCGAGAAGGGTGGAGGGAAGTGCTCCAAGCAGAGCAGAGACTGAAGGCGGGAGAGCCTGGTGCACCGCGGACCTGCAGGGGGAAGGCATGAGAGCTCGGTGCACTGGGGACCTGCATGGGGAAGGCGGGAGAGCTCGGTGCACTGGGGACCTGCATGGGGAAGGCGTGAGAGCTCGGTGCACTGGGGACCTGCATGGGGAAGGCGGGAGAGCTCGGTGCACCTCGGACCTGCAGAGGGAAGGTGGGAGAGCTTGGTGCACCGCAGACCTGCAGGGGGAAGGCGGGAGAGCTTGGTGCACTGCAGACCTGCGGGGGGAAGGTGGGAGAGCTTGGTGCACTGCAGACCTGCGGGGGGTTCCATATTGGCAGAACAAGATTGGGTGGGCATGCCAAGAGGTGACAGCAGGGAGAAGCGGGGGCAGATTCAGGGCCTGCTGCTGCCCATGGGCAGAGGAGAGATGGTCAGGGGTACCCGACAGGTCTTTGGCTGTGGAGGTGGAATGAGGGGACTCGAGGCAGGGAAGCTGACAGGCTTGCCAAGAAACCAGATGAGTAGGGAACTGGTATTGACCCAGAGCCTGGGGCAAGCCTGGCCCTGTGAGTGGCAGTAGGGGCCTCAGGTGAGTGGGAGGTTCTGCCGCCCCCCTGGTTTCCACCTTACCTGGGCAGGAAGAGTGGCCCTGTGCAGACATAGACGTTTTGGTAGCTGCGGGTCAAGCTGCGGCTATATTTCTCCAGGTTGTTCCAGGCATTCTGGTTGAGGTGGGGCACCTGGTAGGAGAGATAGGGCTTAGCAGGACTGTGGCTGGGACCCTTCCTCCTCTATCAGAGGGCCGCCCCAGGTCCTGAGGGGATGGACAGGCTCAGAGATATCCAGTGAGACAAGCGGGGGGAAACTGAGGCTCAAGGAATGAAAGTCACTCCCTGAAACCCAGGGCTGATAGAGTGCTAGCCACCACCCTCTGTCCCTCCCACAGCCCAGGTGTCAAAGTCTTTTCTCAGCTCCCAAGAGTCGAATGAAGGAAGAGCCTGTCTCCACCTTTCAGAGAGGACTGAGGCCTGTCCCCAGCCCCACCCAGGGTCTCCTGGGAAGACCAGCCCTTCCAACTACCAACCCGTTCCTTTTCCCAGTCTGAGCCACAGGAAGAGCCTAGCGGGGAATGCCATGAATCGACCTCCATCCTGAGCTCTCCAGGCCTGGGACAATGGAAAGTGGATAGGGGGCTGTCTTCCCAGAAGGAAGCTGGGTCAGAGGTTGGTGCCCCATGGGCTCCACCCAGAGCCCCATGGCAGTCTCCATCCATTGGTGCCAGGACCTGCTGGGAACAGGCTGAGAGGGTGGTTGGCCCAGTGCACAGTGCCTGGCACTAACAACCTGATCGTGGGCCAGGTGTCTGCCTCGAAACTGCCTGAAGGCAGGCAGGGTAGGACAATGTCTGGAGGCTCACGGTTTTATAGACTAGGGGTCCCCAACCCCTGGGCTACAGACCGGTACCAGAACCGGGCCACACAGCAGGAGGTGAGCAGCAGGCGAGCAAGGGAAGCTTCATCTGTATTTACAGCCACCCCCCCATTGATCCCACAGCAGCCTGAGCTCCGCCTCCTGTCAGATCAGTGGCGGCTGGAGATTGTCATAGGAGCTGGAACCCTATGGTGAACTGCGCATGTGAGGAGGTTGCGCGCTTCTTTTGAAAACCTAATGCCTGATCTGTCGTTGTTGCCCATCACCTCCAGATAGGACTGTCTAGTTGCAGGAAAACAAGCTCAGGGCTCCCACGGATCCTACATTACTGTGAGTTGTATATTTCACTATATGTTACAATGTAATAATAATAGAAATAAAATGTACATAAATGTAACGCACTTGAATTATCCTGAAACCCGCCCTCACCCACCAAGCCGTGGAAAAACTGTCTTCCACGAAACCGCACCCTGGTGCCCAATAGGTTGGGCGCTGCGGTTCTACAACAGACAGCCTTCTTCTGCTGTGTGACACTGTGCCCGTCACTTTGCCTCTGTGAGCCTCAGCGCCTCATCACTACCGCAGGAGGAAGGTGAATAACGGTATTATCCCCATTTTTTTGACGAGGAAAGCGACGCTCAGGGAGGTGCCCAGGGTTCGCAGTTGAAGCTCAAGCCCTGGTCGGCCTGCAGACCCTGTGCCTGGAGCCCAGTGCTCCTCCCTCCCGCCACGGGATGTCACTGCGATGCCTGACCGGGGGCGCGTTGGGCAGCTGCCCCGTTCTGCAGAAGAACAAACCGAGGCCCCGCGAGGCCAGGCGCCGGCCCCGCATTCCGCGACCGGCCCGGGGCGCGGGCGCTACCTGGGGCGCGACGTTGCTCAGGTAGAACGTGTCGTCCATGGCCTTCTGGCTCCAGCGGTGGTTGGCGGCGGCGGCCAGGTGACCGCGGTCGAAGCCACTGCCGCGGTAGTCGGCGTTGGTGGCACGGTGGTACGCGTGCACCGAGTCGTCCTCGCGGAAGTCGCACTCGCGCCGGTCGCCGTCGCCGCGGAGACGCTCGGGTCGCAGCTGCTCCACCACCCAGAGCGCGCCGCGGGTGCGCGGGTCGTAGCACAGCACGTACGACTCGCGGCTCTTGAGCTGCGCCAGCCCCGGCAGCCCGTACTTGGCCAGCTCGCCCGGGCCGCGGGGTCCCCCGGGCACAGGGGGCAACTCGGCTGCCGCCGCCACGGGCAGCACGGGCAGCCGGCCCAGCAGTCCCGGCGCCGCCCGCGCGTCCTCCCGCCGCCGCCGCCAGCCCTCGACGACCGCACCCAGCCCCGCGCCCGACGCCAGGGTCAGGCCGGCCCGCAGCGCCCGCATGGCCGGGGAGCGACCTAGCGGCGGGCGACCCGCGAGGCTCTTAAAGGAGCCGCGTCGCGGGATCCAACGAGGGCACAGGGCTGCTGGGGCCGCGGACGATAGCGTGACCTCCCTTCCACTCACAAACACTGCCAAGGGCTTGGGCCTCGGAACCCAGAAGGGAGCAGCAGAGCCCAACCGGGTGTCCCCGGCGTCCTTTCTTTGCGCATTTAAGACGCCGGTATGAGGGGCGTGGCATCGTCGCCTCAGCTCGCGATTGGCCACCATCAGGCCTGGCTCCGCACCCGCCTCGCAGGCCCCCTGCTGGTCGTGGGGTGGGAGACACTCTCTCCTCTGCGCCTGCGCAGGGAGCTCCTGCTTAATACGCTCCGCGGAAGGGTCAAGCACTGTCGAAAGCTTTTACTGTCACTGCTTAGTCTCACCCTCTACACCGCTCGGAGAGTGAGCTCCTAGTTCGCAGAGCAGGCACAGGGCCCCAGGTATATCTGGCCCTAGGCTATCCTCCATGACACCATAAAATAAGCCCCGCAATTCTACCAGATTGGCAAAGGTTTCTTTTTTTTTTTTTTTTTTTTTGAGACGGAGTTTCGCTCTGGTCGCCCAGACTCGAGTGCAATGGCGTGATCTCGGCTCACTGCAACCTCCGCCTCACAGGTTCAAGCGATTCTCCTGCTTCAGCCTCCCAAGTAGCTGGGATTACAGGCATGCGCCACCACGCCCGGCTAATTTTGTATCTTTAGTAGAGACAGGGTTTCTCCATGTTGGTCAGGCTGGTCTCAAACTCCCGACCTCAGGCGATCCGCCGGCCTCGGCCTCCCAAAGTGTTGGCATTACAGGCGTGAGCCACCGCGCCCGGCCCAGATTGGCAAAGATTTTAATTAACAGCAGTTTGAGGACAAGGATGCAGACGGCTGATGCTGGCTGCTGGCTGGAACAGAAACCTGGGGCGAATATTCCAAAAAACAGCTTGACAGTACAGTACAAGCGAAGCCTTAAAAAGGTTCATACCGTTCAACCCACGCAGAGGGCTGAGCTGGGGAAATCTCGGGAATGCAAGGATCTCGAACGCAAATATTCACCAGAGTATTACACTGCCGGCAGGAATAAGCAAAATATTCAGAAATATGGACTGGTTAAGGACTTTTATTTTTTGAGACGGAGTCTCACTCTATTGCCCAGGCTGGAGTGCAATGGCGTGATCTCCGCGCAGTGGAACCTCTGCCTCCCAGGTTCAAGTGATTCTCCTGCCTCAGCCTCTGAAGTAGCTGGGATTACAGGCGCGCACCACCAGGCCCAGCTAATTTTTTTTTTTTTTTGAGACGGAGTCTCGCTCTGTCGCCCAGGCTCACTGCAACCTCCGCCTCCTTGGTTCAAGCGATTCTCGTGCCTCGGCCTCCTGAGTAGCTGGGACTACAGGCGCGCGCCACCACGCCCAGCTAATTTTTGTACTTTTAGTAAAGAATGGGTTTCACCATGTTGGCCAGGCTGGTCTCGAACTAACTCCTGACCTTGTGATCCACCCACCTTGGCCTCCCAAAGTGCTGGGGTTATAGACATGGGCCACCCAACCCAGCCACTCTTAGCATTTTTTTTTCCTTTAAGGAAAATAAGGTCTTGTGCTGTCACCCACACGGAGTGCAGTGGCAAGATCACAGTTCACTGCAGCCTTGACCTCCTGGGCTCAAGCCATCCTCCTGCCTCACCCTCCCGAGTAGCTAGGACCACAGACACATATCATGATGCCTGGCTAACTTTTAAATTTTTTATAGAGATGGGGCCTCGCTATGTTGTCCAGGCTGGTCTTGAACTCCTGGCCTCCAGTGATCCTCCTGCCTTGGCCTCCCAAAGTTACAGGCATGAGCCACTAAGCCCTCCTGAGGTCAGTAGTTTGAGACCAGCCTGGCCAACATGGCGAAACCCTGTCTCTACTAAAAATACAAAAATTAGCTGGGCATAGTGGACCGTGCCTGTAATCCCACCTACTGGGGGACTGAGGCAAGAGGATTGCTTGAACCTGGAGGGCGGAGGTTGCAGTGAGCCGAGATCATGCCACTGCACTCCAGCCTGGGCAACAGAGTGAGACTCTGCTTCAAAAAAAAATATGGGACAGGGTCTTGCTTTGTTGCCCAGGCTGTTCTTGACCTCCTGGGATCAAGTGATCTGTGGGCCTCAGCCTCCTGAGTAAATGGGACTACAGGCTATGGTGTATCACCATACCCAGCTACTTTCAGCAATTTTGAAATATACATTAACTATAGTGACCATGCTGTAGTTTGTGTTTTTTTTTTTTGGAGACAGAGTTTTGCTCTTGTTGCCCAGGCTGGGGTGCAATGGCGTGATCTCGGCTCACCACAACCTCTGCCTCCCAGGTTCAAGTGATTCTCCTGCCTCAGCCTCCCGAGTAGCTGGGATTACAGGCATGTGTCACCATCCCCAGCTAATTTTTTGTATTTTTAGTAGAGACAGGGTTTCTCCATGCTGGTCAGGCTGGTCTCGAACTCCCGACCTCAGATGATCCACCCACCTCAGTCTCCCAAAGTGCTGGGATTACAGGTGTGAGCCATCGCACCTGGCCATACCATGCTATAGTTCTAAAAAAAAAACATTCCTGGGCCGGGTATGGTGGCTTAGGCCTGTAATCATAGCCCTTTTGGAGGCCAAGGTGGGAGGATTGCTTGAACCAAGGAGTTCAAGACCAGCCTGGGCAACATAGTAAGACCCCCGTCTCAAATTAAAAAAAAAAAAATCCTCCTGTCTAGCTGAAACTGTACCCTTTGACCAACATTTCCCCATTCCCCACCGCCCCAACTCCCACCAATCCCCAGACTCTGGTACCATCATTCTACTCTCCACCTCTATGAGTTGTTTTACATTCCGAATATAAGTGAAACCATGTCGTGTTTGTCTTTCTGTGCCTGGCTTATTTCACCTACCGTAACGTCCTCTAGGTTCTTCCATGTTGTCACAAATGACAGAATCTCCTTTTTTTTTTGAGGGTGAATCTCGCACTGTTGCCTGGGCTGGAGTGCAATGGCACAATCTTGGCTCACTGCAACCTCCCCCTCCCAGGTTGACGCAATTCTCTTGCCTCAGCCTCCTGAGTAGCTGGGATTACAGGTGCACACCACCACGCTCGGCTAATTTTGTTGTATTTTTAGTAGAGATGGGGTTTCACTATGTTGGCCAGACTGGTCTTGAACTCCTGACCTCGTGATCCACCTGCCTCAGCCTCCCAAAGTGCTGGGATTACAGGCGTTAGCCACCACGCCCGGCCTTGTCTTTTTTTTATAAGCCATTCTGACAGGTGTGAGGTGGTATCTCATTTTGGTTTTAATTTGCATTTCCCAGATGATCCATGCATTGTTCAGCATTTTTTCAGATAGTTGCCAGAAATTTTTATGTCTTTTTTTATTTTTTTTTGAGACAGAGTCTGGCTCTGTCACCAGGCTGGAGTGCAGTGGCTCGATCTCGGCTCACTGCAACCTCCGCCTCCTGGGTTCAAGCACACACCACTATGCCCATCTAATTTTTGTATTTTTAGTAGAGACGGGGTTTCACCATGTTGGCCAGGATGGTCTTGATCTCTTCACCTGGCGATTCGCCTGCCTCAGCCTCCCAAAGTGCTGTATGTCTTCTTTTGAGAAATATCTATTCAGGTCCTTTGCGTGTTGTTTAAATCACATTGTTTTCTTGCTATTGAGATTTTTGTTTGTTTCTGTTTTTGTTTTTTAGACAGAGTCCTGCTCTGTCACCCAGGCTGGAGTGCAGTGGCACGATCTCGGCTCACTGCAACCTCCGCCTCTGGGTTCAAGTGATTCTTGTGCCTCAGCCTCCTGGGTAGCTGGGATTACAGGCACCCACCACCACTCCTGGCTAATATTTTTGTAGTTTTAGTAGAGACTGGGTTTCACCATATTGGCCAGGCTGGTCTTGAACTCCGGACCTCAGGTGATCCACCCGCCTCCGCCTCCCAAAGTGCTTGAATTACAGGCATGAGCCACCATGCCCAGCTGCTACTGAGATGTTTTAAGTACTTATATATCTTGGATATTAACCCCTTATCAGATGTATGGTTTGCAAATATAATCATGCATCACATAAAGATATGTAATCCAAGCTACCCTGGGATGCTGAGGCATGAGAATTCCTTGTACCCCGGAGGCTGAGGTTGCAGTGAGCTGAGATCGTGCCACTGCACTCCAGCCTGGGCGACAGAGCGAGACTCTATCTCAAAAAAAAAAACAAACCAAAAAAAGTATGCCAGGCTAGGTGGCTCACACCTGTAATCCCAGCACTTTGGGAGGCCGAGGCAGGTGGATCACAATGTCAGGAGTTCAAGACCAGCCTGGCCAACACGGTGAAACACTGTGTATACTAAAAATACAAAAATTAGCCGGGTGTGGTGGCACACACCTGTATTCCCAGCTACTGGGGAGGCTGAGGCAGGAGAATTGCTTGAACCCGGGAGGCAGAGGTTGCAGTGAGCCGAGGTAGTGTCACTGCACTCAAGCCTGGGTGACAGAGAGAAACTCTTGTCTCAAAAAAAAAAGTAATAATAATAAAAAATAAAGAATGATACACCTGTCTGTATAAAGCGCTTACCATGAATGGAGCTTCTGGGACAGGAAGTTGCTCTGCGTGGGTCACTGAGGAGTGAATGTGAAGGCCCAGAACAAAGTCTACTCTACGCTACTGTAGACTTTATCAACACTATATTTAGGCTACACTAAATTTATTTGAAATACTTCTTTCTTCAATAATAAACCTTAGCTTACTGTAACTTTTACTTTTTTTTTTTTTTTTAGGCGGAATCTTGCTCTGTTGCCCAGGCTGGAGTGCAGTGGCGCGATCTTGGCTCACTGCAAGCTCCGCCTCCTGGGCTCACGCCATTCTCCTGCCTCAGCCTCCCGAGTAGCTGGGACTACAGGCGCCCGCCACCACACCTGGCTAATTTTTTGTATTTTTAGTAGAGACGGGGTTTCACTGTGTTAGCCAGGATGGTCTCGATCTCCTGAACTCGTGATCTGCACGCCTTGGGCTCCCAAAGTGCTGGGATTACAGGTGTGAGCCACCGCGCCCAGCCACTGTAACTTTTACTTTACGAGTTTTTATTTATTTATTTATTTATTTATTTATTTATTTTGAGACAGAGTCTCACTCTGTTACCCAGGCCAGAGTGCAGTGGCACAATCTCAGCTCACTGCAACCTCCACCTCCCAGGTTCAAGTGATTCTGCTGCCTCAGTCTCCAAGTGAGTAGCTGGGATTACAGGTGCCTGCCACCACGCCTAGCTAATTTTTGTATTTTTATTTTATTTATTTTATTTTTTTTTTTGAGACAGAGTCTCACTCTGTCACCAAGCTGAAGTACAGTGGTGCCATCTCTGGTCACTGAAATCTCCGCCTCCCAGGTTCAAGCGATTCTCCTGCCTCAGCCTCCCGAGTAGCTGGGAATAGAGGCGGGCATCACCACACCCAGCTAACTTTTGTATTTTTAGTAGAGATGGGGTTTCACCATGTTGGCCAGGATTGTCTCCATCTCCTGACCTCGTGATCTGCCCACCTAGGCCTCCCGAAGTGCTGGGATTACAGGCGTGCCACCGTGCCTGGCCTACAAATGTTCTAATTTTTTTAAACTTTTGGACTCTTTTGTAGTAACAGTTAGCTTAAAACACAAATACAGCTGGGTGTGGTGGCTCACGCCTGTAATCCCAGCACTTTGGGAGGCTGAGGTGGGCGGATCACCTGAGGTCAGAAGTTCAAGACCAGCCTGGTCAACATGGTGAAACCCCATCTCTGCTAAACTTCCAAAAAGAATTATCCGGGTGTGGTGGCGGGCGCCTGTAATCCCAGCTACTCAGGAGGCTGAGGCAGGAGAATTGCTTGACCTCGGGAGGTGGACGGTGCAGTGAGCCAAGATCGCGCCATTGTACTCCATCCTGGCAACAAGAGTAAAACTCTGTCTCAAAAATAAATAAATAAATAAATAAATAAAAATAAATTCAATTAAAAAAATACAAAAGTTAGGCAGGGCGTGGTGGCTCATGCCTGTAATCCCAACACTTTGGGAGGCTGAGGCAGGTGGATCACCTAAGGTCGGGAGTTCAAGACCAGCCTGACTAACATGGTAAAACTGTTTCTACTAAAACAAACAAAAAACCCAAAAAATTAGCCGGGCATGGTGACATGTGTCTCTAATCCGAGCTACTCTGGAGGCTGAGGCAGGAGAATTGCTTGAACCCGGGAGCCAGAGGTTACAGTGAGCTGAGATCATGACATTGCACTCCAGCTAGGGCAACAAGAGTGAAACTCCGTCTCAAAAATAAATAAATAAATAAAAGTTAGCCAGGCATGGTGGCGTAGGTTTGTAGTCCCAGCTACTTGGGAGGCTGAGGCAGGGGAATCACTTGAACCCAGGAGGCGGAGGTTGCAGGGAGCCAAGCTGGCGCCACTGCAGCAAGCCTGGGCAACAGAGCGAGACGCTATCTCAAAAACAGCACCAAAACAAAAACAAAAACAAAAAAAAACAAAAAAAACCCCACAAACACAGCTTGGCACAGTGGCTCGCACCTGTAATCCCAACACTGGGAGGCCAAGGCAGGAAGACTGTTTGAGCCCAGGAGTTTTGAGACCAGCCTGGGCAATGCAAAGATGCCCTGTCTCTACAAAATATAAAAACCTAGCTGGGCGTGGTGATGTGTGCCTGTGGTCCCAGCTACTTGAGAGGCTGAGAAGGGAGGATCACCAGAGCCTGGGAATTCAAGGCTGCAGTGAGCCATAATCATGCCCCTGCACTCTAGCCTCAGTGACAGAGTAAGACCCTGTCTCAAAAAAAAAAAAAAAAAAAAAAGAAAAAGAAAAAAAAAGAAAAGATAACCAATTCACCCCCAAATGCCTGGGTTCATTTTGGGCTCCTCTGTTCTGTTCCTTTGGTCAGTGTGTCTATTTTACACCAGTATCATGCTGTTATGGTTACTAAACCTTTTTTTTTTTTTTTTTTTTGAGACGGAGTTACACTTTCGTTGCCCAGGCTGGAGTGCAATGGCACGATTTGGGCTCACCGAAATCTCCACCTCCCGGGTTCAAGCGATTCTCCTGCCTCAGCCTCCTGAGTAAGTGGGATTACAGGCATGTGCCACCACGCCCTGCTAATTTTTGTATTTTTAGTAGAGACGGGGCTTCACCATGTTGGCCAGGCTGGTCTCAATCTCTTGACCTTGTGAAACGCCCACCTCGGCCTCCCAAAGTGCTGAGATTACAGGCATGAGCCACTGCGCCCGGCTCTAAATAATTTTTTTGAGGGGGTACTTACTGTGAATGAGATTTTCTCTATTTCTTGTCTTTTTTTTTCTGAATTCAGTTTTTTATTTCTGCCTTTTTCTTGATTTCTTTTTCAGATAGTTTGTTAGTGTACAGAAATGTTACTGATTTCTGTTTGTTGATTTTGTTTCTTGTCACTTTAGTTCTAACAGCTTTTTGGTGAAGTCTTTAGGGTTTTTTCTAATATAAGATCATGTTGTTGGCAAAGAGAGACAATTTCACTTCTTCCTTTCCTATTTGGATGCTTTTTCTTTCTCTTGCTTAACCAGTCTGGCTAGTACTGCCAGTACTATGTTGAATGAAAGTAGAGAGTGGGCATCCTCGTCTTGTTCCTGATCTTGGCTCACACCTGTAATCCTAACACTTTAGGAGGCCAAGGCGGACGGATCACAAGGTCAGAAGTTGAGACCAGCCTGGTCAACATGGTGAAACCCCGTCTCTACTAAAAATACACATTAGCCAGGTGTGGTGGCGGGCACCTGTAATCCCAGCTACTTGGGAGGCTGAGGAAGGAGAATCGCTTGAACCCAGGAGGCGGAGGTTGCAGTGAGTGGAGATCGTGCCACTGCACTCCAGCCTGGGTGACAGAGCAAGACCCCGTCTCAAAGAAAATAAAATTAAATTAAAAATAAGGAAAAGATGTTGAATTTTGTCAAATGCTTTTTCCACATATAATGGATGGTCTAAGCTTTTTTAAATCTGAAAAATAACAGGCTATGTAATCATGTATGCAGAACCTCCTTAGCCAGTACTCACTCCCTCCTCCCCCAGCTGCAGACTGCTGAGGCTGAACTGGAAGAATCCAACAGGCTCTTCCCAGAAGGATTTCCTGGACCTTTTCTTAGAAGGGCTACTCTAAGAGACTCTGACTCCATCCCTGTTCATTTTTCCCTGTTCTGAGGTCTCCAAAGTTTCAGCTCATCACAGCACCAATGCCCATTGCAAAGAACACATGATTTATTCAAGACAACTCGTCATCAACAGCACTGACTCAAGGAACAAAACAGATGAAAAAACTAAAGCAAACGTTCTGACCCTCTGGAGTGAGACCCGCTGAATTCATACAGCTCAATCTGTAAGTGTCCAAGATCCAGGGGGCAGGTTCTCAAGCAGGAAGCCTCAGGCACTCTGGCTCTGTGGGGACCTCCCTTGGGCATCTGCTTGAGAATCTGGGGAAGGGACATTATCAGGGCAGGTCCTTTCTGCAGGCGGTGTCCTGCTGGGAGCTCAGCCTAACCAAGGCCTGGTCCCTGTGCTCTTGACCTTCATCTCAAGGTCAAGGAGAGGGCACTTGACCCAACTCTGCCAGCGAGGCAAAGTAATGGTGATTCAAGTAGTGTGGTTCCAGGAGGGAAGGTAGGGGGCAGACAAGAGTGAGTGCACTAAAGAGTCCTGGGCAGTGTCTGCTGGGTCCCAGGCAGTGGCCCAAGCTTATGAAGGGGTTGGAGAAGGGGCTGAACCACCAGCTGACAAGTCCTGGAGAGAGGGTGGCCCAGGTGAGCAGGAAGCATCATGCCTCTGCCTCATCCTGGAGGTCCTGGAGTCAGCCCAGTTCTCTTCCCATCTTTACACTCAATTCCAGTACAGAACTCAGAGCCCGCTCAGCCAGGACCTGCTCGAAAACCAGGCAGTTCCTAGAAGCATGGGGAGAAGAGGCTGACTTTGATCTTGGAAAATGAAGAGGATCTTGTCTCCAACTCCTTTCTCCCTTCCTATACCCATGCCTCATCCCCAGAGCACTTGCCAATGTGCAATACATAGCCAGGAGTCTGAATAAATAGTCAAAGTCTCCCAAATACTGTGCTCTGGGAGAGGAGACAGGCAGGTGCGGAAATCCAGGCGGCATCAAAGGAAAAGCCTGGTAGAAGAGCCACCTGGGGAAGCCTTTCCTGGCCCAAAGCCGGGCTTGGAAGGGCAGCGAGAAGTCCTGCCCACCAGACTCGGAAAGCTTTGGGGGCAGGAGGGCTGCTGGGGCCTGACTCCTGCCAGCCAGTCTGGAGGACGAGGGTCCTCACTATGGCACCCGGCTTCCGGACGCAAACCTTGTACAAGGAGGGAGGTGACTTGGTGAGAACTGGGAGTGGCCAGCTGCCCCTGCTCAGGGTACACCTGCTCCAGCCCTGGGAACAGCTCAGGCAGGGGTCAGAGAAGGCCCTGCACCTCCCTCAGCCCGCAGCGGGTGGAGGGGTACACAGAGGCACAGACATGGCCCTCCTGGAACTGGCAGGACCCAGGGCCTTTAAGCTCAGCTACCCCTGGCCCCAGAGAGGCTTCCTCGGGCCCCACTTGCCCTTTGTGGGACTCACTCAACCCAACCCTGGGTTGGGACCTGGAAGCCGAGGGAATGACAACTCTTCTGAAGCAATGGGTTCCGACCCTGGGCTCAGAATCAAGGTCCTTTTCTTTTCGGACAGGAGGGCCTCTGGGGGAACCTC
The DNA here is from genome assembly GCF_000001405.40 of Homo sapiens. Taxonomy (NCBI): domain Eukaryota; kingdom Metazoa; phylum Chordata; class Mammalia; order Primates; family Hominidae; genus Homo; species Homo sapiens. Next base: position 128,808,930 of record NC_000009.12, on the reverse strand, counting down.
CAGAAAAACCAGCTCCCCCTCTTCCTTCTCCCTCCCTGGGCAGAAAGCAGGGGCAGGAGGCTCAAAGCTTCATCCTTACTCAGCAGCATTTGGTTTCCAAGATTTCTGTGTAGGGAACGGGTTCAGAACCCTCTAAGTGAGGCACGGAGGACTCCCTCCCAGTTGGGAGGACCTAGGAGCCAGGGCTGGGGGATGGGAACAGGAGGCAAAGGCCAAGCTTGACCTCCAGGGGCCTTGCTGAGCCAGTCTCCTCATCTGTCTCCCAGGTTCAGGGGAGCAGAGGCAAGCGGGGAGAGGAGGTGGCTCAGGATAAGGCACCCCAACAGAGAAGGGCAGGGAGAGTAATGGAGAGAGGAATCATGAAGCAAGACACAGTCCCACTCTGGGAAGGAGGTGGAAGGAGACAGGCAGAGAGGTAGAGACAGAGAAGGAGGGGCTGGGAGACCTGGAGGCCTGAGAGACCCTCACTCCCTAACACACACACACACACACACACACACACACACACACACACACACACACGGAGAAGATGCCTGGGGACTTGGGCCCACATTCACACCGACCGACTACAGACATCTGTGGGTGAGACAGACGGCAGGACTCAGCTTTCAGTGTCGCCTTCCCTGTGGAGCAGCCGAAGTGCCCCGCTCAGAAGCGGTTTCTGGCCCATTGGCCAAGCACCTCCCCTGAGTGGAGCCCAGGAGAAGACCAGAAGCAGGAACTGAGGCTGGGGCGGCAGAGCCGAGGCAGGGAGGGGCCCCTGCCAGCCTCCCAGTGCCAGAAACGGCCCTGGCCCAGGAAGGACAACTTCCCGAGCTCCAGCCCTCCTCAGTATCCTGGGCAAAGAGGGCAGAGTGCAGGGCAGGTGGGGAGCTGGGCGTGGCGGCAGAAGGAGCACGGCACAGTGTGTCCCCAGTGGGCATGGCCTGGGTCTCGGGCCGATCCTGTGGCTTCCCCTCAGGCTGGGTTCCTACAGGTTTCTATGTGTCCCGGGAGCCAGGGCACAGGGTCGGGAGGCTTCTCTCCGGAACATGGGCCTCTTGCCGCCGGGCTACTTTGAGTCTTGGAGCTCCTTGGCTTTCTGCAGGATCTGGCAGACATCTGTGATGGGGTAGTCCTGGGCACAGGAAAAGGCCAACAGTTGCCTCTGAAGCCACTTCACCCCTGCCACACCCACACCCTCCCTGCTGGGACCCGTTGCCATGCTGGATCCTGGGCCTCAGGGGCAGGAGCACAGAACACCAGGCATCCCACACTCCCCAACCCCCAGACCCCTGCATGCAGCTGACGCTACACCATGCAGCACCAACTCAACGATCCAAACACAACCACTCCCAGGCTCTTGCGGCCCTTTCCTCAGGACCAGACCGTGCTGCCTCAGCTCTCCCACTACTGCCACTGAACCCGAGCTCCCTCGTGTGGAGCCAGTAGGACTGGGCCAGTGTCTGAGCATCAGCGCGAAGTCCCAACAGCCCTGTGAGTGGCCACTGTGATTCTGCACTTTTTCCAGATCTGGTCCATGAAGTTAGGGAAAAGCAACTCTAGGCTGGGCTTGGTGGCTCACACCTGTAATCTCAGCACTTTGGGAGGCTGAGGTGGGCGGATCACCTGAGGTCAGGAGTTCGAGACCAGCCTGACCAAGATGGTGAAACCCTGTCTCTACTAAAGGTACAAAAATTAGCCAGACGTGGTGGCACACACCTGTAATCCCAGCTACTCGGGAGGCTAAGGCAGGAGAATCACTTGAACCTGGGAGGTGGAGGTTGCAGTGAACCGAGATTGCACCACTGCACTCCAGCCTGGACAACAGAGCGAGACTCTGTCTCAAAAAAAAAAAAACAACAACAAAGCAACACTAAGGCCACGTGCTGGTGAAGAAGCTGAGACCCAGAGATGCTGTAACTTGGCTTGGGTCACATGATGAGCACAGCAGAGCAAAACTGTGGACCTAAAGCTGTAGGCCCTTGAGCCCATGTTCTTTTTTTCTGAGACAGAGTCTTGCTCTGTCCCCCAGGCTGGAGTGCAGTGATGCGATCTTGGCTCACTGCAACCTCCACCTCCCAAGTTAAAGTGATTCTCCTACCTCAGCCTCCCAAGCAGCTGGGAATTACAGGTGCATGCCACCAAGCCCGGCTAATTTTTGTATTTTTAGTAGAGACGGGGTTTCGCCATGTTGGCCAGGCTGGTCTTGAACTCCAGACCTCAGGTGGTCCACCCACCCCAGCCTCCCAAAGTGCTGGGATTATAGGCATGAGCCACCGCGCCCGGTGAGCCCATGTTCTTAATCACTACACCCCACCCTCCTTCCCCGGGCCTGAGCATGGCCACCAGCAAGCACGGCCATGTTCTGGGCACCTGCTGTGTCCTAGGTGTGAACACCTACGTAGAGTACACGGTTTGAAGGCCAAGTCACTTGCTCAAGGCCACCCAACATTCCAGGTCAGTGGCAGAACCAGGATTCAAACCCAGATCCAAACCAGATCTGCTCAGGGGTCTGGACTTTAATCCCTACTACACTCCGCTGCCCCTGCCCAGCCTGTCGCAGCAGCTGGCGTGGGCAGGTGCCTGGCGAGTGCCAGCCTCATGGCAGTGGCTGAGCCTGCCCCCAACTCCCATTACCTGCAGCAGCCGCATATTCACAGTGAAGTCCCCTTCCAGCAACTGCTCCCGGATCAGCCTATGAAAAGCAGCAGCAAAAGCGCTGGGACCTGGGATGCTCTGAGTGCAGGCCCTGCCCACTCCTCCCTCCCTACCCACCTCAAGTTTGGTTTGTCGCCCTCCCAAGGACTCCAGAATCCCACTCCAGCCATGAAAGAGCAGCCCTGCCCACCCTTCGGGGCGGAGGGTCCTCCTGTCTGGCTTCTCCAAGGACTGCCCAGGTGAGCTGATGACAGCTCATGCCCGCACTCACATGAGCATGGCGCAGCAGACGAGGAGGAGGAAGTCAAAGCGGTTGTCATCGGCGAAGAGGGAGTCCCAGATGCGGATGACGTCAGGCAGCAAGAACTCCTGGGACAGCAGCAGTGTCAGCCAGCGGAAGGCAAAGAACTGAGGCTTGATGTTCTGCTCTTGCTGGGGAGACAGCGTGGGGGGTGGGGGGCATGACTCTGTGTTGGCTGCCGGCCATGGAGCACCACGCAGTGGGTCAGAAGTGAATTCAGAACAGCAGGGCCCAGCATGCCAGGTGTGAGCACCAGGGCTGGCACCAGGCTGCCGGACAGCCTTGCCTGGTAAAGGGGCGGAGCCTGTTTGCTGCCAGCCAACATCCTCAGATCTTCCTATTTTTTAAAGAGAAGCTGGAAACCCAAACCTTTATATAATAAGCTCTCCAGATTTATAAATGATGGCTCAAACTCTTTTCACACACTTTGCAGATGATAGCCTTGGGTTTGTGGATGTGCTGAGTGACCATCACAGGGCACTTACTAAAAGCCTGGGCTATGCTTAGAATATTAAATATGTCCTCTCACTCATTTAATCCACAGAACAATTCCACAGGCAATTATTCCCAGTAGAGACAAGCCTTCTGGTCAGCCACAGTGAATATTAACTGAAAAAGCATGCTACAAAACAGCAAAAGCATACTTCCTTTTTTTTTTAGAGATGAGGTCTCGCTATATTGCCTAGGCTGAAGTGCAGTGGCACAATCATGGATGGCTCACTGCAGCCTTGACCTCGAGGGCTCCTCTCTCAGCCTCCCGAGTAGCTGAGACTACAGGCCTGTGCCACCATGCCTGGCTAATTTGTTTTTAAATTTTTTGTAGAGACAAAGCTTCACTATGTTGCTCAACCTCTGGGCTCAAGCGATCCTCCCGCCTCAGTCTCCCAAAGTGCTAGGATTACAACTGTGAGCCATCACACTCAACCCATATTTGTTTAAAAAGATATCATTATTCCTGGCCAGCCAGGCACAGTGGCTCATGCCTGTAATCCCAGCACTTTGGGAGAGGGAGGTAGGCGGATCACTTGAGGTCAGGAGTTCGAGACCAGCCTGGCCAACACAGCGAAATCCCATCTCTACTAAAAATACAAAAACTAGCCAGGCGTGGTAACGCACGCCTGTAATCCCAGCTACTGGGGAGGCTGAGGCATGAGAATTGCTTGAACCTGGGAGGCGGAGGTTGCAGTGAGCTGAGATTGCACCACTGCACTCCAACCTGGCCTCTGAGAGAGAGAGTCCTTCTCAAAAAAAAAAAAAAAAAAAAAAAAACAGAAAAAAAAGGGCTGGGCACGGTGGCTCATGCCTGTAATCCCAGCACTTTGGGAGGCCGAGGCGGGTGGATTACGAGGTCAGGAGATCATCAAGACCATCCTGGCTAACACAGTGAAACTCCATCTCTACTAAAAATACAAAAAATTAGCCGGGCACAGTGGCGGGTGCCTGTAGTCCCAGCTGCTTGGGAGGCTGAGGCAGGAGAATGGCATGAACCTGGGAGGTGGAGCTTGCAGTGAGCCGAGATTGTGCCACTGCACTCCAGTCTGGGCGACAGAGCGAGACTCCATCTCAAAAAAAAAAAAAAAATGAAGTTAACACTTACCTCAGAAGACTACTAACAGCTTAACCAATTTAGTTCATAGTAAATGCCCTGCAGTATGCCTGGCACACAATGGGCACCATTCTCAACTTTCCCCTTCCCTCCCAGCTGGGCTCCACCATCAGCTGCCTCAGCACATGGGTCAGCGTCCCGGGCAGCAGCAGCAGCAGCTACTTCTGACCCCCAGACTCAAGCGAGACCTCGCCCTGGGCTGGGATGGCACAGCAACTCTCTGCCTCCTGTCCCTTTCCACCCGTCTGTTCCTGGGGTCCTCACCAGTTTCAGGTAGAGCTCCACATCCTTATCTTTCAAGGTGGAGTAAACCTTCTCCATCTTGTAGGTGATGCCACACTGCGAGTCATCCAGGCTCTTGATAAAGTTGTCCCGGATCTCGGCCATGAGGTTGGTGAAGCAGAAAAAGGTGTCTGCCTCGGCGTGCTCTGGGAGAGAGCAGGATGGGGGCAGAAGTGGCGCACTCCAGGCCCACCCCACCTCTCACCTACCAGACATCTGCCCTGCTCTGAGCCCCGCCGAGTTGCCCCATCCTCATGGTCTGGCTCAGTCCTTCCTCTGTCCTTGACCCCTCTCCACCCCCAGGCTAAAGACATCGCCTCTTTCTTCTCACATCTGGCAATACTGTACATTCACTTAGCAGTTTATTACACACTCTCCTGATGACAATTTAAAAATCATTATTTAAATCTTATAATTCGGCTTCCTACATATCCACCTTCTCTATCAGAATTAAATTACAAATATCAAGAGATCAGTAAACAACCAACATTCTAGAAGATCACAGCTGCAAAGGATCTCAGAGATGATCCAGGCCAACTCCTCATCTGGCAGAGGGAGAACAGAGGCCCGAGAGGGAAAGTGAGGTGCACAGCCTGACACGGGCCAGCAACGAGGGATGTGGGCACCAAGAGCCTTCTTACCTTTCCACTCACTATTGGGGTCGGTGGCAAAGGTGTAGTAGAGGGGCCCCACGATTTCATTCATGCCTTGCACATAAGCGATGCCAGGGTTGAGCTTGGCGTAGATGAACAGGATCCGCTCCACCACCTCCCAGTGGGCCTCACAGCCATTGGGCAGCACCTCATACTCATTTAGGGATGATGGCACAGAGTTCTTGTGTGGGGAGCTCATCTGGAGGAGAAGAGGAGGAGCCCATCAAGAAAGACAATGCTGGGGTCAGTGGCTCATGCCTGAAATCCCAGCACTTTGGGAGGCTGAGGTGGGAGCTGAGCCCCAGTGGTCGAGGCTGCAGTGAGCCGTGATTACACCATTGCATTCCAGCCTGGGTGATAGAGCAAGACCCTGTCTCAGGAGAAAAAAACAAAAACAAAAAAAGAGACAACATGGGCGGGCCACAATAGCTCATGCCTGTATTCCCAGCACTTTTGGAGGCCAAGGCAGGAGGATCACTTGAGCCTAAGAGTTCAAGACCAGCCTGGGCAACATAGGGAGATCCCGTCTCTACAAAAAATGTAAATGTTAGCCGAGTGTGAAGGCACGCACCTGTGGTCCCAGCGACTTGCGAGGCTGGGGCAAGAGGATCACTTGAGACCACGAGGCTGAGGCTGCAGTGAGCTATGATCACATCACTGCACTCCAACCTGGGTGACAACAAGACACTGTCTCAAAAAAAAAAAAAAAAATGGACAATGTGAAGGAGGACAATGTGTTCTTGCCAGAAATGTAAATGTTTACTTTTAAGCCTGGACCTATCTAGCATATGGGACATACACTGGCACAGAGGAACAAGTCAAACGCCACCATGAGGAAACAAGGAGACAAACCTAGAATATGGGACATTCTGCAATACAACAAATGGTCCTAAAACCTAACTTATGGTGCTAAAAGTCAGAGCAGTGAGAAGTACTAACTAGGAAGGGGCATGCAGGAACTTTCTGGATGTGGACATGTTCTGTATCTTGACTGACTGGCACTTACACAGGTACACACACAAGAAAAACATTCTCTAATTGTACACGTAATTGCACGTAAGTTACATTTCAATTTAAAACAAAAACTTTAGGGCCGGGCACGGTGGTTCATACCTGTAATCCCAGCACTTTGGGAGGTCAAGACGGGCAGATTACCTGAGGTCGGGAGTTCAAGACCAGCCTGACCAACATGGAGAAACCCTGTCTCTATTAAAAATACAAAAAAATTAGCCAGGCGTGGTGGCGTATACCTGTAATCCCAGCTACTCAGGAGGCTGAGGCAGGAGAAGCACCTGAACCCAGGAGGCGGAGGTTGTGGTGAGCCGAGATTGCACCATTGCACTCCAGCCTGGGCAACAAGAGTGAAACTCCATTTCAAAAAACAAACAGGCTGGGTGCGGTGGCTCACGCCTGTAATCCCAGCACTTTGGGAGGCTGAGGTGGGCAGATCACGAGGTCAGGAGACCAAGACCATCCTAGCTAACACGGTGAAACCCTGTCTCTACCAAAAATACAAAAAATTAGCCAGGCGTGGTGGCGGGCACCTGTAGTCCCAGCTACTCGGGAGACTGAGGCAGGAGAATGGCATGAACCCAGGAGGCGGAGTTTGCAGTAAGTGGAGATCGTGCCACTGCACTCCAGCCTGGGTGACAGTGCGAGACTCCGTCTCAAAAAAAAAAAACAAAAAACAAAAAACAAAAAAATCTTAAATATGTCAAAAACAAACAACTGGCCAAGCCCAAGACTTTTCTTTCTTTTATTTGCCCCCCTGAGACAGAGTCTTGCTCTGTCACCCAGGCTGGAGTGCAGTGGTGCGACCTCAGCTCACTGCAACCTCCACCTCCCAGGTTGAAGTGATTCTCCTGCCTTAGCCTCCTGAGTAGCTGGGAGTACAGGCACCCACCACCATGCCCAGCTAATTTTTTGTATTTTTAGTAGAGACAGAGTTTCACCATGTTGGCCAGTATGGTCTTGAACTCCTGGCCTCGTGATCCGCCCGCCTCAGCCTCCCAAAGTGCTGGGATTACAGGCATGAGCCACCGCGTCCAGGCTGGCCAAGCCTTTTCAAAAAGTCAGCTGTTGAGGGGATGGGGTTGGGGAGGGGAGGCCTAGTCCAAATCAAGAGACCAAAGAAAGAGAATATCCAAAGATACCACTGGCACCAGCTGAGGACATCTCAATTGTTCATGGGTTGGGTATCAGGTGATATTATGGACTCATGGTTAATCTTCCCAGATGTGCTAATGGTAAGTAGGAGAATGCCCTTCTTCTTTTTTTGAGATGGAGTCTTGCTCTGTCACCCAGGCTGGAGTGCAATGGAGTGATCTTGGCTCACTGCAACTCTGTCTCCTAGGTTCAAACTATTCTCCCACCTCAGCCTCCCAAGTAGCTGAGATTATAGGTGCTCACCACCACGCCTGGCATTTTTTTGTTGTTGTTTTGTATTTTTAGTAGAGAGGGGGTTCCACCATGTTGGTCAGGCTGGTCTCAAACTCCTGACTTCAGGTGATCCACCTGCCTTGGCCTCCCAAAGTGTTGGGATTACAGGTGTGAGCCACCGCACTTGGCTGACAATGCCCTTATTCTCAGGAGATCCTACCGAAGTACTCGATGGTAAAAGGTCAGACACCTGCAACTTACTCTCTCTATATATAATACACACACAAATAAAGCAATGTGAAAAACGTTAACAACTGTTGCATTTAGATGGAAAGTATACAGATAGTTATCCAGTGTACTCTCCTTTCAACTTTCCTGAATGTTTGAAAATTTTCATAAGAAAAGGTTGGAGGCCAGGCACAGTGGCTCACACCTGTAATCCCAGCACTTTGGGAAACTGAGGTGGGTGGATCACTTTAGGTCAGGAGTTCGAGACCACCCTGGCCAAAAATCTCTACTAAAAATACAAAAATTAGCCAGGTGTGGTGGCACGCGCCGATGATCCCAGCTATTCAGGAGGCTAAGGCACGAGAATTGCTTGAATCCAGGAGGCAGAGGTTGCAGAGCGCCAAGATTGTGCCACTGCACTCCAGCCTGGAAGAAACAGCGAGACTGTCTCAAAAAAAAAAAAAAAAAAAAAAAGTTGGAAGATAAATAAAGAGATGATGATCCCTACTGAAGACTCCTACAATGAGCACGGGTCCCCAACACCAGCTGCCTGCCAGGATCCCTTGGGAACTTTGTAAATCAAGTGCTGGGCCCGGCCCTAGGCCTGCTCAGGCGGAAGCTCCAGAGGTGAGTGACCCATATGCGAGAACCCAGGCAGTGACAGTGGATGAAGCCATCCTGGAAGCATAGGGTCCTGGAGACATTAAACTCTCTCTCCCCTAACATACACATACATATGTATGCGCACACATGCAGGGATGTTCACACACACAGACACACATCAGCCACATTTACCAAGAGCTTTTTTATTTTTTATTTTTGAGACGGAGTCTCGCTCTGTCGCCCAGGCTGGAGTGCAGTGGCGCGATTTCGGCTCACTGCAAGCTCTGCCTCCCGGGTTCACGCCATTCTCCTGCCTCAGCCTCCCGAGTAGCTGGGACTACAGGCGCCTGCGACCACACCTGGCTAATTTTTTGTATTTTTAGTAGAGACGGGGTTTCACCATATTAGCCAGGATGGTCTCGATCTCCTGACCTCATGATCCGCCCGCCTCAGCCTCCCAAAGTGCTGGGATTACAAGCGTGAGCCACGCCTGGCCCTTAACAAGAGCTTTTTATGCGGCAGACAATGCTGTACAGGTATTCCTCCATTTAATCCACTGAACAATCTAAAATATTCTCTCAACATCATTTTCAAGATGAGGAAACTGAGGCTCAGAAATGTCGGGCCACTCCTTAAATGTCTAACATTAGGTGTTGGCATCAGGACTTGACCCTGAACTGGCTGACTCCCAAACCTAAGGTCCAGGACTTCAGGGCAGGCTGCCTCCTGAGGATGCCCAGGGCTTTCTGCTTTTGAAGAATCTGCACAGCCATGACCTCATTTCATCCTCTTGGCAGCTCAGGCAGGGCAGAAATGATTATGCCCAGTTTATGGTCTAGGAAACAAAGGCCAGGATATGTGTGACTTGCCCAGAGTCACACAGATGGTCTTTAACTCAAACTGCCCAATCACGAACCCAGAGGCTTAGGGATGAAGTTTCTGGTGGGTTCTCTGCTACCAGGACCAAAAGTTAAACCAGGTAACAGTGCTCTTTACACCTAGTTACTACAGTGAAAGGAATGACAGGAGCCAGTCCCCTCCCGGCCCTTCAGCCAGGAAATCAGCAGCCAAGAGTACTGCCCACAAAGCCAGCCTCCTGGTTATCTAGTCACGCAATCTGCACTGCACAGCAGTTCTGCTGGGCACCCAACTCTCGTAGGCACCTGCAACCCTGGATCGGCCATATCTGCCCCTGCCTGTCAGAGCTTCGATCAAAGTCATTTCCAGCTGGGTGTGGTGGCTCACGCCTGTTATCCTGGCACTCTGGGAGGCCCAGGTAGGAGGATCGCTTAAGCTCAGGAGTTCAAAACCAGTCTGGGTGTCATCGCAAGACTCTGTCTCTATTTAAAAAAATAAAACAAACAAACAAACAAAAAACAAAGTCATTCCCCAGGGGGAGAAAAACTTCTGCAGCAGTATCTGCCCTAGCTTGTTGGAGGCTACAGAAAAGGGTTTTTCCATTGATGGAAGACAGTGAAAAGTTTAGGGGAACAAGCCACTATTCCAGAGACCAAAGTAGGGGGTGTAAATTAAGGAATAAGATAATATACTTGTTTGACTACAAGGAGCTTCTCAGAGTGACAGGAATCTATTAAAAGTTGGGGGTCCTATCAGTTCCACCCAGAGTCTCTCAGATCTAACCCTGCTGCATCCCTGCCCCCACCACCTCTTGCCTAGACAACTGCAGTGGCCTTCCAGGTAGCCTCTCTACCGCCACTCCTGTATCTCCACAGTGCCTAAAGCATTTCCGACACAAGCAGATGTGAATTATGTCACTGCCCTGCTTACACTGCTGTAAAGGATTCTCCCCACCCCTCATGACAAAGGCCCCAAGTGGCCTTACCAGCACCAACCTCTTCACTCGCTCTCTGCTTCTAGCCACCCCGTGGCCTCCCTGACCTGGAACACACCACGCTCTCTCCCGCTGAGGACTTCGGCATATGCCCTCCTCTCCACCTGGAATGTTCTCTTCTTTTCTTTTTTTTTTTGACAGGGTCTCGTTTTGTCACCCAGGCTGGAATGCAGTGGTATAATCTAGACTCACTGCAACCTCCACCTCCCGGGTTCGAGCAATTCTACTGCCTAAGCCTCCCGGGTAGCTGGGATTACAGGCACCTGCCACCATGCCCAGCTAATTTTTGTATTTTTAGTAGAGACAAGGTTTCACCATGTTGGCCAGGCTAGTCTTGAACTCCTGACCTCAGGTGATCCACCCACCTCGGCCACCCAAAGTGCTGGGATTACAGGCATGAGCCACCACACCTGGCCAGGGCCAAATTTTTGTATTTTCAGTACAGATGGGGTTAAATCCCCGGGTTAGTCAGGCTGGTCTTGAACTGCTGGCCTTAAGTGATCTGCCTGTCTTGGCCTGCCAAAGTGCTGGGATTACAGGCATGGGCCATTGTGCCTGGCCGTTTTCTTAATTTTTATTTTTTTGAGACAGGGTCTGGCTCTGTCACCCACGCTGGAGGGCAGTAGTGTGATGTAGGCTCACTGCAACCTCTGCCTCCCAGGCTCAAACCATCCTCCTACCTCAGCCTCCTGAGTAGCTGGGACTACAGGCACATGCCATCATGCCCAGCTAATTTTTGTATTTTTTGTAAAGACAGGGTTTCACCATGTAGCCCAGGCTGGTCTTGAACTCCTGGGCTCAAGCAATCCTCCTGCCTCAGCCTCCCAAAGCGCTGGGATTACAGGCGTGAACCACTGTGCCCAGCCCTATCACATTTTCTCACATTTGTAATGACCTTCTCAGAGCCATCCCCACTATAAGATTAGAAGCCTGGCTCATTCACTCACTGTGATGCAGGGCCCTTCCCAGCAGCCATTACACCCAGATGGGACACAGTGAACCTCTGTTACCCAACTTTTAGAAAGCACCCCAGGATCTGGCAGCATCAGGATTGCGCTGAGTAACTGTCAAGCAGATGGTCATGGCCCGACACCTTGTGGCCAGGAGTTTAAGAGAAAAAGGAAAGAAAATACTGTTGGGGGAGTCCCTGGGGACCCCAGGTTGGCACTCACATTTGTGACCCCACTCCGGTTCCGGGCCACCGTCTGAGATTTCAGTGTTGTCTGTTCCACTCTCTTACGAAGGGTTTCAAACTCATTCTGGGGGTCCAGGATGAGGAGGCAAGGGTAGTCAGTGGCCCTCTGGAAGAAGGAAATGTCTGGGCACAACCTCCTGTCAAGAGGGAACAGGAAATAATCTTGTTACTCAAGGTGGAAGTTTTCGCCATCCCATCTGCCAGGAGACCCCAAGACTCCCCAAAAGCATTGTTTTTTGTTTTTGTTTTTGTTTTTGAGATGGAGTCTTGCACTGTCGCCCAGGCTGAAGTGCAGTGGAGCGATCTCTGCTCACTGCAAGCTCCAACTCCCGGGTTCACGCCATTCTCCTGCCTCATTCTCCCAAGTAGCTGGGACTACAGGCGCCCACCACCACGCCCGGCTAATTTTTTATTTTTTTAGAGATGGAGTTTCACCATGTTAGCCAGGATGGTCTTGATCTCCTGACCTCGTGATCCACCCACCTCAGCCTCCCAAAGTGCTGGGATTACAGGCATGAGCCACTGTACCTGGCCAGCATTGTTTGTTTTTAATTACAACGTTTTGAATCACTAGAGGTCAAGAGTTTGAGACCAGCCCGGCCAACATGGTAAATTTTGCCTCTATTAAAAATACAAAAATTGGCTGGGCACGGTGGCTCACGCCTATAATCCCAGCACTTTGGGAGGCTGAGGCAGACGGATCACCTGAGGTCGGGAGTTTGAGACCAGCCTGACCAACATGGAGAAACTCCGTTTCTACTAAAAAAATACAAAATTACCCGGGCGTGGTGGTGCATGCCTGTAATCCCAGCTACTCAGGAGGCTGAGGCAGAAGAATCGCTTGAACCTGGGAGGCGGAGGTTGCAGTGAGCCGAGATCGTGCCATTGCACTCCAGCTTGGGCAACAAGAGCGAAACTCCGTCTCAAAAAAAAAAAAAATTAGCCAGGCGCAGTGGGAGGTGCCTGTAATCCCAACTACTGGGGAGGCTGACACAGGAATTGCTTGAGCCTGGGAGGAGGAGATTGCAGTGAGCCAAGATCGCGCCACTGCGCTCCAGCCTGGGTGACAGAATGAGACTCAGTCTCAAAAAAATAATAATAACAACAACAATTACAACATTTTATTTTAAAAACAGTATTTTTTTAAAAAGCTGTAGTCATTGTATATGTATACATGCCCACATTTTATGTGTATTTGCAAATAGATATATACTTTTTTTTTAAAGTGTCATTATGGTCATACAACCTAACTCCTCTTTTAAACTCCAAACATATTTCCATGTAAAAATATTTATCTAGGTCAGGCACAGTGGCTCACCACTGTAATCCCAGCACTTCAGGAGGCTAAGGCAGGAGGGATCACTTGAGCCCAGGAGTTCAAGACCAGCCTGGGCAACAAAAGGAGACCCCATCTGTAAAAAAAATTAGTTGGGGCCAGGTGCGGTGGCTTACGCCTGTAATCCCAGCACTTTGGGAGGCCAAGGCAGGCGGATCACGAGGTCCAGAGATCAAGAACACCCTGGCTAACACGGTGAAACCTCGTCTCTAATGAAAATACAAAAAATTAGCTGGGTGTGGTGTCGGGCACCTGTAGTCCCAGCTACTTAGGAGGCTGAGGCAGGAGAATGGTGTGAACCCGGGAGGCGGAGCTTGCAGTGAGCCAAGATCGTGCCACCGCACTCCAGCCTGGGTGACAGAGTGAGACTCCTTCCCAAAAAAAAAAAAAAAAAAAAAAAAAAAAAAAAAAAAAAAAAGATGGTGACCATCCTAGCTAACACGGTGAAACCCCATCTCTACTAAAAATACAAAAAATTAGCCAGGTGTGGTGGCATGTGCCTGTAATCCCAGCTACTCAGGAGGCTGAGGCAGGAGAAATCACTGGAACCCGGAGGTTGCAGTGAGCCAAGATTGCGCCAGTGCACTCCAGCCTGGGCAACAGAGCAAGACTCCACCTCAAAAAAAAAAAAAAATTAGCTGGGTGTGGTGGCATGTGCCTACAGTCCTGGCTACTCAGGAGGTGGGGCAGGAGGATCACTTGAGCCTGGGAGTTCAAGGCTTCAGTGAGCTAAGATCAAGCCACTGTACTCCAGTCCAGCCTGGGCAACAGAGCAAGACCCTATCTCAAAAAAAAAAAAATTATCTAACATGCACAAACACAGGGTGGTTTGTAGTAGCAAAAGAGATTTGGTTCCATAAGTTTCACACTGTACAACAGAATATTATACAGCTGAACTGGAAAGATGTCCAAGACAGAGTGAGAGGGAAAACAAGTTGGGAGATGGTGTCTAGAATGTGATCAAGTTTTTAAAATATATGTATTGCAGTACACGCACATTTTTCAGACTTCTTATACTTAGCACATTGCAAACACGCTTCTAGAAGCACCAAAGGATCACTACCCATGTAAAACAGAACCTGGCCAGGCATGGTGTCTCATGCCTGTAATGCTAGCACTTTGCGAGGCTGAAGCGGGTGGATCACTTGAGGTCAGGAGTTCGTGACCAGCCTGGCCAACTGGTGAAACCCCGTCTCTCCTAAAAATACAAAAATCAGCCAGGCGTTGTGGCACATGCCTGTAATCCCAGCTACTAGGGAGGCTGAGGCAGGAGAATCGCTTGAACCCGGGAAGCGGATGTTGCAGTGAGCCGAGATTGCACCACTGCACTCCAGCCTGGGTGACAGAGGGAGCCTCTGTCTCAAAAAAAAACAAAAACAAAAACAAAAAAAAAACAGAAAACAAAAAAACAGAACCTATTTCCCCAGGTCACGGAGTGGTTCTTGACTTGAACACAGCAATCAGAACACCTCGTGGGTAAACACTGCACCAACCCTAGCCTGAGAGCACAAGAGGCAGTGCCTCCTTTTTCCTGCAGCCTGGCTGAGTTGCCCTGTGCGGGGGTCACATGGGGCCATCTGAAGATGAGCCTGGGCTGAGGAGCAGCACCCAGGGTGGCAAGGGAAAGGAGGACCCTGCTTTATCCTGCCATGCGCCTTCTTCCCCGGCCACAGGGCACTCTCATGTGCTGTGCCTCAGCCCAGCAGACTCTTCCACCCAGCTTGCTGCCTCCTCCTCTTTCATATCTCATCCTGAGCCTCCTCCCTGGAAAGGCTTTCCTCGATCCCCCAAAGGAAAACAGGGCCTCCCTCTGATTCTCTAAAAGCACCAGTTTTTCCCTCCTTCACAGCACTACAGTATTTGCAATTACATATCTGTTTCCAGGTTTAGTATATGTCTCCTGACTTACACTGGAAGCTCTCAGAAGGCAGAGACTGTTTCAGTCCTGCTCACTCCTAAACCCCTTCTGACACCGGCACTCGGCCATTCCTTGAGAAGGAGCTGAATGGAGGGGCACCTGTCTGTACTGGTGCAGACTGACTTGGGCACCTGAGAGCTGCCCCTTGGAGATTCTGAAGGGTCACTGCGGGTCAGAGTGCCAGCTTGTTCTGTCTAACCAAGTGCCGGGGGTCCCAGGCAGGCTGTTGTAAAAGGAACAGGATAAGCTCCCAGGACCCTTCTCTGATGGAGATCTGATCATTCTAAGGGCCTCTGTAAGTGCTAAGTCCCACGTATCTGTGGAGACCCAGCCCGTTCTGTGCCCTTAGCCTGAACCACCTTACTCCTACTTCACAATAGAGTAATGATCAGAAGGTGTGAGTCACTTGCCCAAGGTCACACAGCTAACAACTGGTAAATGCGGAATGGAAACCAGGCAAATGGACTCCAGAACCCAAGCCCTTGGCCACTCCACCCACCTGTGGACAAGGCCTGCCTTCTAGCTCCTCACCTAGCCCAACACGCTGCCAAACTCCCCAGCCCGACAGGGCCGCACAGCCAGCATCTCCACATTTCTTTACCAAGTGGAAAAGCACAAACACATTGTAGCTCAAGATTTTAAAAACTGTGTATTTGACCCTGTCACTCCTTTACTCAAAACCTTTGCATGGCTGCCTCATGCTCTTAGAATCAAGTCCAAGGTCCAGCCCCTATCTCCCACCCTGGCCTTGGCATTGTTCCTCAGATGTGCCAAGCTCTGCGGGCTCTCTGGACCTTGCCAAGGGCAGTTCCCTGCCCAACATGGCCTTTGCTGCACTCTTCCCCTGAGGCCTCCCACTCCTCAGATCTCAGCTGAATCACTGCTTCTCAGGTGAGGTTTCCCCAAACCCCCTCAAATTTTCCTTCAGGAGCATTTACCACGAATGCCATCTGCTAAGATCTAATGGGCTGAATGTCTGTCTTGCCATCCTCCCTTCTAGGTTCTAAGATCCTTAAGGAGAGGGAACACACCAGTGCTCAACCCTGAACTTAGTGCTAAGCCTGGCACACAAAAGGGGCTCAATACTTGTTGAATGAATGTCAGATGAATCCATAAACACCTGGGGTACAAATGAAACTACAGCTCAGATAAGAACAGCCAGGTACATGCAAGCACAGAATCTCCCTCGCTAGCCTCGTTCTCAGCCTATCATCAATAGTGCCTGGACCCAACCGCTGGGACAATCCACCAGCAGCTCCGCAAACACTCACCCATAGGCCCGGCCTGCAAATGGAAAAGACAGAGCTGCAGAGAGCCCCAGAAGTCCCATGGGCCAGCTCCCGGCCCCAGGCACCCTGCCTACCGGACATCTTTGTCGATCTGCAGCAGCACCTCGTTGTCCTTGAAGTACGTGTTCCACCGGCTGTCAGGGTTGGGGTTGAGTGGCTGTGGGGAGAAATGAAGATGCTCTGTCCAAGGCCCAGCTAGGCCCCGGGGCCCGATTCTATCCCGGAAACCTGAGCAGTGGCCTTGCTGCAACAATCCCACTGCACACTGAGGTGTGGTCCTGACACCACCTGCAAGATACTCAGAGGAGCCAACACAGCCCTTCCCTCAGCCTCCTGAATCCGTTCAAACTCCACAGCCGGGAGCCCAGCCTGGGGACCAGCTCTGAGGACTTCTCTGCTGGGCAGGGACTCTGTTCCTTTTCTGTCCGTTGCTCTAGCTCAAGAACTTTGCATATAACAGGTGCTCAGTAAATGTTTGCTTGCTGAATGAATGAATTTGGTTTCTTCGGCTCTCATTCATCGATGCTCTGAGTCGTCAATTCCTATCTGTGAGTCTGGGCCTGGGGCCCATCGATTTCTTTCTCACGTGCTGTGAAGCCCAGGGAGGAGCTCAGCATTTGAGGAGAACAAGGCTTCCTGGCAGCTTAGCCTCCCTCCCGCCCTGCTCTGACTTTCTTCAAGGAACAGGGATGAGGGTTGAAATAGACCATGTCCTCAGAGCACCTGACGCAGGGCTGCCCCTGCAATGCTCCCTGGACCCCAACTATCGTTTGTCTTACTGAGCCCAGGGCCCCCAAGCTTAGTGACCCAACGCAGAAAGGAGGAACTGGGAGGTCCAGAGGGGACTGACACCAGACTGCACCTACCCCCTGGCATGCAGGGGCCCTTGCCTGCTCCAAGGCCGCCACCCCTCCACATTCTGTATCCTGGGTCTCCGCTGTCAACCTCTACTCACATGGTCCTCAAAAGTCACATCCTCCCTGGACACACCCATGTTGGCCTTGGCAATGCCAGGCTGGATGATCATTTCCCTCAGGAACTGGGCATACAGCTCCCTGCAGGAGACAAGTGAGAAGGATGATTCCCAACGGTCCTGCCCAGGGAGCCCAGAGCAGAGCAGCAGCCGCAGGAGGCAGGGCGGCCCCAGCGGTACTGGCTCTGTCACATGCAAGGGCCCTCCTGTCACTGCCCTTACACGGGGTCTCACCTCTGCTTGGCCAGGATGGAGGTCCATGAGGCTCTCTCCAAGGGAAGGTAGTTCAAGAGAATCTGCACAGAGGGAGAAGGGCAAAGCTCTGGTGACCCTCCTGCACCAACGTCAGTCTTTAGGCGGGGATGACAGGCCTCAAGAAAAACATCTCATAAAGTCCCAAGAAGACAAGATGGGCTAAAATCCAGGAATGCCAGCATGAGCTAGGGGTAGCCTCCCCCTTCCTCCCCACTGCCTCCCTCCTCCTTTAACCCAAACCAGCCCTTCCCTCTGCTTTTCCTCACACAGACTCTTCCACATGATCATCAGACCCTGTGCTCTAAAGGGCTGGAAACCAGGACACTGGGCTTCCATGGCCACCTGAGCTGGGAGCTTTGGGCAAAGCACAGCCTTTGTTTTGTCCCAATAAGCATGACTTTCACTGTACTTCACGGACCAGGAAGCAGAGGTCTTCATTGTTGGCATTACAAAGTGTCCCATCCCCAAGGGGATCCCAGAGAAGACACCAAGAGGAACAGAAAACCCAGGACTTCCCAGAAAAGCTCCCTCAGACAAGCAAGGAAAGGTGCAGAACAGGAGGAAGAAGCCAGGGGTAGGGGCAGCCCATGCAGGAAAACCCAGGGACTCTCAGCAGAGCAGAAGCCCCACCCCAGGCACACCCACCTTCCAGCAGAGGCACCGCAGTCCGCCCTCACAGGGGATGCCTGTGGACACAGCAGGCAAAGGTCATGCCCCAGGCCAGAGTCCCAGAACCCCCAGCCCTTCACCGTGGAGCCAACTGGCGGGGAGTAGAGTGGGCAAGAAGTACTTCTTCAAGAATCATTTCCCCAAGAAAGATGACTAGATTGGATGGTTTCTTTTTTTTGAGATGGAGTCTCCCTCTAACACCTAGGCTGGAGTGAAGTGGCGCAATCTCGGCTCACTGCAGCCTCCGCCTCCCGAGTTCCAGCGATTCTCCAGCCTCAGCCTCCCAGGTAGCTGGGATTACAGGCACGCGCCACTGTGCTCAGCTAATTTTTGTATTTTTAGTAGAGACAAGGTTTCACCATGTTGGCTAGGCTGGGCTTGAACTCCTGACCTCAGGTGATCCCCCCACTTCGGCCTCCCAAACTGTTAGGATTACAGGCGTGAGCCACCATACCCAGCCTAGACTGGATGCTAATTTTTTTTTTTTTTTTTTTGGAGACAAAGTCTTGCTCTGTTGCCCAGGCTGGAGTGCAATGGCGTGATTTCTGCTCACTGCAACCTCCGCCTCCCCGGTTTAACTAATTCTTCTGCCTCAGCCTTGCAAGTAGCTGGGATTACAGATGTGTGCCACCACTCCTGGCTAATTTTTGTATTTTTAGTAGAGACAGGGTTTCACCATATTGGCCAGGCTGGTCTCGAACTCCTGACCTCAGGTGATCCACCTGCCTCAGCCTCCCAAAGTGCTGAGATTACAGGTGTGAGCCACCATGCCCGGCCTGAAATGTTCTTTTGAGGATAACACCTTCTCATCCTTGATATTCCTTCCTCAGGAGCAGCCTTTACCACCACCATGTCATCCTAATTCAGGTCAGTTCCCCCTGTTATAAGCAATAATGGCTCTGTGACTATTTCATAGCATCTGTCATAAGTGGAATTATTATATATATATATATATATATGGTGTATTTTCTTAACGTCTGTAACCCCTACTACTGGGTAAGCCCCAGAAGGACAAAAACCACATCTATTATTCCCAGTGCATAGCACAGAGCACTGCACATAGAAGATATTCCATACATATTTGTGGAATATAAACTAAGCTACGAATGCTAAGTATTTTGTGCTTTACAGATATTATTTCATTTAATCTTCATTATTACCCCAGTAAGTAGGGAAGATTAACGTAATTGTCGTAAGAAGGAAACTTATCTGTAAAACTCTTAACTACTAACACTGACTGCCTCTCCTTTGGGGCCTATATTTCACTCCTAAACAGAAAGACAAAGTTATCCTGCAATAAGATCAGGAAGCTCACTACCGCAGTTGCTGCTGTAGTATCCCTGGTACCATGAACATGAGTGAATACCTCCACTTCAGAATCTATATGAGGATGACAGGGACAATATAAGAAGTTCTTTTTTTTTTTTTTTTTTTTGAGATGGAGCTTCACTCTTGTCGCCCAGGCTGGAGTGCAATGGCGCAATCTCGGCTCACTGCAATTCCCAGGTTCAAGTGATTTTCCTGCCTCAGCCTCCCGAGTAGCTGGGATTACAGGCAAGTGCCACCAAGCCCAGCTACTTTTTTATATTTTTAGTAGAGACTAGGTTTCACCATGTTGGCCAGGCTGTTCTCGAACTCCTGACCTCAGGTGATCCACCTGCCTTGGCCTCCCAAAATGTTGGGATTACAGGCATGAGCCACGGCACCCGGCCAGAAGTTCTTGCTGGCAAAGTTACAAGGGCAAAAAAGTGACAAGAAGCTATGCAGAACACGTTGGGATATTTTTTAAAACAGGCAAAAAGAGAGTTATCTTTGTGCTCATTGGGGCAAAGTCTAACACAGCAGGATCAGCTCCTTAAAGTCAGTGTCCCAAGGCTACCCATTTTACCACTAGCCAAGGTTTAGTTCAGGCAGCTTAGACCCCAAGCCAGGGAGAGAACAAGGAACAACCCTGCAGTTAACCAAACTCACCAACACAGGAAGCTAGCTAAGGAATGAGGAAAGACTGTCCTGGGCTCAAAAGGTCCCAACTCTCATTCTCCAGGCTTCAGTCCTGTCCTGTTACTCTCAGGAATCTGGCACCTCCTGCGGAAAGCTTAGGAAAGCTTAGGGCATGCTAAGTGTGGCCACTGCCCCTCTGGGAAACCCCTCCAAGCTCAAGGCAGTCACTGCCTGTTCAGCTCTACAGAATCTGGAAAAGGCCCCAAGAGTCTGTGTGTAATTTCCTTCCAAGGCCCCAGCCCCCAGCAGCTGGGCCCCAGAGCTGACCAGGTGTGGCCTCCCCCTGTATTCTAGCCACAGGGCTGCTGTAGGGAAACCGTGAAAATACAGAATGGCTTCTTACCACTAAAGCTGAGTTCCCGCAGCTTTTCCAATGCAATTGAGGGCTCCTTCAGGACATCCTGGAAATCTGCAATTCTGGAAGGGGAGATAGGGCGGCAAATGAAGCATGCTGATATCGGCTCAGTGAGACCCACAGCCCTCAGCTCCCTCACACTGCCAGTTTCCAACCTGTGCCTCTCTCCCCTTTAGGACATAAAAATCACACAGCTTAGTCAAGGTCCTCACCAAAGACAGCTTTGGAGAACAACAAAACTATATTTCACTTCTTCCTCTACAACCAGAAACACAGAATGCCAGGGAAGAAACTTGAGAGATATTCTTGTCTAGAAGTTCCCAAATGAGGACCATAAAATTAGACATATTCCAACATTCTAATACTTAGTGAGCTGACATTTACTGGGCACTTCCTGCCGGCCAGGCCGGGTCCACGCACAGCCACCAACTGAACTCCTTGGACCTCAGGAACCAGGAGTAATTTGATATGCAGACAATGGACCATGCTCACAAATATAACCATTACAAGACCTCTGGGCCTGCCAGAAGGCAAGGACAAAGGGTTTAAAAAACACGTCCTGAAGGAAAACTGAAGAGTGAGCAAAATTCAGCCAATGCTGCAGGATCTGGCCTGGGGGAGGGGCCAGACTGGAGAATGCAAGTTCTCTAGCAATCCTAGTAAGAAAAAGGCACGGGGGACAGGGTGCACTTGGAGAGAGTACGGGAGCAGGGGGATCAAAAGGGGGAAAGGCACGGGGGCGGGGCATGGGGGTCTGGATGAGGAAGACTCAGGGGAAGGGGGACACCAGGGGTCCAGGATGAGGGAGGCAGAAGCAGTGACATCAGGGGCAGGAGAAGGGCCGCCCCTCCGTCGTTCCTGCAGCCCACAGGCAATGAGGTTAGAAGGTGGACGCTCGAGACCCTCTGCCGAGGGGGTCTGCCGATTCCTGGCCACACCCGCGCTTCCCCCTTCTGAGGGGCAGAAGGGGCAGCCTGGCCAGGAGTGGCCCAGCCGGGTCAGGCCCCATGGCCCCTTACCGGCTCTTGTGCAGACTTGACATGGTGTTGACTTCCGGACCCCCCAGCCGCCTCCGCCGCCTGCGCCTCTGCCGCCTGCGCTGCCGCCGCCGCCGCCGCCCCCCAGGGACGCGGGGCTCTGCGCAAAAGCCTCCGGCGGGAAACACAGCCACTAGCCTGCGCGTTCCACCGCCTCAGCCCCGCCCCGCCCCGCCAGTCACGTGCCACCCCTCGACTCTCACGCTTCCACACGGTACTGGCGGCTACGGCCGGCCGGGTTGAGCGGGGCAACCTCGGGTCTGGTGGGCGTGGCAATCGCGGGCCGGGAGCCCCAGCGCCGCCGACCCTGCGGGCCAAATTTGAGAACCCGCCGGTGACAGCGCAGACTGTGTGTCTCTGGACTATTCCTTGCGCTTCCCTGGGCCTCAGTGTCTACTTACGCAATATACCTGTCACCCTGTCGTCTTCCCTGCACTCACCCCCCTGTAATTAACTACTGCATGATTGTTACAGGAGTCTCGGCCTCCCCTGCTAAACTGTTCAGGCCCCCCAGCTTATCTTGGTCTCTGCAGAATCCTCAAGGCCTGTATAGCAGGGACTCGCATGAACCGCCGTGCGCGGCCCAACTTTTTTTTTTTTTATAAAAACTATACCAGCAAACCCTATAAAATGTAAGTTAGGAAGAAAGAAAAAAACACAAATGATATCTTAAGAAAAATAGGCTGGACCGGGCGCGGTGGCTCATCCCTGTAAATTCCAGTGCTTTGGGAGGACGAGGCAGGCAGACCACTTGAGGTCAGGAGTTGGAGACCACTCTGGCCAACACGGTGAAACCCCGTCTCTACCAAAAATGCAAAAATTAGCCGGGCGTGGTGGCAGGCGCCTGTAATCCCAGCTCCTCGAGATTACCTTCTTTACAAAAGATGTAAAAATTAGTTGAGTAGGCCGGGCGTGGTGGCTCACGCCTGTAATCCCAGCACTTTGGGAGGCTGAAGCGGGCAGATCACCAGGTCAGGAATTTGAGAACAGCCTAACCAACATGGTGAAACCTCGTCTCTACTAAAAATACAAAAATTAGCCGGGTGTGGTGACGCACAACTGTAATCCCAGCTACTCAGGAAGCTGAGGCAGGAGAATTGCTTGAACCCGGGAGGCGGAGCTTGCAGTGAGCCGAGATAGTGCCACCGCACTCCAATAGCGCCACCGCACTCCAACCTGGGCAAAAACGCAAGACCCTGTCAAAAAAAAAAAAAAAAGAAAAGAAAAGAAAAGAAACTGCTTAAAGATTTTCCGAAATGGTTGTATTATTTAACACCTTTTTCTTGAGAAAAAAAAAAAAAGAAAGAAACAGCTAGCCAGGCGCGGTGGCTCACGCCTGTAATCCCAGCACTTTGGGAGGCCAAGGAGGGCGGATCATGAGGTCAGGAGATCGAGACCATCCTGTCTAACACGGTGAAACCCCATCTCTACTAAAAAATACAAAGAAAAAAATTAGCCGGGCGTGGTGGTGGGTGCCTGTAGTCCCAGCTACTCGGGAGGCTGAGGCAGGAGAATGGCATGAACCTGGGAGGCAGAGCTTGCAGTGAGTGGAGATTGCACGACTGCACTCCAGCCTGGGCGAAAGAGCGACACTCTATCTCAAAAAAAAAAAAAGAAAAAGAAAAAGAAAAGAAAGTGCTTAAATATTTTCCAAAATGGTTGTATTATTTAACACCTACCCCAGCAGTATATGAGAGTTGCTGTTGTACCACGTCCTCACCAATACTTGATGTGGTCAGTCTTTTTAATCTTAGACATTCTAGTAGATGTGAAGTGGTATCTCCTGCTTTAACATGCATTTCCCTAAAGACATATGATGTTGAGCATCTCTTCACACGTTTGCTATGCATATATACTCTTCTTTCTTTTTTTTGAGACATGGTCTCACTCTGTCACCCCAGGCTGGAGTGCAGTGGCGCAATCTCAGTTCACTGCAACCTCTGCCTACTGAGTAGCTGGGACTACAGGCGCATGCCACCATGCCCAGCTGATTTTTGTATTTTGAGGTAGAGATAGGGTTTCATCATGTTGGCCAGGCTGGTCTCAAACTCCTGACCTCAAGTGTCTGCCCACCTCAGGCCTCCCAAAGTGCTGGGATTACAGGCATGAGCTACCATGCCTGGCCTTCTTTTTTTTTTTTCTTGAGACGGAATCTCACTCTTGTTGCCGAGGCTGGAGTGCAATGGGGTGATCTCCAGCTCACGGCAACCTCTGCCTCCCGGGTTCAAGCGATTCTTCTGCCTCAGCCTCCCGAGTAGCTAGGATTAAAGGTTCATGCCACCCTGCCTGGCTAATTTTTATATTTTTTGATTTAAAAAAAATTTTGTATTTTTAGTAGAGACGGGTTTTCATCATGTTGGCCAGGCTGGCCTCAAACTCCTGACCTCAGGTTATTCTCCCTCCTCGGCCTCCCAAAATCCTGGGATTACAGGCGTGAGATACCATGCCTGGCAGCACCTGGCCTTCTAATTTTTTTTTTTTTTTGAGATGGAGTCTGGCTCTGTTGCCCAGGCTGGAGTGCAGTGGTGCAATCTCCACTCACCACAACCTCCGCCTCCTGAGTTCAAGCAATTCTCCTACCTCAGCCTCCCAAGTAGCTGGGATTATAGGCGCGCGCCAGTATGCCTGGCTAATTTTTGTAGTTTTAGTAGAGACGGGTTTCTCCATGTTGGCCAGGCTGGTCTTGAACTCCTGACCTCAGGCGATCTGCCCACCTTTGCCTCCCAAAGTGCTGAGATGACAGTCATGAGCCACCATGCCTGTCCCTATTGCCCGTTCTTTATTGTACTTTTTTTTTTTTTTTTTTTTTGAGACAGTCTCTCTGTTCTTGGCTGGGCTGGAGTGCAATGGCGCAATCTTGGCTCACAGCAACCTCTGCCTCCAGCAATTATCCTGCCTCAGCCTCCCAAGTAGCTGAGATTACAGGCGCCCACCACCACACCTGGCTAATTTTTGTATTTTAGCAGAGACGGGGTTTCACCATGTTGGCCAGGCTGGTCTCGAACTCCTGACATCAGGTGATCTACCCACCTCGGGCTCCCAAAGTGTTGGGATTACAGGCGTGCATCACCATGCCAAGCCTATTGTACTTTTTTTTTTTTTTTTTTTGATACGGAGTCTTACTCTGTCACCAGGCTAGAGTGCAGTGGCGCAATCTCGGCTCACTGCAACCTCCGCCTCCCGGGTTAAAGTGCTTCTCCTGCCTCAGCCTCCTAAGTAGCTGGGATTACAGGTGCCTGCTACCACACCCGGCTAGTTTTTGTATTTTTAGTACAGACGGGGTTTCACGATGTTAGCCAGGATGGTCTTGATCTCCTGACCTCGTGATCTGTTGTCCTCGGCCTCCCAAAGTGCAGAGATTACAGGCTTAAGGCTCCACGCCTGGCCTATTGTACATTTTTAAATCCCCACCACCACATTTTTCCCCCCCTCCCCAGGATGAGGTCTTGTTCTGTCCCCAGGCTGGAGTGCAGAGATTGCAGTGAGCCGAGATCATGCCACTGCACTCCAGGCTAGGCAACAGAGTGAGACCCTGTCTTAAAAAAAAAAGAAAAAAAAAAAAAAAGAGACAGTTATAATTGCTGACAAGGATGTGGAGAGATAGGAACCCACACATGTGCTGGAGGGAATGTAAAATGGTGCAGCTGCTATGGAAAATAGTATGACAGTTCCTCAAAAAGCTAAACATAGAATTACCCTATGACTCAGCACTTCCATTCCTAGGCATTGAAAGCATGGACAGGGCCAGGTGCAGTGGCTCTTGCTTGTAATCGCAGCACTCTGGGAGGCCAAGGCAGGAGGATTGCTTGAGGCAGGAATTCCAGACCAGCCTGGGCAACATAATGAGACCCCCGTCTCTGTAAAAAATCTTAAAATTTATCCAGGCATGGTGGCACACACCTGGTGTCCCAGCTACTCAGGAGGCTAAGGTGGGAGGATCACTTGAGCCTGGGAGGTTGGAGGCTGCAGTGAGCCATGATGATCAATCCACTGCACTCCAGCCTGGGTGACAGAGTGAGAAAAAAAAAAAAGAGAGAGAGAGAGAGAGAGAGAGAAAGCAGGAACAGATAGTTGTATGCCAATTGCAGCACTATTCCCAATAGCCAAAACGTGGACACACTTCATGTAACGATCAACAGATGAATGGATAAACAAAATGTTGTATATACATATCATGGCTTTTTTACATGCTACAACATGATGAACCGTGAAGACATTATGCTAAGTATCACAGCCAGTCACAAAAGGACAAACACTGTATGATTGTACTTGTATAAGGTAGCTAGGATATGCAAATTTATAAAAAAATAAAAGTGGATTAGATGTCACCAGGGACTACAGAGATAGAGAATGGGGAGTTATTGCTTAATGGTTACAGTTTCTATTTGGGGTAATGAAAAATTTTGGAAATAGGCTGAGCAAGATGATCTGTAATCCCAGCACTTTGGGAGGCCAAGGCAGGAGGACCACTTGAGGTCAAGAGTTCAAGACTAGCCTGTGCAATATAGCAAGACCCCATCTTTAAAAAAAAAAATTTTTTTTTGAGACACAGTCTCACTCTGCCACCCAGGCTGAGTACAGTGGCGGGATCTTGGCTCACTGCAGCCTCAACCTTCTGGGCTCAAGAGATCCTCTGCCTCAACCTCCCAAGTAGCTGGGAGCACATACCTGTGGCACCATGCCTGGCTAATTTTTTGTATTTTTTGTAGAGACAGGGTTTTGCCACCTTGCTCAGGCTGATTTCGAACTCCTGAGCTCAAGCAATCCCCCTGCCTCAGCCTCCTAAAGAGCTGGGATTACAGGAGTGAGCTCCACACCCGGCCTACAAAAATTTAACAAAAATAATTAGCAGGGCATGGTGGCACGCACCTGTAATCCTAGCTACTTGGGAGGTTGAGGCAGGAGAATTGCTTGAACCTAGGTGTTTGAGGCTGCAGTGAGCTGTGCTCACACCACTGCACTCCAGCTGGCGTAACAGAGCAAAACGCTGTCTCAAAAACAAACAAACAATAACAAAGTAATTTTGGAAATAAATAGTTTCCAAAGCTGCTAACGTAAAAGTTAAACAATGTAAAAAGATTACATAGTGTGCCAGTAATCAATTTCTTGACTCTCAGCTTCAAATTCTCTCATCATTTCCTGCTCTGAGAAAATGGATTTGGGACCTTTAACTATTTTTCCTGCATGGAATGGGCTTTCCTTTCCAATTTTAGTGTGCTTGGTAGACAGGCTTCTGCAGAACAAGGGGCTTGTCCAGCGCCTGCCTACTACTTCATTGCCAGTAGCCAGGAACGTCTCCCAACACTCTTCTCTGGCATTATTTTCAGAAAGGAGCCTCTGGTGGGACACTTTCCTGTAAATAGCTTTCCCAAGAACCTTAGATGGCTGATTTCTGGCAAGTTCTGTGACATTATTACCAAAACACCAGGGGTTTTGTCTAGGTCTTGCTGCTGGCTGCACAGAAAGCCAGTCACTGAGACAACCAGTACTGCCAGGAAAGAAAGCTTTAATCAGGTACTGCAGCCATGGAGGTGGGAGATCAGCTTCAAATCCATCTCCGTGACCAACTAAAATTAGGAGTTTATACAGCAGAAAAGAAATGTAGCTACATACAGGAAAACAGGAATTAGGGGAGGATAAGAAAGAAGAGTTGTTCAGCAGGAAGCAGGTGGCAGGTGGTCAGGTAATCATGACCAGTGAAGGGTCTGGTGTCTCATTGTACAGATGCTGTGATCTGGGAAGTTTCAGTTCCTTGATACTATCTGGGAGGCCTGATAGTTGGTTTCCTGAGAAATAAATTCAGATAAGACAAGTGTAACATTTTCAAGTTTCAAGACTCATGAAGGTCAACTTCTACATTTATTTTAAAAAAACCATAAATATCAGTTCTGTGGGACAATTGGGTTGGTTTCAACATGACACCACAGCTGATTTCCAGCAAGTTTCAAACGTAGAATTTCCAGAAAGTTTCATCAGTGCAGCATCACCATGACTTTGCTACCATTCAGTGAGCCACAGCCTTGTCCTTTCTCTTTATTTGAGACAGAGTCTTGCTCTGTTGCCGGGCTGGAGTGCGGTGGCACAATTTCAGTTCACTGCAACCTCTACCTCCCGGGTTCAGGCGATTTTCCTGCCTCAGCCTCCCAAGTGGCTGGGACTACAGGCACATGCCACCAGGCCCAGCTAATTTTTTTCTTTTTTCTTTTTTTTTAATTGATCATTCTTGGGTGTTTCTCGCAGAGGGGGATTTGGCAGGGTCACAGGACAACAGTGGAGGGAAGGTCAGCAGATAAACAAGTGAACAAAGGTCTCTGGTTTTCCTAGGCAGAGGACCCTGCGGCCTTCCGCAGTGTTTGTGTCCCTGGGTACTTGAGATTAGGGAGTGGTGATGACTCTTAAGGAGCATGCTGCCTTCAAGCATCTGTTTAACAAAGCACATCTTGCACCGCCCTTAATCCATTCAACCCTGAGTGGACACAGCACATGTTTCAGAGAGTACAGGGTTGGGGGTAAGGTCACAGATCAACAGGATCCCAAGGCAGAAGAATTTTTCTTAGTACAGAACAAAATGAAAAGTCTCCCATGTCTACCTCTTTCTACACAGACACGGCAACCATCCGATTTCTCAATCTTTTCCCCACCTTTCCCCACTTTCTATTCCACAAAACCGCCATCGTCATCATGGCCCGTTCTCAATGAGCTGTTGGGTACACCTCCCAGACGGGGTGGTGGCCGGGCAGAGGGGCTCCTCACTTCCCAGTAGGGGCGGCCGGGCAGAGGTGCCCCTCACCTCCGGGACGGGGCGGCTGGCCGGGCGGGGGGCTGACCCCCCCACCTCCCTCCTGGACGGGGCAGCTGGCCGGGCGGGGGGCTGACCGCCACCTCCCTCCCGGACGGGGCGGCTGGCCTGGCGGGGGCTGACCCCCCACCTCCCTCCCGGACGGGGCGGCTGGCCTGGCGGGGGCTGACCCCCACCTCCCTCCCGGACGGGGTGGCTGCCGGGCGGAGACGCTCCTCACTTCCCAGATGGGGTGGCTGCCAGGGGGAGGGGCTCCTCACTTCTCAGACGGGGTGGCTGCCGGGCGGAGGGGCTCCGCACTTCTCAGACGGGGCAGTTGCCAGGCAGAGGGTCTCCTCACTTCTCAGACGGGGCAGCCGGGCAGAGACGCTCCTCACATCCCAGACGGGGCAGCAGGGCAGAGGCGCTCCCCACATCTCAGACGATGGGCAGCGGGCAGAGACGCTCCTCACTTCCTAGATGGGATGGCGGCCGGGAAGAGGCGCTCCTCACTTCCTAGATGGGATGGCGGCCCGGCAGAGACGCTCCTCACTTTCCAGACTGGGCAGCCAGGCAGAGGGGCTCCTCACATCCCAGACAATGGGCGGCCGGGAAGAGGCGCTCCTCACTTCCCAGACAGGGTGGCGGCCGGGCAGAGGCTGCAATCTCGGCACTTTGGGAGGCCAAGGCAGGCGGCTGGGAGGTGGAGGTTGTAGCGAGCCGAGATCACGCCACTGCACTCCAGCCTGGGCACCACTGAGCACTGAGTGAACGAGACTCCGTCTGCAATCCCGGCACCTCGGGATGCCGAGGCTGGCGGATCACTCGCGGTTAGGAGTTGGAGACCAGCCCAGCCAACACAGCGAAACCCCGTCTCCACCAAAAAAATACGAAAACCAGTCAGGCGTGGCGGCGCGTGCCTGCAATCGCAGGCACTTGGCAGGCTGAGGCAGGAGAATCAGGCAGGGAGGTTGCAGTGAGCCGAGATGGCAGCAGTACAGTCCAGCCTCGGCTGGGCATCAGAGGGAGACCGTGGAAAGAGAGGGAGAGGGAGACCGTGGGGAGAGGGGGAGGGGGAGGGGGAGAGGAGGGAGAGCTAATTTTTTTTTTTTTTTTTTCTGAGATGGAGTCTTGCTCTGTCACCCAGGCTGGAGTGCAGTGGCGTGATCTCGGCTCACTGCAAGCTCCACCTCCCAGGTTCATGCCATTCTCCTGCCTCAGCCTCCTGAGTAGCTGGGACTACAGGCGCCCTCCACCACACCTGGCTAATTTTTTGTATTTTTAGTACAGACAGGGTTTCACTGTGTTAGCCAGATGGTCTCAATCTCTTGACCTCGTGATCTGCCCTCACTGGCCTCCCAAAGTGCTGGGATTACAGGCGTGAGCCACCGCGCCCAGCCCCATTTTTTTGTATTTTTAGTAGAGACGAGGTTTCACCATGTTGGCCAGGATGGTCTCGATCTCCTGACCTCGTGATCCACCCTCCTCGGCCTCCCAAAGTGCTGGGATTACAGGCATGAGCCACTGCCCCCAGTTGCCTTGTCTTTCTAACAAGGTCTGGATCTCTGGGGAAGTCCATTTCTTTAAGAGCTATATCTTACCCCAAGGGGCATTATCTGCTCCTTGTATCTGCTACTCCCATATTCTGTAGAGTTTTTTTTTTAACTTCTTATTAACCAATCCCTTGTGATTCCAATCTCTTGTTATTGCTAATAAAGCTTTTTTTTTTTTTTTTTCTCTGAGACAGGGTCTTACTCTGCCACCCAGGCTGGAGTGCAGTGGCACAATCTCATCTCACTACAAGCTCTGCCTCCTAGGCTCAAGCAATCCTCCCACTTCAGCCTCCCAAGTAGCTCAGACCACAGGCACGTGCCACCATGCCTGGCTAATTTTTTATTTTTTGTAGGGATGCGTTTTTACCATGTTGCCTAGGCTGGTCTTGAACTCCTCAGCTCATGTTATCTGTCTGCCTTGGCCTCCCAAAGTGCTGGGATTACAGCCATGAGCCACCATGACTCCTTTTTTAATTTTATTTTGAGACGAAGTTTCGCTTTTGTTGCCCAGACTGGAGTGCAATGGTGCATTCTCTGCTCACTGCAATCTCCGCCTCCTGGGTTCAAACGATTCTCCTGCCTCAACCTCCCGAGTAGTGGGGATTACGGCATGCGCCACCATGCCTGGCTAATTTTTTTTTTTTGAGACGGAGTGTTGCTCTGTTGACCAGGTTGGAGTGCAGTGGTGTGATCTCGGCTCACTGCAAGCTCTGCCTGCCGGGTTCACGCCATTCTCCTGCCTCAGCCTCCCAAGTAGCTGGGACTACAGGCGCCCGCCACTTCACCCAGCTACTTTTTTGTATATTTAGTAGAGATGGGGTTTCACCATGCTAGCCAGGATGGTCTCGATCTCCTGACCTCGTGATCCACCTGCCTCAGCCTCCCAAAGTGCTGGGATTACAGGCGTGAGCCACCACACCCGGCCTAATTTTGTATTTTTAGTAGAGACGGGGTTTCTCCACATTGGTCAGGCTGGTCTCGAGAACTCCCAATCTCAGGTGATCCACCCACCTCAGCCTCCCAAAGTGCTGGGATTACAGGTGTGAGCCATCACGCCAGCTCTCTTTTTTTAAATGATACTCATCCTAGTAGGTGAGAAGTGGCCTCTCACTGTGGTTTTGATTTGCATGTGAGTTCTCTAACTTTGTTCTTTTTCAAGTTTGTTTCAGCTATTAAGGGTTCCTTGAGATTCCATCTGAATATGAGAATGAATTTTTCTGTATTTCAAAAACCACCATTGGGTTTGTTTGTTTGTTTGTTTGTTTGTTTTGAGACAGACTCTTGCCCTGTCTCCCAGGCTGGAGTGCAATGGCGTGATCTTGGCTCACTGCAACCTCTGCATCCCGGGTTCAAGCGATTCTCCTGCCTCAGCCTCCCGAGTAGCTGGGACTACAGGTGTGCCACCATGCCCAGCTAATTTTTGTATTTTTAGTAGAGAATGGGTTTCACCATGTTGGCCAGGCTGGTCTCGAACTCCTGACTTCATGATCTGTCCACCTTGGCCTCCCAAAATGCTGGGATTACAGATGTGAGCTACCACGCCCAGCAGGGATTTTTTTTTTTTTTTTTTTGAGACAGAGTCTTGCTCTGTTGCCCAGGCTGGGGTGCAGTGGTACAATCTTGGCTCACTGCAACCTCTGCCCCCTGGGTTCAAGTGATTCTCCTGCCTCAGCCTCCCAAGTAGCTGGGATTAAAGGCGTCTGCCACTATGCCTGGCTAATTTTTGTATTTTTAGTAGAGATGGGGTTTCACCATGTTGGCCAGGCTGGTCTTGAATTCCTGACCTCAGTTGATCTGCCACCCTCGGCCTCCCAAAGTGCTGGGATTACAGGTGTGAGCCACTGCACCCAGCCTAGTTAGGTATTCTTTAATTTTGTTTAGCAATGTTTTGTGGTTTTCAGTGTACAAGTCTTTTACATCCTTGGTTAAATTTATTCTATTTTATTCTTTTTGATGCCCTTGCAAATGGAATTGGTTTTATTAAATTCTTTTTCAGATGGTTTTTTTAAAGTATATGGAAATGCAACTGATTTTTGTGTGTTGCTTTTGTATCTTGCAACTCTGCTAAATTCATTTATTGGCTTTAATAAATTTTTGTGCATTATTTAAGGTTTTCTTTTCTCTTTTTTTTTTTTTTTTTGAGACAGAGTCTTGCTCTGTTGCCCAGGCTAGAGTGCGGTGGCCTGATTTCGGCTCACTGCAACCTCTGCCTCCCAGGTGCAAGCGATTCTCCTGCCTCAGCCTCCCAAGTAGCTGGGATTAGAGACACCCGCCACCATGCCCGGCTAATTTTTGATTTTTAGTAGAGACGGTTTCGCCATCTTGGTCAGGCTGGTCTCGAACTCCTGACTTGGTGATCCACCTGCCTCGGCCTCCCAAAGTGCTGGGATTACAGGCATGAGCCACGGTGCCTGGCTGAATTTTTTTTTTTTTTTTTTTTTGAGATGGAGTCTTGCTCTGTCACCCAGGCTGGAGTGCAGTGGCTTGATCTCAGCGCACTGCAACCTCCACCTCCCAGGTTCAAGCGATTCTTCTGCCTGGGCCTCCTGAGTAGCTGGGACTACAGCCACCTGCCACCATGCTTGGCTAATTTTTGTATTTTTAGTAGAGACGGGGTTTCACCATATTGACCAGGCTAGTCTCAAATTCCTGACCTCAGGTGATCTGCCCGCCTCAGGCTCCCAAATTGCTGGGATTACAGGCATAAGCCACTGAGCCCAGCCTACAGTACTTGATTTTCATACGTTGAACCATCCTTGAATTCCAACAATAAATCCCATTCCCACATCTCACTTGGTCATAGTATATTGCTATTTTAATATGCTGCTGAATTTGGCTTGCTATATCGAAACTATATCTTTTTTCAGCCTCTTACTTTGAACCTATTTCTGTCTTTACATTTAAAGTGGGCTTATTATAGGCAGCATTTTGTTGGGGCTTGCTTTTTTAAAAGTAAAAATTTTAGAGGCAGGGTCTCCTTCTGTCACCCAGGCTGGAGTGCAGTGCACCATCATGACTTACTAAAGCCTCAACCCTCTGGGTTCAAGAGATCCTCCTGAGTAGCTGGGACTACAGGCATATGCCACCATACCTCACTAATTTTTAAATTTTTTGTAGAGACAGGATCTCACTATATTTCCCTTGCTCGTCTCAAACTCCTGGATTCAAGTGACCCTCCCACTTTAGCCTCCCAAAGTGAGAGCTTGTCTTTCTTTCTTTCTTTCTTTTCTTTCTTTCTTTCTTTTTTTTTTTTTTTTTGAGATGGAGTTTCGCTCATGTTGCCCAGGCTGAAGTGCATTGGCGCCATCTTGGCTAACCACAAACTCTGCCTTCTGGGTTCAAGTGATTCTCCTGCCCTAGCCTCCCAAGTAGCTAGAACTACAGGCATGCACCACCACACCCAGCTAATTTTTGTATTTTTAGTAGAGACAGGGTATCACCACATTGGCCAGGGATGGTCTTGATCTCTTGACCTCATGATCCACCAGCCTCGGCCTCCCAAAGTGCTGGGATTACAGGCATGAAGGCATGAGCCACTGTGCCCAGCCATTTTTTTTTTTTTTTGAGATGGAATTTCGTTCTTGTTGCCCAGGCTGGAATGCAATGATGCCATCTCAGCGCACTGCAACCTCCACTTCCCGGGTTCAAGAAATTCTCCTACCTCAGCCTCCTGAGTAGCTGGGATTACAGGCATGCGCCGCCACGCCCGGCTAATTTTGTATTTTTAGTAGAGATGGGTTTTCTCCATGTTGGTCAGGATGGTCGTGAACTCCTGACCTCAGGTGATCTGCCCGCCTCAGCCTCCCAAAGTGCTGGGATTACAAGTGTGAGCTGCTCTGCCCAGCTCGCTCTTTTCTTTTTTCTTTCTTTCTCTCTCTCTCTTTTTTCTTTCTCTCTCTCTTCCTTCTTCTTTTCTTTCTCTCTTTTCCTCTCTCTCTCCTTCCTTCTTTCCCTTCCTTCCTTCCTCCCTCCTTCCCTCTCTCTCTTCTTCTTCTTCTCCTCCTTTCTTTCTTTTTCTTTCTTTCTTTCTTTTTCTTTCCTTCTCTCTTTCCCTCTTTCCTTCCTTCCCTTCTTTCTTTCTTTCTCTCTCTTTTTTTCCTTTCTTGTCTTTCTCTCTTTCCCTCTTTCTCTCTCTCTCTCTTTCCTTCCTTCCTACTTTCTTTTTTTTTTTTTGAGACAGAGTCTTGCTCTGTCACCCAGTCTGGCCTCAGCCTCCCAAGTACCTGGGACTACAGGCAAATGCCACTACGCCTGGCTAATTTTTTTTTTTTTTTTTTTGTATTTTTAGTAGAGACAGTGTTTCACTATGTTGTCCATCTTGTCTCAAACTCCTGGCCTCAAGTGATCCGCCCACCTGAGCCTCCCAAAGTGCTGGGATTACAGGCATGAGCCTGGGGCTTGCTTTTCTATGCAATGTGACAAACTCTGCCTTTTACTTAAAGTGTTTAGACCCTTACATTCACTATGATTATTTTCCTGGTTTAATCTAAGCCCATTTTGCTATTTGTTTCTTTTTTTTTTTTTTTTTTTTTGAGACGGAGTCTCGCTCTGTTGCCCAGGCTGGAGTGTAGTGGCGCCATCTCGGCTCCCTGCAAGCTCCGCCTCCCAGGTTCACACCATTCTCCTGCCTCAGCCTCCCGAGTAGCTGGGACTACAGGCGCCTGCCACCACACCCGGCTAATTTTTTTGTATTTTTAGTAGAGACCGGGTTTCACCATGTTAGCCAGGATGGTCTCGGTCTCCTGACCTCGTGATCTGCCCGCCTCGGCCTCCCAAAGTGCTGGGACTACAGGCATGAGCCACCGCGCCTGGCCTGTTATTTGTTTCTTATTTCCTATTTGTTTTCTGTTTTCTTTCTTTTTCTTTTGTTTGAGACAGAGTCTCACAGTGTTGCCCAGGCTGGCGTGCAGCGGCGTGATCTCCGTTCACTGCAACCTCCGCCCCCAGGGTTTAAGCAATTCTCCTGCCTCAGCCTCCAGAGTGGCTGGGACTATAGGCACATGCTGCCACACCTGGATAATTTTTTAAAATTTTTTATTTTAGTAAAGACAGGGTTTCACCGTGTTGCCCAGGCTGTTCTCGAACTGCTGAGCTCAGGCAATCAGGCCACCTCAGCCTCCCAAAGTGCTGGGATTACAGGCGTGAGCCACCAAACCGGGCTTTTTTTTTTTTTCTTGTGAAACAGAGTTTCACTCCTGTTGCCCTGGCTGGAGTGCAATGGCACAATCTTGGCTCACTGCAAACTCTGCCTCCCAGGTTCAAGCGATTCTCCTACCTCAGTCTCCCAAGTTCCCAAGTAGCTGGGATTACAGGCGTGCGCCACTATGCCCAGCTAATTTTTGTATTTTTAGTAGAGACGGGGTTTCACCATGTTGGCCAGGCTGGTCTCAAACTCTTGACCTCGTGATCTGCCTGCCTTGGCCTTCCAAAGTGCTGATATAACAGGCTTGAGCCACGACGCCTGGCCCAAGCAATGTATTAATATGAGAGTTCCCATCTAGCCATATCCTCGTCAACATTTGTTATTGTCTCTCTGATGATGTCCATCTTAAGGAGCATAAAACCGTACCTCCCCACCTCCTGGGCTCAAGCAATCCTCCAACTTCAGCCTCCCGAGTAGCTGGGACTACAGATGCGCACCACCATGCCCTGCTAATTTTTGTAGAAATGGGGTCTCCCTATGTTGCCCAGGCTGATCTCCAACTCCTGGGCTCAAGCCTCAGCCTCGACAACCCCATCTGCTGAGATTATAGGTTGTGAGTCACTGTGCCAAGCCCAACAGCTTTTTTAAGGATTCAAGACTGTACGAACATAGTTGTAGCTGGTCAAAGATTAAAAGGTGCTATGCAAGAAAAAAGAAATCCACAAAATTAGTTCTTGGAATGGAACTGAGGCACCTGTCAAGAAAGGGTTCCTCAAGAAAGGAGCATCTAGCTAGGGTGTGGTAGCTCACGCCTGTAATCCCAGCACTTTGGGAGGCTGAGGTGGGCGCATCACCTGAGGTCAAGAGTTTGAGACCAGCCTGCCCAACATGGCGAAACCCCATCTCTACTAAAAATACAAAAATTAGCCAGACGTGATAGTAGGCGCCTGTAATCCCAGCTACTTGGAGGCTGAGGCAGGAGAATTGCTTGAACCCGGGGAGTCTGCAGTGAGCTGAGGGCCATTGCCCGCCAGCCTGGGCAACAAGAGAGAGAAACTCCGTCTCTCAAAAAAAAAAAAAAAAAAGAGAAATCCAGAGAAGAAATGATGGTGTTTTGAGATGGAGTCTTCCTCTGTCGCCCAGGCTGGAGTGCAGTGGTGCGATCTCAGCTTACTGCAAGCTCTGCCTCCTGGGTTCAAACGATTCTCCTGCTTCAGTCTCCTGAGTAGCTGGGATTAGAGGCGCGCACCACCACGCTCGGCTAATTTTTGTATTTTTAGTAAAGACGGCGTTTCACCATGTTGGCCAGGCTGGTCTCGAACTCTTGACCTCAGGTGATCCGCGTGCCTCGGCCTCCCAAAGTGCTGGGATTACAGGCGTGAGCCACTGCGCTCGGCCAGAAGGAACTGGTTTGACAGGATCCTTAGGACTTGGAGACTGGACGAGGGGCCCAGGAAAATGTAGGGGCCGAGGTCGCCGCCCAATTTCCCATTTGGAAGCTCGGTTGCCTGGTGGCGCATGCCCTAGATGGAGGTTAGGAGCACCTTTTGGGGGACGGTGATGACTGCGGGTTGACACGCGAGTGTGAGCCACCCGTGGAGAACGCAAGACATGTTCAACAGGGCGCTGGATGGAGGGGGCTGGCGCCCAGAGTCAGTCCTGCTATTCAGCAGTGTTGGGCTCAGGTGAACCGCAGCGCCAGGGCGGGCACCGATCCTAGGGTCCCACGAACAGGCCCCTCGGAGGCCAGGGAGAGCCCTGAATGACGCGTTCTCTCGGGTGGCCTGGGGGGGGCATCCCGCGGCTTCCTCCACCGGCGTAACGTGCCGGGCCCGGGGAAAGGAGCCGCCCGCCGGTCCCCGGAACCTTCTGCCGCCGCCGCCCGCGTTAGCCGCGGGACGGGTCGGGGGAACCCGATCGCTGTTGCTAAGGGGCGGCCCCGGAAGTGACGCGCCCCGGGTTTGTTGACAGCGGAGGCGGCGGCGGCTGCAGGCTCCGAGCCGTAGGAGCCGGATCGGGGGAGGGGCCGGGCCCAGGAGCCTCAGCCCCGCCGGCAGCCCTAAGGGCAAGGTAACCGCCACGGGGTCCCCGTCGCGACCCCCTCCCTCCCGGAGCTCCCGTCCCCGGGATCCCAAGCTCCGCCCCGCCGACCCCCGTCTCCCCTGGACCCCGGCTCTAGCCTGACGAGATCCCCAACCTCCTGAGGTGCTCTGGCCCCGGATTCTCCCGGGCTGCATTCTCTGCTCCTCCTCGCCTGCGAAGCATCACGTCCGCTTCCCGACGCTGAGGGCAGCCCCGTCCAGGGTAGGTCCCGGACCCCGGGCCAAGGGACGTACCTGCGTCCTCCTCCTTCGCCTCCTGCCTACGGGGCCTAAGCATCGCCGCTGCAACCACTCTCTGAGGTCCATCTCCGCCAGTGGTGGGAGGGTTCCTTTCTCTATCCCTGCCGCCAGGTCTGAGAATCGTGTCTTTAAAACTGAGCTCCCTTCCTCCAGAAAGAAAATGACGCTCTGTCG
The DNA here is from genome assembly GCF_000001405.40 of Homo sapiens. NCBI lineage: Eukaryota > Metazoa > Chordata > Mammalia > Primates > Hominidae > Homo > Homo sapiens. The sequence continues at coordinate 128,771,368 of NC_000009.12, read as the reverse complement.
TTTGCCCCTACAAGATGGGGGATCGGTGTAGGGCTGAAAGGGCCACCCTCTGCCCCTCCTACCTGTTGGATGAGCTTAAGTTCCCCCAGAGAAGTGCTTAGAAGCTCAAGGACGACTTGGATTCTGGATCAGCTCCCAAAAGGGATGACACAAAGTATAGGGAAATCCAACAGGGTGAGGTTGCAACCGGAGGGCCAAGGGAGCCCGACAGGTGAGTTGATAGTGAAACTGACTGTGCTGGCCACTATAGCTCTCTGGGTGGAACTTGTCTTGGCTGCTCTTTGACCGAAAGAGCCCAAGATTTCCAGTCTTTGCCTGTGTTTGTCAGTCCATTCGTTTTGTTTTGTTTTGTTTTTCTTTAAATAGAGATGGGGTCTCACTATGTTACCCAAGCTGGTCTCGAACTCCTGGGCTCAAGTGATCCGCCCGCTCCAGCCTCCAAAAGTGCTGGAAATACAGGCATGAGCCACCGCGCTCAGCTAGTGCATTTGATTTTTAAGGGGGAGGGGAATGGAATGTCTGATGTCTTGGGAAAATCCTTCCATATATGATCTTTCACAGAATGTTTCTCTTCAGACTTCAAACTGGTTAGGATGAGCATAAAAGCATAGCCTTGAAAAGGGTCACGGGAGGCTATACTTAGAGCAGAAAGTGGTGGCCAGGGGTGAAGGGCCTCGCTACTTTGGTTCATTTGTTCATTCAGCAAATAATAAACATGATATGTAAGGAGGTAATAAGTGGTTTGGAGAAAAATAGAGAAGGAAGGACCATGGGGAAGGAGTTGGGAGTTGTCATTTTATAGAGGGTGTTCAGGGAAGGTCTCTAGTAAGGTGACCTTTGAGCAGAGATAAGTGAGGGAGCAAGCCAGGTAGTTCTCTTGTGGCAGAGCATTCCGCAGCAAATGCAAAGGTCCTGTGGTCATATGCCTGGTGATTTGAAGAAACAGCATAAGGGCTCACGCTTGTAATCCCAGCACTTTGGGAGGCTGAGGCAGCCGGATCACCTGAGGTCAGGAGTTCAAGACCAGCCTGGCCGACATGGTGAAACCCCATCTCTACTAAAAGTACCAAAAAAAAAATTAGCTGGCCGTGGTGGCTCATGTCTGTAATCCAAGTTACTCAGGAGGCTGAGGCAGGAGAATTATTTGAACCTGAGAGGTGGAGGTTGCAGTGAGCCGAGATTGTGCCCATTGCATTCCAGCCTGGGTGACAAGAGTGAGACTCTGTCTCAAAAAAAAGAAAGAAACAGTGGGAGGATGGGGGACTGGAGCAGGTTGAAGAAAGGGAAGAGTGGTTGGCAAGAAAGTCAGAGAACAGTGGGGACCAGAAAAAGGTGGGGAAGACATCAGGGGCTGTCCTTGTGATACAGGGTCACAGGGTGTCTAATGGGACACCCTTTCAGAACCGTACTTGTTGAAGTGTCTGGTGGTTGGAGAAAATACAGATTTGTTTTAGATGACAAATGGCCATTGTGCTTGGGGCTTCGGTTGTAAGTACCCTTCTTCCATCTTTGTAATGACCATTGATGGAACAAATACAAAGAATCATGGTCACAGAGAACTGCGATTAAATCAAGTTAAGTTATGCCGCTGCTTCCTGGTTGTGAGAAGGTGGGCACGGGACCTTTTTCCACCTCAATCTTCTCATCTGGAAAATACAGCAGGCTGGGTGTGGTGGCTCACACCTGTAATCCCAGCACTTTGGGAGGCAGGTGGATCACCTGAGGTCAGGAGTTCGAGACCAGCCTGGCCAACATGGTGAAACCCCATCTCTACTAAAAATACAAAAATTAGCCGGGTGTGGTGACGCATGCCTGTAATCTCAGCTACTGGAGAGGCTGAGGCAGGAGAATCGCTTGAACCTGGGAGGTGGAGGTTGAAGTGAGCTGAGATCATGCCACTGCAGCACTCCAGCCTGGGCGACAGGAGCGAAACTCCATCTCAAAAAAAAAAAAAGAAAGAAAGAAAAGAAAAGAAAATAGGGCTGTTGGATTAGATAAAATCATGGGCTGAAGTGCTTAATGCAGTATTTCACACAAAGTGCTCAATACATAGCGGTCACGCTGATGAGGATGATGTGATGATGAGGAATGTGGGCATGTATGTCTGCCTCAGAGCCGTTCGTTTTAGCACTAGCTGGTGGTGTCACCAGCTCTAGCTGCCTCCATCAACTAGTAGGATTTGAGGAAATATTGGGGAAAGCAAGACAGAAACTTCTTGACACCCCTCAGAGGTAACTGGGTTAATATTCTGCAGAGAAGACGTTAGCTTGGTCCTGGCTTTTCTGACAGCAGCGGAGGGTGATGGGGACTTTTAAAAAAGAGCCCAGCACTGCCAGCGCTTTGGGAGGATCGCTTGAGGCCAGGAGTTTGAGACCAGTCTGGAGAACATAGGGAAACCCTATCTCTAAAAAAAAAAGAATTAAAATGAGCCCAGCAAATTTCCATTCTACCACGTAAAATAGGCAAAATGAGGGTGTTGAAATGAATGTGACTTGGAGACAGGTGGGGAGGGGCAGTGTATGCTGGGCCTAGATATGTGGTTGGAGTGTGCGTGGCTGATCTACGGGTAGAGGCTGGTGATCCGGAAGTGCCCGGCAGAGGCTGAGACTTTCCAGCCTGCTTTATAGGAAGCAGAACCACAGTTGATCTCCCTCCTTATACCCCAAGCCCGGACTATATCCTCAGGCCTGGGACACAGGCTGAGCAGGGCAACTGGGCCAGAGAATTTGAAAATGAAAGGTCAGAGCACTTAGGAGCTGAGAGCCAGCATGTTGGGGTAGGCTGTTGTGGGTAGAACCCCAGGCTGGTGACCTGCGGACCTGGTTCAAATCCCGGCTCTGCTGTTGGCTTGCTGTGTGAGTTAGGCAGGTTCCATCTCCTCTCTGGGCCTCAGTTTTCCTATTTGTAGATTAAGAATAATGGCCTTCCCTTGCCTCCGACTAACTCTAAAGGCTGTTGGGAGGATGAAATGAGACACAGCTTGTGAAAGAATTAGGTGTGTTCTGAAGCTCTCTACAAAGGTATTATCATTAGTACCACTAGGATTATGCAGACACGTTTTGGGGGCCCACTAGCTGGAAGACTGCTCTTGGCACTCTGGTTTTTTTGCTTGGCTTCAGTACCTCATCTGTTCTGGAGTCCTGAGAGGTGAGTGCAGAGACCCCTGTCTGGTTATCTATTTGTGGACCACTGTCTTATATCTGGCGCAATCGCTGAAACTGATTTTCCAGCTTCAGAGATGCAGAAGGGTCTCTTGAAGCATTATTCTCAGGAACATCACTCTTCATAATTATTGGTTACCACCTTCCTGCCATCCTTTCATGGCATCTCCTCAGCAACCCTGTTCACAACACGCGCAACACAGCGTGTGCCACTCGCAACATGCTGACAGGTAAGGACCTTGATAAATATTGAGGCTGGAAAACATTGGCTGGGGATCTTGTGGAGCCGAGGCCCTGTCACTGGCATTGAGCCACTCACATACTCTGTAATGGAGACCCCAGAAATCACATAGGGTCCCTGCCCTCAGGAAGCTTTCAATGCTGTGGCCAAAAAATGACATGCCACGGAGTGGTTACCAGCAGTACTGGATCATGTGAGCTCAGTGCCTGAGTTGTAAGGAAGCGGCGGAGGCTCGTGGAACAGAAGGGAAAGCTGAGGTTGGAGAAATGGTCCCTCCCCATAGCATAATGGCAAGGGGCTCGAACTTTAGGGTCACACACTTACCGGAGGAACAACTCATTGCTCATCTTTCAACCATTGTTTCCTTATCTGGGAAACAAAATGATAATGTATTATCATATTGATAAAATGTTATCTGTGGCAGCTGGGTGCGGTGGCTCACACCTGTAATCCAGCACTTTGGGAGGCTGAGGTGGGCGTATTGCTTGAGCCCAGGAGTTTGAGACAAGCCTGGGCAACATGGTGAGCCCTCATCGCTACAAAAAATAAAAAAATTAGCCAGGTCTGTTGGTATACGTCTGTAGTCACAGCTACTCCAGAGGCTGAGGTGGGAGATTGCTTGAACGTGAGAGGTGGAGGTTGCAGCGAGCTGAGATCGTACCACTGCACTCCAGCCTGGGTGACAGAGTGAGACCCTGTCTCTTAAAAGAAAAATAAATAAATAGGCCGACCGCAGTGGCTCACACCTGTAATCCCAGCACTTTGGGAGGCCGAGGCAGGTGGATCACCTGAGGTCAGGAGTTCGAGACCAGCCTGGCCAACATGGCAAAACCCTGTCTCTACTAAAAATACAAAAATTAGCCTGGCATGGTGGCGGGCACCTGTAATCCCAGCTACTTGGTTGGCTGAGGCAGGAGAATTGCCTGAACCCAGGAGGCAGAGGCTGCAGTGAGCCGAGATTGTGCCATTGCACTCCAGCTTGGGCAACAAGAGCAAAATTCCATCTCAAAAAAAAAAAGAAAGAAAAATAAATAAATAAATAAATAAGTTATCTGTGACTTTGATGCGAACTGCTTGGAAAGCTGGACACACTGGGTCTTTTTTTTTTTTTTTTTTTTTTTGAGACGGAATCTTGCTCTGTCACCCAGGCAGGAGTGCAGTGGTGCAATCTCGGCTCACTGCAACCTCTGCCTCCTAGGTTCAAGCGATTCTCCTGCTTCAGCCTCCTAAGTAGCTGGGATTACAGGCATCCGCCACCATGCCTGGCTAATTTTTGTATTTTTAATAGAGATGGAGTTTCACCATGTTGGCCAGGCTGGGCTCGAACTCCTGACCTCAGGTGATCCACCTGCCTTGGCCTCCCAAAGTGCTGGGATTACAGGCGTAGGCCACTGTGCCCAGCCTGACACACTGCGTCTTGAACTAATGAACTACCTGTGTACATATCTGTCTGTTCAGATCCATAGTCTCTGGCAAATTGCATAGCCATAGCCCCTTCCTTCCAGCTGCCTTTTCTGTAAGTTGTAGATGGTAACTCCTGCCTTGTTGGGTGTTGAGAGAATTCAATTAATTAACACATATAAAATACTTAACAGAGTTCTTTTTTTTTTTTTTTTTTTGAGATGGAATCTTGCTCTGTTGCCAGGCTGGAGTACAGTGGTGCAATCTTGGCTCACTGGAACCTCCACCTCCCGGGTTCAAGCAATTCTCCTGTCTCAGCCTCCTGAGTAGCTGGGACTATAGGCGCCCGCCACCACGCCCTGCTAATTTTTGTATTTTTAGTAGAGACAGGGTTTCACCATGTTGGCCAGGATGGTCTCAATCTCTTCACCTCGTGATCCGCCCGCCTTGGCCTCCCAAAGTGCTGGGATTAGAGGCGTGAGCCTCCACGCCCAGCCAGAATTCTTGGTATATACTTGGTATTCAGTATGGGTAGGATCATTAATACATTTGGTTACAAGAATAGAACCCAACCAGTCTGATTACTAGCCGAATGCAGCCTCCTCAAGGCCTCTCTGTCTCCAGCATCATGAGCAGCCACCTAGCTGTGAGGCACACTCCCCAATTATTGTGTGTCTGCATCTTTCTGACATAACCCAACTCATAGATTTAATCTCTGCAGACTTTTCAGAGCCAGGTGGCGTCTGGTTTTCACCTGTTTCCCGACCACCTGGAGATCCCCACACTTGCTGTGACTCCCCTCACACCCCCAGTCTCTGGCCCTTGATCTGCTGCCTCCTGGAAAGCGTCTAGCCTCTGTAAATAGGGCATTTGTTTGGGTTTTCCCCCCAGCTCCTAGGTTAATATTTCACAGGGTGAGTACTGCTCCAAGGCTCAGAGCTTCTGGCTCCCCCAACCTCTCTGTCCTCTGGGTATCAGGACACTGGTGGGATCCCATGCTCCCACCTCCAGACTTCAGTTTCTCTTTCCCTCCCATTGTTTGGATGGATGGACTGAAGACCAAATATTTGGTGAGAAGCGGGGGTCTGCTTTAGGTTTGCATCCCACTCTCATCAGTTTTGTGATCTCAGGCAAGCTTCTGCTTAGTTGTGTATGCGTCAGTATCTTCATCAGAAAATGGGGTAATAATCTCTATCTTGCAGTACTAGAGTAAGGGAATTCCAGCCACAGCAAACCTTTGTTCTATTAAACACCAGGCATAAATTGGGCACCGAAGTCAGACACCAAGGATACAGGTGCGTGCGCGCTTGCGCACGTGTGTGTGTGTGTGTGTGTGTGTGTGTGTGTGTGTGTACATGTGCATGGATGCAGGCATGCAAGCAAGCATACAGCTTCTGTCCTCCCAGAGCTCACAGGCAGTAGGAGGGTGTCAGTTGACAAATTGTTATGTAAATGATTAATTAGTTGCAAGTACAGGGTACTAGGAAATATTTTGTCGGTTGAGTAAGAGACTCGAGGGAGTAAAGCCTGTAAGGAGCTTAGGACCACATCTGGAAGCAGCCAACATGGACGTGGTATGGCGGTGCCTTCTGCTGCTGCTGCTGCTGGTGCTGTTTTTCTCTCTCTTCTCTCCCACTTCCTTCATTCCCCAGGATGTCGAATGTTCATGATAGACCTAGTATTAGAGAACATGCAAGAAAAGGGATGGAGAAAGACACAGGGTTCTCCCAGTGTGGTGGTCGGTCATAACCAGAGCTCCCTCTGTCCTCAGTTGCTGGAATTCCAGATGGCCTGTGACTGCCCTGAGAATGACAATCCCTAAGGAATGGAGTAGGTAGAGTGGAGTAGGTAGAGATGGCTGCCTCTGGCAGGTGCCAGGCCCGCAGCTGGATGGGTCTCAGGGCATGGTAGCCCCGGGGCCCTTCAGTCTCTGTGCCAGGATGTAAGATGGCTGCTTCCTCTTCCAGCTCATTCCAGCCCTGAGTGGCAAGGTCAACACTGCTAAGGGGAGGCTAGCAGATGGCGCCATCTACCTGGCTTATGTTTTGGGGGCTTTTGGTGACCGTGACAACTGACGTGGTGGTGTTTCTTCCACTTGGGGAGCATGGTAAGGGCAGAGCAGCTGCCTAGGTAACTGGGCTCAGACCTGCAGAAAAGGCAAAACCCCAGTGGCTCTCCCTCATTCAGAGCCTCCGAGCCAAGAGGCATCATTTGCAGCCACTGGGCGCCCAGCAGTGTCCTGAGTGCAGCAAGCAGGGAGAATGCGAGAGTGTACTATACCTCCCAGGCCTCGTGCAGACCTCTGATGGCGAGTACTTTGTCATTCCTTCCACAGGCCTTTGTTGAAACCTCACCTTGTGGCAGGCCCCACATTGAGTGTTCAGTGCTTCCTTTGTTCATTTAGCAAATAGTCATGGACCTGGGCCCGTAGTGCCAACGTCCCATGCACCCCCTCTCCTTGCAGCTTAGGTACTTCTTTGCTTCCTCCCAAAGCGCCTTCCCCTTCTCTCCCCTCCACCAGAGTTAACTAGGACTTATCTTTTGGGTCCCAGCTGAAATGTCACTTCTTTTTTTTTTTTTGATGGAGTTTTGCTCTTATTGCCCAGGCTAGAGTGCAATGGTGTGATCTTGGCTCACTGCAACCTCCGCCTCCCGGGTTCAAGCAATTCTCCTGCCTCAGCCTCCCGAGTAGCTGGGATTACAGGCGTGCGCCACCAGCCCAGCTTATTTTTGTATTTTTAGTAGAGACGGAGTTTCACCATGTTGGCCAGGCTGGTCTCGAACTCCTGACCTCAGGTGATCCACCTACCTCAGTCTCCCAAAGTTTTGGGATTACAGGTGTGAGCCACTGCACCTGGCCTGAAATGTCACTTCTAAGGATACCTGCTCTGACTCCCCAGTCCAGGGCAAGTCCCCTGATTGGGCATCCAGAGCCCCAGGCCCCTTCTCCTGCAAGACACTGGTCCCAGTTACGCGACAGGCGCTTATGGGCCCTGTAGGTGGATCTGTCTCCCTCCGGAGCCAGTACGCTCCATGTGGTCAAGGACCTTGTCCGGCTCGCTCACCAAGGACCCCCAGTGCTCAGCAGGGACTGAGTGAGCAGGTCCAGGGAGGTGATACCAAACAAGACAGCCTGGTTTTGCCCTCATGGACCTGGCCATCCATCAAGGATGCTGAATCATCAAAGCCACATCGTACCAAGTGTTCATTGCTGTGGTAGATCGGGCCTGTGGGGGGACTCAGCAGGCACACCCTGGTGGGTTAAGCATGGCTTCCCAGAGGAAGTAACTTTGACACTGGGACCATAGGTATCAGCTACGTGAAAGGAGAGTTCAAAGATCATGTGGGCTGGAGTGGCCAGGAGATACTTCCTGGAGGAAGGACATGGAGTGTATTTGGGTAGGGGAGGGGAGAAGGCAGTATTTAAATTAGAAAGTGCAGTAATTAGTTGAATTTGGATGGTCCTGGTTGAAAGAGAACAGACTGGGCAAAGGTCTGAAGGTGACCTGTGCCGAGGGCCTTTTGCCAGGACAGTGAATGATGAGGCCAGGCTGGCTGGAGTAGGGGGGCAGTGGGGACCAAGTAGGCCAGAAAGCTGGCTGTAATTCCGGTGGGCTTGAAAAGAGTTGCTTTCCAAGAGTGGGGACTCTCTGCCAGCAGTGCTCCCTCTGGTTCCAGTTTCCCAGGCAAGAGAGGCTGCTGGGCTCTTAAAGATCTTGAAGCAAATGAAGGCAAAGGAAGGCCATGCCCGGGGCCCAGGCATCCTGGCTTTTGTGCCTTCCCTCGAGGGTGCCATGCTGCCAGTGGGACAGCTGACACAATGAGCCTTGTTGTGGGAGACCCAGGCCGGGGAGCACAGGCCCGGAGCTGGGAGCCAGGGCAGATGAGGTAGGAGAAGGTAATGATTATAACAACAACATAATAACGGTTGTCTTTATTGAGCAATGACTACATGCCAGACACCGTTCTAAGCCCTTTTGATATTATTCCATGGAATCTTCACACCGTGCTGGGGATGAGGTATTGTGCTGCTTCTATTTTAGAGGAAAAGTGACTGAGGCACAGAGAGGTGGAGACACTTGCCCAAGTTTGTCTCCTCGTGAGCAGCAAGGCTGAAATGTGAGCTATGCCTGCCTGAATCCACAGCCCATCCACACACAGTCCCCAGTAGACAGTGGTGCCACAGTTGAACTCAGAACTGGCTGATTCCAAAGCCCAGTGTGCCCTGTGGCTTCCCGCTGGATTTCCTGAGCAGTCTGGAAGGTTTACAAATGGGCACAGAGGGAGGCTCCCAGAAGCTGGGACAATGCTGGGCCCCAGAACTCCAGAACCCTCTAAGTCAGGGGTGTCCAATCTTTTAGCTTCCCTGGGCCACACTGGAAAAGGAACTGTCTTGGGCGACACGTAAAATACACCAACACTAACAACAGCAGATGAGCTAAAAAAAAAAAAAAGTCCATAAATGTCATAATGTTTTAAGAAAGTTTACAAATTTGTGTTGGGCTGCATTCAAAGCTGTCCTGGGCCACATGCAGCCCATGGACCACAGGTTGGACAAGCTTGCTCTAAGAGATGTGAGGGATTCCACGAGACCAGGTTCCAGTCTAGTTTACACAGCTCCCTCTGTTTGACCTTGAGTTTCCTCCTCTATAAGATGGGGTCAGCCGGGCGCGGTGGCTCACGCCTGTAATCCCAACATTTTGGGAGGCTGAGGCGGGCGGATCACAAGGTCAGGAGTTCGAGACCATCCTGGCTAACATGGTGAAACCCCATCTCTACTAAAAATACAAAAAATTAGCCGAGCGTGGTCGCAGGCGCCTGTAGTCCCAGCTACTTGGGAGGCTGAGGCAAGAGAATGGCATGAACCCAGGAGGCGGAGCTTGCAGTGAGCCGAGATCGTACCACTGTATTCCAGCCTGGGTGACAGAGTGAGACTCTGTCTCAAAAAAAAAAAAAAAAAAACAAATTATGGGGTCATAGGGCTGGACATGGTGGCTCATGACTGTAGTTCCACCATTTTGGGAGGCGAGGCGGGTGGATCACCTGAGCTCAGGAGTTCGAGACCAGCCTGGCTAACATAGCAAAACCCCGTCTCTACTAAAAATACAAAAATTAGCCGGGTGTAGGGGCAGGTGCCTGTAGTCCCAGGTACTCAGGAAGCTGAGGCAGGAGAATAACTTGAACCTGGAAAGCAGAGGTTGCAGTGAGCTGAGATGGTGCCGCTGCACTCCAGCCTGGGTGACAGAGCAAGACTCTGAAAAAAGAAAAAAAAGGTGGGGTCATAACCACCATGTTGTGTACTTAGTCTGTTGGGCTGGGACTAAGCATTTCTTCAACATTATCTCATTTAGTACCACAGCCCTGTGAAGTAGAGATTATTATCCCCCCCTCCCTTTTTTTTTTTTTTTGAGACAGAGTCTGGCTCTGTCGCCCAGGCTGGAGTGCAGTGGCGCGATCTCGGCTCACTGCAAGCTCCGCCTCCCGGGTTCACACCATTCTTCTACCTCAGCCTCCCGAGTAGCTGGGACTATAGGTGCCCACCACCACGCCCAGCTAATTTTTTGTATTTTTAGTAGAGACAGGTTTCACTGTGTTAGCCAGGATGGTCTTGATCTCCTGACCTCATGATTCGCCTGCCTCGGCCTCCCAAAGTGCTGGGATTACAGGCGTGAGCCACCGCGCCTGGCCTATTATCCCCATTTTTCAGATGAGGAAACTGAGGTCTGGAGAGGTTAAGTAACTTTTTTTTTTTTTAAACGGAGTCTCGCTGTGTCGCCAGGCTGGAGTGCAGTGTCACCAGGCTGGAGTGCAGTGGCGCAATCTTGGCTCGCTGCAACCTCCGCCTCCCAGGTTCAAGTGATTCTCCTCCCTCAGCCTCTTGAGTAGCTGGGATTACAGGTGTGCACCACAACACCCAGCTTTTTTTTTTGTATTTTGGTAGAGACGGGGTTTCACTATGTTGGCCTCAATGGAGAGGTTAAGTAATTTTACAGTGAATTGTATAACTGGGTCAAAACATAGATCTGTCTGACCACAGAGCCTGCACTTAAAAGAAAACTTTTGGGGCTGGGTGCGGTGGCTCACGCCTGTAATCCCAGCACTTTGGGAGGCCGAGGCAGGCGGATCACAAGGTCAGGAGATTGAGACCATCCTGGCTAACACGGTTAAACCCCATCTCTACCAAAAATACAAAATATTAGCCGGGCGTGGTGGCACACGCCTGTAGTCTCAGCTACTCGGGAGGCTGGGGCAGGAGAATCGCTTGAACCTGGGAGGCAGAGGTTGCAGTGAGCTGAGATTGCCCCACTGCACTCCAGCCTGGGTGACAGAACAAGACTCCGTCTCAAAAAAATAAAAAACTTTTATGAAGTATAACATACATGAGAGACCAGGCACAGTGGCTCACGCCTGCAATCCCAGCATTTTGGAAGGCCAAGATGGGAGGATCGCTTGAGCCCAGGAGTTCGAGACCAACCTGGGCAACACAGAAAGACCCTGTCTTTACTAAAAATTAAAAAATTTACTGGGCGTGGTGGCACATGCCTGTGGTCCCAGCTACTCAACAGGCTGAGGTGGGAGGATCGCTTGAGCCCAGGAGGTCAAGGCTGCGGTGAGCCGTGATCATACCACCACACTCCAGCCTGGGCAACAGTATGAGACTCTGTCTCAGAAAAAAACAACCAACCAAACAAACAAACAAAAAAATACATACATAAGGAAAGATGCACAAAATATGAGTATAGAGTCTGATTAATTTTTTTCTTTTTTTTTGAGACGGAGTCTCGCTCTGTTGCCCAGACTGGAGTGCAGTGGTGCCATCTTGGGTCACTGCAAGCTCCGCCTCCTGGGTTCACGCCATTCTCCTGCCTCAGCCTCCCAAGTAGCTGGGACTACAGGTGCGTGCCACCACGCCCGGCTAATTTTTTCTATTTTTAGTAGAGACAAGGTTTTACTGTGTTAGCCAGGATGGTCTCAATCTCCTGACCTCATGATCCACCTGCCTTGGCCTCCCAAAGTGCTGGGATTACAGGCGTGAGCCACCATGCCCAGCCGCCATTTTCTTAACTTTCTATTCAATTACAATATTCGGGCCAGGCACGGTGGCTCACATCTGTAATCCCAGCACTTTGGGAGGCAGAGATGGGCGGATCACCTGAGGTAAGGAGTTCGAGACCAGCCTGAGCAACATGATGAAACCCCATCTCTACCAAAAAAAAAAAAAAAAAAATTAGCTGGGTGTGGTGGCAGGCACCTGTAATCCCAGTTACTCCAGAGGCTGAGGCAGGAGAACCGCTTGAACCTGAGAGGCGGAGGTTGCAGTGAGCTGAGATCGTGCCACTGCACCCCAGCCTAGATGACAGGGTTAGACTCCGTCTCAAAAGAAAAAAAAAAACAATATTCACTGGCTGGGCGCGGTGGCCCATGCCTGTAATCCCAGCTACTCGGGAGGCTGAGGCAGGAGAATGACTTGAACCCGGGAGGTGGAGGTTGCAGTGAGCCGAGATCGCGCCACTGCACTCCAGCCTGGTGACAGAGCAAGACTCAGTCTAAAAAAAAAAAAAAAAATTCACTTGAAAAAGTACACACATCATGATACACAGGTCGGTGAAGATTCACACAGTAAGCGAGCCTGGATACCCAGTACTCTGATCAAGGAGACTAGAAGCTCCTCAGCACCCAGAAACTCCCTTCCAATCACCTCCCCGGGTAACCACAGTCCTCACTTCTCCCACCACAGATGAGATTCCCCTGATTTTGAACTTAGTGGAGTGACACAGTGTAGATCCTTTTGTGTCTGACTCCTCTCATTAAATGCAGTAAGGGTTGGCCAGGTGCAGCGGCTCATGCCTGTAATCCCAGCACTTTGGGAGGCGGGGGTAAGCAGATTGCTTGAGCACAAGAGTTTGAGACCAGCCTGAATAACATAGCAAGATCTTGTCTCTACAAAACAAAAAACAAAAAACAAAGAAACCAGAAAGATTAGCCGGGTGTGGTGATGCATGCCTGTAGTCTCAGGTACTCAGGAGGCTAAGGTGGGAGGATCGCTTGAGCCTGGGAAATAGAGGGTGCAGTGAGCCAAGATCACACCACTGCACTCCAGCCCAGGTAATGAGATTCTATCTCAAAAATTAAAAATTAAGGCCAGGCACAGTGGCTCACACCTGTAATCCCAGCACTTTGGGAGGCCAAGGCGAGCAGATCACCTGAGGTCAGGAGTTCGAGACCAGCCTGGCCAACATGGATAACCCTGTCTCTACTAAAAGAAAAAAATACAAAAATTAGCCCGGCGTGATGGCGCACGCTTGTAATCCCAGGTATTCGGGAGGCTGAGGCAGGAGAATCACTTGAACCCAGGAGGCGGAGGTTGCAGTGAGCCAAGATCATGCCACTGCACTCCAGCCTGAGCAACAGAGCAAGACTCTATCTCAAAAAAAAAAAAAAAACCTAAACTAAAAATTAAAAAAAAAAAACATTGTAAGCCTTATCCAAGCTGTTAACAGGAGTTTGTGCCTTCTCATTGCCATGCAGTATTTAGTAGATGAATATACCATAATTATCCATTCCAATGCCAGTGGACATGTAGGTTCTTTTCTGGTTTTGGCCATTACAAATAGTGCTGCTGTGAACATTCTAGTGTAGATCTTTTGGTGCACATTTACTTATGCATTTCTGTTGGGTATATACCTAGGAGTCAAGTTGCTAAGTGTTGAACGTATGTACGTTCAGCTTTAGTAAATAGTGAATAGTGTTAAACACTGTTCCCATTGTATTCCCAGTTCACACCAATTTGCCCTGCCGCCAGCCCTGTGGGAGATTTCCCACTGTTCCCCGTCTTCCCCAATGCCAGGTATTGCCCATGTTGTTGTTGCTGCAGTTGCGTTCAGTTGAGCCAGTGGGCGTGTGGAAAATGGCATCTCATTGTGGCTTTACTGTGCACTTCCCTAATAGTAAAGAAGCTGAGTGCTTTTCACATGTTTGTTGTCTGTTTCACTATCTTCCTTCATGAAATGCCTGTTCAAATCTTTCACTCTTTTTTTTTTTTTGAGACAGGGTCTGGCTTTGTTGCCCAGGCTAGAGCGCGGTGGTGCAATCACAGCTCACTGCAGCCTCAACCTCTTGGGCTCAGGTGATCCTCCCACCTCAGCCTCCCAAGTAGCTGGGACTACAGGCACATGGCACCGTGCCCAGCTAATTTTTTTTGTATTTTTTGTAGAGACAGGGTTTCGCCATGTTGCCCAGGCTGGTCTTGAACTCCTGGGCTCAAGCAATTTGCCCACCTCTGGCTCCCAAAGTGCTGGGATTACAGGCTTGAGCCACTGCACCCAGGCTCTGTGTGGTAACTTTTGATGAACAGAGTTTTTAATTTTGAGGCAGTCCAATTTATCAGTTTTTTTCTCTTCATGTGAAATCATTGCCTAAAGTCATAAAGATATACTCCTGTGTTTTCTTCTAGAAACCTTATTGTTTTAACTTTCACATTTATATCTATCATCTATCTCAAATTAATTTTTGTGTATGCATGAACAGAAGTTTCTTTGCTTTGGTGTAGATAAGTTTATGATTTTCTACCTCCTGGTTAGCACCTCTTGAGTCCTAGTTAGGAAATCTTTAGCTGTGCTAAAGTCATGAAGCTAGTAGGAGACTTCACTTTTTTAAATAACAGTTTTACTGAGATATATATAATTCACATGTCACACAATTCATCCATATAAAGTATATAATTCCATGATTTTTAGTATATTCATAGAGTGCACCCATGACCACTGTCAATTTTAGACCATTTTCATCACCCCAAAAAGAAACTCCATACACACTGGCAGTTACTCTCCTTTTTCCCAACCACAAACCTACTTCTGTCTCTATAGATTTGCCTATCGTCACTGGACATTTCTATCAGAGGAATCATACGGTATATGACTTTTTTTTTAAACTGATTTCTTTCACTCAACATAATGTTTTCAAGGTCCAACATTATAGCATGGATCACTACTTTTTATGACTGAATAATATTCCACTGTATGAATATGTAACATTTTGTTGATCCGTTCACCAGTTGAAGGACATTTGGGTTGTTTCCACTTTTTGGCTCTTACAAATAATGTTGCTATGAATGGTCACATCTGAGTTTCTTTTTTTGAGATGGAGTCTCACTCTGTCGCCCAGGCTGGAGTGCAGTGGCAGGGTGTCGGCTCACCGCACTCCGCCATTCTCCTGCCTCAGCCTCCCGAGTAGCTGGGACTACAGGCGCCCGCCACCACGCCCGGCTAATTTCTGTATTTTTAGTAGAGACAGGGTTTCACCGTGTTAGCCAGGATGGTCTCCATCTCCTGACCTTGTGATCCGCCCACCTCGGCCTCTCAAAGTTCTGGGATTACAGGCATGAGCCACCGTGCTCGGCCACGTCTGAGTTTCTATGTGGACATATGTTTTCATTGCTCTTGTAAGGAGCCTTCATTTTTAATCAGACACCATGAGATTCAGTGATATCATGTCTATATGTCTATTAAGCCCTGGCACAGCCTAAGTGCTCAATCAATCATAGCTGTATACAGGTTAGGAAGTACTGCACAGCATGGAACACCCCAGTGTAGCTCTTCAGACTGTGGGAAGCTGAAGAGTGAAAATCTGTATTATCCCCACCCAAGCACTGGGTCCCCAGCACACACGTCTGCTCACAGGCAAATAAGTGCTTGGACAAGGCTCCATGTTCTTTGCAGGTCAAATTGTGCATAGATAGTGGCACAGCAGAGGCGGGTGAAAGAAGGAGTCAGGAGACCTGGGCCTGGCCCTGCTAAGCTGCTAATTGGAGTGTGGTCTCAGTTTCCCTACTCAGAGCGTGGACATGGGACCACTGATAGTTCTAGCCCTTGTGTGTGGCTCACTTGGCATCTTGTCCACTCCCCAGGCAGTGGCTCTGCCAATGATCCTGTGAGTATTCAGGAATCACTGTTGCCCCTGGGGATCCTTGTCCTGGAGTGGCCCACCTGCTTGCCCCCAGCATGGCGTCCGACACTCCCGAGTCGCTGATGGCCCTCTGTACTGACTTCTGCTTGCGCAACCTGGATGGCACCCTGGGCTACCTGCTGGACAAGGAGACCCTGCGGCTACATCCGGACATCTTCTTGCCCAGCGAGATCTGTGACCGGCTCGTCAATGAGTGAGCAGACCCAGGGCTGAGGAGGGGCAGGGGTCTTACCATGAATGTGTATAGAGAGATTGGGACCGTGTGTGCACTATGTGGGGAGTAGCTATGGAGATGAATGTGTGAGGGTGTGTGTGTGTGCACATGGATGTTCATGGCTGCAAGAGAATAGTGGTGTATCCATAACCGTAAAGGTGTATATGTGTGTGTGTTGGTGTGTGTGTGGAGGGGTGTGCACGTGAAGGCATGGGTGTGTGTACACATGTAAGCTTATGCAGCACAGGTTATTTCTGACTGTGAAACTGCATGTGTGCATTTAGAGATGTGATTGTGTCAAAATCTGCATATAAATGAAGGAATTAAGTGTTGCCCCACACGTGTATGTACATTCACATGCACATACCTGTGCTTGTGAATTCAGTGAGCATGGCCACATATGCATGTACATGCCGGTGCCAGAATAACGGATCCATGATCAGGGAGTGAATCATCCAGAAAATCTGAATGGCCCTCCGAGGGCCTCCCCACTCCTAGGGGCTCCTAGAAGCATGCTATGCAGTCACTGAATGCTGGGAGTTCAATCTACAGGCCCAGATGGTGGCCAGGCATGGTGGCTCACACGTGTAATTCCAGCATTTTGGGAAGCCAAGACAGGAGGATCACTTGAGACCAGAAATTCAAGATCAGCCTGGGTGACATAGCGAGACCTTGTCTCTACCAAAAAAAAAAAAAGAAAAAGATTCCCAGAAGGGAAATTATTAGACAGCTGCATAGGAAACTAGAAGCCTGTGTGGGCCTGAGGACAGAGGTGGACCTGTAATAACGTCCTGAGCATTTACCGTGGGTCAGGCTTTAGGTTGGACACTTTGCAGGCCATAGTTATATCCACTTTACAGATGAAGAAACTGAGGTCTGGGAAAGTTCATTTACTTGTGTGAAGTTGCCCAGGTAGGAAGCAGCCAAGCCAAGATTTAGAGTCTAAAGCGTTTGAATCCAAAGCATTTCCCAGCAGACCAGGATTCTTGCATGAGCTGATGTCTCAACAGGGCTTCATTAAGGGCTTGTCCTGTACCCAGCTGGGAACTCTGAACTACTTGGCTTAGTTTGCCTGTTTAAAAGGGTCGCAGGAGGGGCTTAAAGAAGGTGACGAGAGTGGCCATGCCAGTGGGGCTGCTGCCCCTGCAGTGTGCGTGCGTGGAGGCTGTGTGACAGGCATGTGCACTGGGAGAGATGGCGCCTGCATCACCTAGAAGGTCTCCCAGAGAGCTGCCTTTAGATTCCTGGTTCCTGGGCACCCTTAATCTTACTGGTAGTTTAGTCAGGATCTGACCAGATACTCTTAGGAGAAGGAGGTTGCTACTTGGGGTGATCCAAGAAAGCTTCAGGGGGAGGAGGGCTTGGCTTTGAAGCGAGGATGAGAGTCCCTGTGGCCCTCTCCTGAGCCAGGCTTTTTTCTCTCCCAGGTATGTGGAGCTGGTGAACGCTGCCTGTAACTTCGAGCCACACGAGAGCTTCTTCAGCCTCTTTTCGGACCCCCGCAGCACCCGCCTCACGCGGATCCACCTCCGTGAGGACCTGGTGCAGGACCAGGACCTGGAGGCCATCCGCAAGCAGGTGAGACCTGCCCCGCCACAGCGCCAGGAGGGCCCACACCAAGCAGGGGCCAGGCTGCTCGCCTCCAGCCCAGCCATCCCCAGCCCAGCCAGTGTGCACCGTGACTGTGCACATCCCCCTTTCCAACCCACCTGTAGCCCAGGGCAAGGCCTGGGGCCGGGGGAAGGGGCAAGGGTGGTGATGATGATGGAGCTGTGCCCACTCCCAGGACCTGGTGGAGCTGTACCTGACTAACTGCGAGAAGCTGTCCGCCAAGAGCCTGCAGACACTGAGGAGCTTCAGCCACACCCTGGTGTCCTTGAGCCTCTTCGGCTGTACAAACATTTTCTATGAGGAGGAGAACCCAGGGGGCTGTGAAGATGAGTACCTCGTCAACCCCACCTGCCAGGTGCTGGTTAAGGATTTCACCTTCGAGGGCTTCAGCCGCCTCCGCTTCCTCAACTTGGGCCGCATGATTGATTGGGTCCCTGTGGAGTCCCTGCTGCGGCCGCTTAACTCCCTGGCTGCCTTGGACCTCTCAGGCATTCAGACGAGCGACGCCGCCTTCCTCACCCAGTGGAAAGACAGCCTGGTGTCCCTCGTCCTCTACAACATGGACCTGTCCGACGACCACATCCGGGTCATCGTGCAGCTGCACAAGCTGCGGTGAGCTCCTGGCCCAGAGCTCACCAGGGTGGGGTTTGGGGGGCAGGTGGGGAGGAGTAGAGGTGGGTGTTGTCACGCCCTCAGGGTTCAGGAGCGCTTGGCTAGGCAGAGGGTGGGGATGAAGACACAGTCCCATTCCTTAAACCCAGTGTTTCAGCTGGATTGGGGCTGTTTGGGGTTTCTTCCCAGAATGCCCTGGGGAAGTTGTGGCAGGAATGGGCCCTCCCCTGCTACAGACTAAAGGAGCTGGGATCTGCAAGGCAGCCCCACCCTGTACCCAGCTCCTAACCTGCACCCCCTACCCCAATCTTCAGACACCTGGACATCTCCCGAGACCGCCTCTCCAGCTACTACAAGTTCAAGCTGACTCGGGAGGTGCTGAGCCTCTTTGTGCAGAAGCTGGGGAACCTAATGTCCCTGGACATCTCTGGCCACATGATCCTAGAGAACTGCAGCATCTCCAAGATGGAAGAGGAAGCGGGGCAGACCAGGTGGGGCCCCAGCCTCCATGGCTACTGGTAGGGTGTCATTCAACAGGCATTTAGGCTGGCGCAGTGGCTCACGCCTGTAATCCCAGCACTTTGGGAAGCCAAGATGGGCGGATCACTTGAGGCCAGGAGTTAGAGACCAGCCTGGCCAACATGGTGAAACCCCATTTCTACTAAAAATACAAAATTTAGCTGGACATGGTGGCAGACACCTGTAGTCCCAGCTACTTGGGAGGCTAAGGTATGAGAATTGAAGCCGGGAGGCGGAGCCTGCAGTGAGCTGAGATCGCGCCACTGCACTCCAGCCTAGGCAACAAAGTGGGACTTTGTCTCAAAAAAAAAAAAAAAGAAAGTATTTGCCAAGTACCCCTCTGCCAAGTGCTGTGCTGGGTGCTAGAGATAAAGAAACAAATCAGGTCCTGCCCTCTTGGAGGCTGTGTGAGCTGGTGGGGACAATCAAGTCATTACAAGGGCTATGGTAGGGGCAATCCAGGGCCCCGGTGTGGCCTGAGGATCAGGAAGGAAGGAGGAGGAGGGACGCATCCTGGCTGTCCTGAAAGCTCATTCTGCCTCTGCCAGAGGAAGCGTGTTCTAGCAGAGGGAACAGCACCTGCAAAGGCCAGTAGGTGAGAGCATGAGGAGCGACAGGGGAACTACCCAACACTCAGCCTGACCAGAGCACAGTGCCATGGGGGGAAGAGGCAAGGCTGGCAGTGTCTGCCACCTATGGAGTATTGCTGGACATAGGTCGGTTCTTGGATTGGTTGGTTGAGAAGTTTGACCAAACCCTACCAGCTGTAACTGGCCACCCATAAGCCCTGGCCCCAGCCTGCTTTAATGGTGTTCAGTTGAGCTTGTCCCTTTGTGATTGTTGGTGAGACCTAAAGGTGCCATGTCCTTACTAGAATGGCAGGTGGTTTCTAAAGGTGGCTGCATTGCCCATCCTATGTGTTCCCCTACTATGTGGCTTTGCCATGCTTCCATCAGGAGGTGGTGCTTATGTCCCCTACCATTAAAAACAAAAGGAGTAGGGGATGAGGTTGGAGGGCCTAGAAGAGAAAGCAAGGAAATGCCTCACCACCCCCAGTGGGGAGGCCCAGCTCAGGCCTGGGTCCCAAGCCACTGACACCGGCACCCTCTTTCCCCAGCATTGAGCCTTCCAAGAGCAGCATCATACCTTTCCGGGCTCTGAAGAGGCCGCTGCAGTTCCTCGGGCTCTTTGAGAACTCTCTGTGCCGCCTCACGCACATTCCAGCCTACAAAGTGAGCAGTGGAAGTGGGATGGGTCTGGGCCAGGGAGCCTTGGGAGAGAGAAGGAGCTGGATTCTGGGGCTGGAGACTGAGCTGGGATCTGGCATCCCAGCCCTTGGCCTCTGCTGGGTTGTTCTGAGCGTGTCCCACCCGCAGGTAAGTGGTGACAAAAACGAAGAGCAGGTGCTGAATGCCATCGAGGCCTACACGGAGCACCGGCCTGAGATCACCTCGCGGGCCATCAACTTGCTTTTTGACATCGCCCGCATCGAGCGTTGCAACCAGCTGCTGCGGGCCCTGAAGGTCAGCTCCAAGCCTGGGGCCTTGGCCTCCTGTCCCTCCCCACCTGGAGGTTGCCGGGCTTGGCTGAGCCGTGTCCCCAGAGCCTGTGTCCTTCTGCACCCTGTCCCCAGGGCCCCAGGACCCGAACCCCAGCCTGGGCCTCACAGCACTTGACTTGCTTCAGCACTGGCCTTGTTTGGTCCCCACCCTGGTGTCTGCTCCCCAGGCCCCACTTCTGCCTTTAGAGAGCAAGACCAGGCTAAACCTTGCCCCAGAGAGCCTGTTCCAGCCCCTTGCAGAGCCCAGGCCTCTCCCTGCACTTGCCAGCCCAGGTCCCCCTTGTCTTCATACAGCTGGTCATCACGGCCCTCAAGTGCCACAAATATGACAGGAACATTCAAGTGACAGGCAGCGCCGCTCTCTTCTACCTAACAAATTCCGAGTACCGCTCAGAGCAGAGTGTGAAGCTGCGCCGGCAGGTTATCCAGGTGGTGCTGAATGGCATGGAATCCTACCAGGAGGTGACGGTGAGCCCCCACCCGCCACGGCCCCGCATGCTCTGGCCCAGCCACCCCTTTCCTGCTTCTTGCGTCCCGCTAGGGCTCCCCCGGCTCTGGGCTGCATCTGTCCCAGCTCCCTTTCCCACAGCAGCACTCCCTGACTCTTGGGACCTGGCCCTTCCCACAGTCCATCACTCCTGGCTGCCCTCCATCCTCCTCCCTGCCCCATGTGGGGGTGGGGGCCCAGGGACCCTGCCCTTCTCCCTGCCTGTGCCGTCTCCTCAGCCCTTCTGCCCATACACTCTGCTGGGGGATTTCTTACCAACAGCTGCTTTTAATATAAAAGTAATAAAAGCCTTTATTATAGAAAAGTTATAATTACAGATATACAGAAAATAAAAATCACCCATAAACCCACTACCCAGAGACAGGCACCATTAACATGGGATATCAATTGTGAATTTTAGCCTATGCACACATATTTTGTAAATGGGATACACAAACTGCATACTGTTTGTATATGGTGGATTTTTACTTCAACTGTGTTGTCACATGAATATGAACATCTCCCTTATCCGCCAACAATTTTTTTCTTTTTTGAGATGGAGTTTCACTCTTATTGCCCAGGCTGGAGTGCAATGGCACAATCTCGGGTCACTGCAACTTCCACCTCCCGGGTTCAAGTGATTCTCCTGTCTCAGCCTCCCGAGTAGCTGGGATTACAGGCATGCGCCACCATGCCCGGCTAATTTTGTATTTTTAGTAAAGATGGGATTTTACCATATTGGTCAGGCTGGTCTCGAACTCCTGACCTCAGGTGATCCACCTGCCTCAGCCTCCCAAAGTGCTGGGATTACAGATGTGAGCCACTGCGCCTGGCCAGCCAACAAATTTTTTTTTCAGATGGAGTCTTGCTCTGTTGCCCAAGCTGGAGAGCAGTGGCGGGTTCAAGTGATTCTCCTGCCTCAGCCTCCCAAGTAGCTGGGACTACAGGTGCATGCCACCACACCTGCCTAATTTATGTATTTTTAGTAGAGACGGGGTTTTGCCATGTTGGTCAGTCTGGTGTTGAACTCCTGACCTCAGGTGATCCACCTGCCTCAGCCTCCCAAAGTGCTGGGATTACAAGCATGTGCCACCACACCCAGCCAACATATTTATATAACAAAAACTTTTTTTCATTTCAGATGGGCAATATGCCAACGTCCTAACATGGTTTGAGGGAGGCACATTTCACACATGAGCATGAAGACCTAATCATCACTCTTATAAACTACGAAAGGATCAAACAATAATTTTTATTTATTTATTTTTTCGAGATGGAGTCTTACTCTGTCGCCCAGGCTGGAGTGCAGTGCACAATCTTGGCTCACTGCAATCTCTGCCTCCTGAGTTCAAGTGATCCTCCTGCCTCAGCCCCCCTAGTGGCTGGGACTACAGGCACGTGCCACCATGCCAGGCTAATATTTGTATTTTTAGTAGAGACAGGGTTTCGCCATGTTGGCCAGGCTGGTCTCGAACTCCTGAGCTCAGGTGATCCACCTGCCTCGGCCTCCCAAAGTGCTGGGATTACAGGCGTGAGCCACCGTGCTCAGCCACAATATATATATATATATTTTAATTAAGACAGGGTCTCAGGCTGGGCGTGGTGGCTCACGCCTGTAATCCCAGCACTTTGGGAGGCTGAGGCAGGCAGATCATGAGGTCAGGAGTTTGAGACCAGCCTGGCCAACATGGCGAAACCCCATCTCTACTAAAAAATACAAAAATTAGCTGGCCACGGTGGCTCACACCTGTAATCCCAGCACTTTGGGAGGCTGAGGCAGGCGGATCACCTGAAGTCAGGAGTTCGAGACCAGCCTGGCCAACGTGGTGAAACCCTGTCTCTACTAAAAATACACAAATTAGCTGGGCATGGTGGCAGGCGCCTGTAGTCCCAGCTACCTGGGAGGCTGAGGCAGGAGAATTGCTGGAACCCAGGAGGTAGAGGTTGCAGTGAGCTGAGATCAAGCCACCGAACTCCAGCCTGGGTGACAGAGGGAGACTCTGTCACAAAGAAAAACAAAAACAAATACACAGGGTCTCACTTTGTTGCCAAGGCTGGAGTATAGCGGCATGATCACAGCTCACTGTGGCCTCCACCTCTCAGGCTCAAGCAAGCCTCCCAACTCAGCCTCCCCAGTAGCTGGGACAACAAGGCATGTACCACCACACCCAACTAATTTTTTTTTTTTTTTTTTTGAGACAGAGTCTCGCTCTGTCACCCAGGCTGGAGTTAAGTGGCACGATCTCGGCTCACTGCAAGCTCCACCTCCCAGGTTCACGCTATTCTGCCTCAGCCTCCCGAGTAGCTGGGACTACAGGCGCCCGCCACCCTGCCACGCTAAGTTTTTGTATTTTTAGTGGAGACGGGGTTTCACTGTGTTAGCCAGGATGGTCTCAATCTCCTGACCTCATGATCCGCCTGCGTCGGCCTCCCAAAGTGCTGGGATTATAGGCATGAGCCACCATGCCCGGCCCACAGTCAGCTAATTTGTATTTGTGTGTGTCTGTGTGTATGTGGTGACGGGGTCTCGCTGTGTTGCCCTTGCTATCCCCTAGCTCAAGTGATCCTCCTGCCTTGGTTTCCCAAAGTGCTGGGATTATAAGCATGAGCCATTGCACTAGGCCCAAAAATTGTTTAATAATGTTTCTTTTCTGATTACAAAAGATATCTAATGCTTAAGCCAGGTGTGGTGGCCCTCACCTGTAATCTCAGCACTTTGGAGGGCCGAGGAAGGCAGATCACTTAAGATCAGGAGTTCCAGACCAGCCTGGCCAACATGGTGAAACCCTATCTCTACTAAAACTACAAAAATTAGCCGGGCATACTGGCGGGTGCCTGTAGTCCCAGCTACTCCACTCCGGAGGCTAAGGCAGGAGAATTGCTTAAACTCGGGAGGTGGAGATTTCAGTGAGCTGAGATCGTGCCACTGCACTCCAGTCTGGGTGACGAAGCAAGACTCTGTGTCAAAACAAAACCAAAAACAAAAAAAAGATACCTAAATGCTTAAAAGATGAAAAAATTCAAGTGATACAAGAATGTATTAAATAGAGCGAAAGCCACTTACAATCTCACCTCTCCTCCTCTAGATGCAGCTGGTGTTAAGGCTCACTTTCATGACTGCTGACACCAGCATATGTTCAGTGTCCTCATCCAGGGAGAGGCCACTGTGTGGAGGACTCTGCTGGAGCTTGGAGGGAGTGGCCAAGGTCAAGGCTCTGCCCAGTGTGTGAAACAGCCCCCAGGGCCAAATAATTTAGGTTGCTGTTTCATCTTTTGCTCTCTCAAGCAATGCTTTGTTAATTATACTTAATTAGTTATCCTTATAATACATTTCTGTAAGTAGAGTTGTAGAATTTCAGGGGCAGTATGTGTGTGTGTATATTTTTTCTTTTCTTTTTTTTTGAGACAGAGTCTCTGTTGCTCAGGCTGGAGTGTAGTGGTGTGATCTCGGCTCACTACAACCTCTACCTCCCAGGTTCAAGCGATTCTCCTGCCTCAGTGTCCTGAGTAGCTGGGACTACAGGAGCATGCCACCACGCCTGGCTAATTTTTGTATTTTTAATAGAGACAAGATTTCACCATGTTGGCCAGGCTGGTCTGGAACTCCTCCTAGCCTCAAGTGACCTGCCCACCTGCCCCTTCTCTACAAAAAAATTTTTTTAGGCCGGCGCAGTGGCTCATGCCTATAATCCCAGCACTTTGGGAGGCCAAGGTGGGTGGATCACCTGAGGTCAGGAATTCAAGACCAGCCTGGCCAACATGGTGAAACCCGGTCTCTACTTAAAATACAAAAATTAGCTGAGTGTGCCGGTGGGCACCTGTAATCCCAGCTACTCAGGAGGCTGAGGCAGGAGAATCTCTTGAACCCAGGAGGCAGAGGTTGCAGTGAGCCGAGATGGTACCATTGCACTCCAACCTGGGTGACGAGAGTGAAACTCTGTCTCAAAAAAAAAAAATTTTTTTTTAATTAGCTGGGTGTGGTGCTATGCGTCTGTAGCCCCAGCTACTCGGAGGCCGAGGTGGGATGATTGCTTGAGCCTGGGAAGTGGAGGCTGCAGTCAGTGAACTAAGATTCTACCACTGCACTCTAGCCTGGGCAACAGAGGAGACCCTGTCTTAAAAAAAAAAAAAAAAAAAAGGAAAAGAAGAGAGAAAAAGAAGACTAGTTGGAGACTCCCAAATGAATTAATAAATCTGTCACAGAAATGGAAATCAAAATAAGAGGAAGTCACATTTCATCTCAAGAGCTTGGTGATACCCAGTGTTGCAAAGATAGGGAAGAGCACCCTCACACCCTGTCTACTGGTAAGGGATGAATCGTGCAACCTTTGTGAAGGGCAACCAGCAGAACCTGCCAAAATTCTAAATGCATCTATCTTTTGACCTAGCCATTCTGCAATTAGAACTGTTCTTAGAGGAAAAAGATATATCCTCACTTGTAAAATTTTTTTGAAAAAGGCCGGGCACAGTGGCTCATGCCTGTAATCCTCACACTTTGGGAGGCTGAGGCAGATGGATCACTTGAGGCAAGGAGTTCTGGACCATCCTGGCCAACATGGCGAAACTCCATCTCTACCAAAAATACAAAAATTAGCCGGGCGTGGTGGTGTGTGCCTGTAATCCCAGCTACTAGGGAGGCTGAGGCAGGAGGATTGCTTGAACCCAGAAGGTAGAGGTTGCAGTGAACCAAGATGGTGCCAGTGCACTCCAGCCTGGGTGACAAAGTGAGACTCTGTCTCAAAAAATAAATAAATAAAATAAAATTTAAACTGAAAAAAAGGCGGGGTGTGATGGCACATACCCAGAAATCCCAGCCACCTTGGAAGCTGAGGTGTGAAAAATTTCTTGAGCCCAGGAGTTCGAGGCTGCAGTGAGCTATGATGGCACCACTGTACTCCAGGCTGGGCAACAGAGAGACCGCGTCTTAAAAATAAATAAAAGGCCAGGCAAGGTGGCTCACACCTATAATCCCAGCACTTTGGGAGGCTGAGGCGGGTGGATCATCTGAGGTCAGGAGTTCAAGACCAGCCTGGCCAACATGGTGAAACCCTGTCTCTACTAAAATACAAAAATTAGCCAGGCATGATGGTGGGTGCCTGTAATCCCAGCTACTTGGGAGGCTGAGACGGGAGAATCGCTTGCACTGGAAGGTGGTTGCAGCGAGCCAGGATCATGCCACTGCACTCCAGCCTGGGTGATAAGAGTAAATGAGACTCCATCTCAAAAAAAAAATTTTTTTTTAATTGGCCAGATGTGGTGATGTGCGCCTGTAGTCCCAGCTACTCAGGAGGCTGAAGTAGGAGGATTGCTTCAGCCCAGGATTTTGAGGCTGCAATGAGCTATGGTCCAGCCTGGGCAACAGAATCAGACACTGTCTCAAAAAAAAAAAAAAAAAAACCCAAACAAATCAATAAGCAAATAAACCTGCAGACAGTACAAAGAAAACTGAGGATGTAGAGCAACTGGAGAGCTCCTACACTGCTGGTAGGAGTGTAAACTGCTAAAGCCACTGCGGAAAACAGTCTAGTGTTACCTAAAAAGGTTGAAGACATGTACATCTTGTGACCCAGAAGTCATACCAGGCATGTGTGCCCTAAAGAAACCCATGCTTATGGTCACCAGGATGCAGGTATAATACATGGCTCACAGTAGCCAACTCTTAGAGTCACCCAGACATCCATCAGCAGTAGAATGGATGAAAAAATTGGGGTGTCATGATGGAATACTATACTGTAATGAAAAATGAATGCATTTCAGCTACGTATAACAACAGTTAATCTTGCAAACCTATAGAATATCTCTATAAAAAGCGGGGGCCAGCCAGGCATGGTGGCTCATGCCTGTAATCCCAGCACTTTGGGAGGCTGAGGCAGGTGGATCACCTGAGGTCAGGAGTTCCAGACCAGCCTGGCCAACATGACGAAACCCTGTCTCTACTAAAAATACAAAAATTAGCCAGGCATGGTGGCTGGAGCCTGTAATCGCAGCTACTTGGGAGGCTGAGGCAGAAGAATCACTTGAACCTGGGAGGCAGAGGTTGCAGTGAGCTGAGATCACGCCATTGCATTCCAGCCTTGGCAACAAGAGTGAAACTCCATCCAAAAAAAAAAAAAGGCCCTGCACGGTGGCTCACATCTGTAATCCCAGCACTTTGGGAGGCTGAGGCTGGTGGATCATGAGATCAAGACCATCTTGGCCAACATGGTAAAACCCTGTCTCTACTAAAAATACAAAAAAATTAGCTGGGCATGGTAGCACGCACCTATAATCCCAGCTACTTGGGAGGCTGAGGCAGGAGAATCGCTTGGACCCGCGAGGCAGAGGTTGCAGTGAGCCACTGCAAGATTGCACCACTGGACTCCAGCTTGGCAACAGAGCGAGACTCCATCTCAAAACAAAATGCTGGGCACAGTGGCTCATGCCTGTAATCCCAGCACTTTGGGAGGCCGAGGTGGGTGGATCACGAGGTCAGAAGTTCAAGACCATCCTGGCCAAGACGGTGAAACCCCATCTCTACTAAAAATACAAAAAATTAGCTGGGCGTGGTGGCAGTTGCCTGTAATCCTAGCTACTCAGGAGGCTGAGGTAGAAAATTGCTTGAACGCCACAGGCAGGGGTTGCAGTGAGCTGAGATCACGCCACTGCACTCCACCCTGGGCGACAGAGTGAGACTCCATCTCAAAAAAAAAAAAAAAAAAAAAAAGCAGGGGCCATTGGAGGCGCCTGTAATCCCAGCTACTAGGGAGGCTGAGGTGGGAGGATCACTTGAGCCCGGGAGGGGGAGGTTGCAGTGAGCTGACATTGTGCCTCCACACTCCAGCCTGGGTGACAGAGTGAGACCCTGTCTCAAAAACTAAATAAAATTAAAGAAAGCAGGGGCCAGGTGCAGTTGCTCATGCCTAGAATCCCAGAACTCTGGGAGGCTGAGGTAGGAGGATCTCTTGAACCCAGGAAGTAGAGGCCAGCCTGGACAACATAGTGAGACCCCATCTCTACAAAAAACAAAATAGCTGCGCATATGGTGGCACACAGCTGTAGTACCAGCTACTCAGGATGCTGAGGAGGGAGGATCACTTGAGCCCCAGAGGTTGATGCTGCAGTGAGCCATGATGGTGCCACTGTGCTCCAGCCTGAGTAGCAGAGCAAGACCCTGTCTCAAAAAAAATAAATAAATAAAAGAAGGCTGGGCGCAGTGGCTCACACCTGTAATCCCAACACTTTGGGAGGCCAAGGCAGGCAGATCACTTGAGGCTAGGAGTACAAGACCAGCCTGGCCAACATGGGGAAACCCCATCTCTACTAAAAATACAAAAATTAGCCGGGCATGGTGGCACGCCTGTAATCCCAGCTACTCAGGAGGCTGAGGCAGGAGAATTGTTTGAACCAGGGAGGTGAAGGTTGCAGTGAGCCGAGATAGGTCCACTGCACTCCAGCCTGGGCGACAGAGCAGCACTCCATCTCAAAAAAAAAAAAGAAAGAAAAAGAAAAGCAGAGATATTGTAGTGGTTCTCTCTAGGGGGGTCGAAGGGCTAAGGGTCTTATGATCAGGAAGGGACAGTGGGGACTTCGGGGTGCTGACAGTGTTCTGTTTCTTGACCCAGGTGGTGGTTACATTGAGTTCACTTTATGTCATTTATAAAACTATACATTTGTGTTTTATGCATTCTTCTGTATGAATATTTCACATTTTTAAAAAACATTTTTTAGAGAAGACTTGTATAGCCTCCTCTTCCAGAAAACCGGGCTGGACTGCCACAACTCTGGATGAGCTCATACCTCTAGATAGTTCCTAGAGCCCTGCTCCTGAGTCTGACCCTGAATGTGCCCCACTTGTGTCCTGTCCCGGCCCAGGTGCAGCGGAACTGCTGCCTGACGCTCTGCAACTTCAGCATCCCCGAGGAGCTGGAATTCCAGTACCGCCGGGTCAACGAGCTCCTGCTCAGCATCCTCAACCCCACGCGGCAGGACGAGTCTATCCAGCGGATCGCCGTGCACCTGTGCAATGCCCTGGTCTGCCAGGTAGACAACGACCACAAGGAGGCCGTGGGCAAGATGGGCTTTGTCGTGGTACGTGTGGGGGGCGCTGCCCCCTTCCTCCTGAGCCTCACTGCTCTCCCCCACCCCTCTACCCTGAGCGAGAGTCTCAGAGCAGGGCCTGGGGCTGGGAGTCGGAGAGGGAGAGTGTGCTGAAGCATGAGGGATTTAGGCTAGACCAAAGGAAGAATTTCTTAATGCTGAATGTTGCTGATGCCCTCATAGATTTCTTCCACCTAGAGCATGCTGTCATCCTGTCCCAGTCCCTGCGCTCATCCTGCTTTCATAAGCTCTGTAGGGAAAGATGCCATGCTGTCCTTCCGTCATTGTGTCCCCAGCACTTCTTGGCATGGGCCCTGGAGGCCAGTGGGGAGATGATAAATATCACTGGTGAAAGGAAGGAAAGAATGACAAAGGAGCTCAAGAGCTTCTGGTCTCATTTGATGGCAGCGAAGCTCAAGCCCCAGCGGGAAGGGCTGTGCCCAAAGTCACAGGGGAGTCACCCGAGGGCCAGGAACGGCACCCGGGCCTGCTAATGCCAATACCAAGGGGCTGAGGCGTGGATGCCTTCAAATAGCCTCCCCCAAATATAGGGAGACTTGATCTCGTCAAGACTCCTGAACTAGCCATGGCGTTGCTGAGCCTCCCCTCCATCTTGGGTTCGTGGGGGTGGGAGTTCTTCAGCCCCAGCACTCTAGCAGACTCTTGTCCCTGCCTGCAGACCATGCTGAAGCTGATTCAGAAGAAGCTGCTGGACAAGACAGTAAGTCAAGTCTTCACGAAGCCACGCTACCCTTTCCCCACCTCGCAAGGGGCCTGGGCTGCCCCTGGGGGAGGTCTGTGTTTTGTCAGGGGCCCCCCTCCCCGGGTACCAGGAGCCTTGGCTGAGCCCTGCCCTGCCCTCACAGTGTGACCAGGTCATGGAGTTCTCCTGGAGTGCCCTGTGGAACATCACAGATGAAACTCCTGACAACTGCGAGATGTTCCTCAATTTCAACGGCATGAAGCTCTTCCTGGACTGCCTGAAGGTAGTGTCCACCTCCTGCAGCAGCAGCTGCCTCAGCTGCCCACATGGCCCCTCTTCTGTCCCTAGGCTCCCCACCAACCAAATCCGCAGCACCCCTCACCCATGCTTCCTGGAGAAGGGCAGTGGGGACAGACTCAGGCCCACCCACCCAGGATTTGCTGCTGACAGAAGCTCCAGACCCAGATGGCCTGGTGGGGCCTCCTGAGAGCCCCCACTCCCAGGGAAAGCCCCTCCCTGTCTCCTCGGCCGTTGTTCTCAGGCTGCCCACAGCTGGCCAGAGCCCACTACGCTACGAGCTGGACAGCGGGTCTGTTCATCCTTAAACACATGCTCTGTTTTCCTGCTTTAATTTCTAGGAGGGTCCCTTAAACTAGTATTTTGAGCTTTGGTGAACAGAACCACGTCTGTCCCATAGGTCAGATCTCTAATCAACCTTTGTCTTTGTGGCAAGCAATCCCACCCCTTTAATTCCTTAGTGTGTGTACCCAGCACTGACCTAGGAGCATTGGAGGGTAGGAGGGCAGCATATATGCCCCCTCTTTGTCTAGTTGGCATGGCCAGATGCCCATGAAGCTTTTTGGTTAACAATACCAGATACTAAGTCATTAAGTACTAATTGATGCGGCCCATTGGCTCTCCTTTTCCCAGGAATTCCCAGAGAAGCAGGAACTGCATAGGAATATGCTAGGACTTTTGGGGAATGTGGCAGAAGTGAAGGAGCTGAGGCCTCAACTAATGACTTCCCAGTTCATCAGCGTCTTCAGGTTGGTATTTTTAATCCTTTCCCTTTTTGCCTTAGCTGCCACAATGCTCAGAGCTCTAGCGTTTGCTCAGTTGCACAACTGCTCTTAGCCTAGGTTTGCTATAAATGTCATTTTCCCTCGATAATGTGGTTTCTTATTCATTCAATCCTTCGTAAGTGGTCCTTTTGTAATTATATCTTTTTTTTTTTTTTTGAGATGGAGTCTTGCTCTGTCACCCAGGCTGAAGTGCAGTGGCACAATCTAGGCTCACTGCAAGCTCTGCCTCCCGGGTTCACGCCATTCTCCTGCCTCAGCCTCCCGAGTAGCTGAGACTACAGGCGCCTGCCACCACGCCCAGCTAATTTTTTTGTATTTTTAGTAGAGATGGGGTTTCACCATGTTAGCCAGGATGGTCTCGATCTCCGGACCTCGTGATCCACCTGCCTTGACCTCCCAAAGTGCTGGGATTACAGGCGTGAGCCACTGCGCCCAGCCTGTAATTATATCTTAAATGACCTCAAATCCCTTTAGAAGTAGTCTGGGTATATAGACGATATGGGATAAAGAAATAAGTAGCACCTCTTGCTTCTGGTTTTAAGTTGGGGTCCTGCCGCTGGTATCTGAAGAGAAACTGGGGGAGTGGGACTCCATTTTTCTGTCTTTCTCCTGGCAGCAACCTGTTGGAGAGCAAGGCCGATGGGATCGAGGTTTCCTACAATGCCTGCGGCGTCCTCTCCCACATCATGTTTGATGGACCCGAGGCCTGGGGCGTCTGTGAGCCCCAGCGTGAGGAGGTGGAGGAACGCATGTGGGCTGCCATCCAGAGCTGGGACATAAACTCTCGGAGAAACATCAATTACAGGTGTGGGCAGGGCAGGGAGCGGGGATGCGGTGTGGAATATGGGGTAAGTGCTGGGCAGGATGCTCATACCATTAAGGTCTGCTCAGAGCTCCCACCTTCCTTCTGGTCTTCTGTAGGGTTCTGCTTTCACTCATTGATACGTAGCCGCACACAGCACAGAGCATACATAAGGGCACGATCTCATCCGTGCAGCCTGGAGCATTTGTCATACATGCCAACATCTGCATGTACCCAAAGCCTGCTCTTTGCAAACCACTAATACCTACTGATTTGTGGGGAGGGGTGGGGAGAAAATAGACACACAACAGAAAACCATACAGGTGGGCCGGGCACAGTAGCTCTTGCCCATAATCCCAGCACTTTGGGAAGCTGAGACAGGAGGATCACTTGAGCCCAAGATTTCCTTTCTTTTCTTTTTTTTTTTTTTTTGAGACAGAGTCTTGCTCTGTCGCCCAGGCTGGAGTGCAGTGGTGCAATCTCAGCTGACTGCAAGCTCTGCCTCCTGGGTTCACGCCATTTTCCTGCCTCAGCCTCAGAGTAGCTGGGATTACAGGCACCCGCCACCACGCCCGGTTAATTTTTTTGTATTTTTAGTAGAGACGAGTTTTCACCGTGTTAGCCAGGATAGTTTCGATCTCCTGACCTCGTGATCCGCCCACGTCGGCCTCCCAAAGTGCTGGGATTACAGGCATGAGCCACTGCGTCCAGCTGAGCCCAAGATTTCAAGACCAGCTTGGGCAACATAGTGAGACTTCCTCTTTACGAAAAATTTTAAAAATCAGGCCAGGTGCAGTGGTTCACGCCTGTAATCATAGCACTTTAGGAGGCTGAGGCGGGCAGATCACGAGGTCAGGAGTTCAAGACCAGCCTGCCCAACATGGTGAAACCCCGTCCCTACTAAAAATACAAAAATTAACCTGGCGTGGTGGCACATACCTGTAATCCCAGCTACTCAGGAGGCTGAGGCAGGAGAATCGCTTGAACCCAGGAGGCAGAGGTTGCAGTGAACCGAGATGGCGCCACTGCATTCCAGCCTGGGCAACAGACCAAGACTCCATCTCAAAAAAAAAAAAAAAAAAAAATGAGCTGGGTGTGATGGTGCACACCTGTAGTCCCACCTACTGGGGAGGCTGAGGCAGGAGGGTCACTTGAGCCCAGGAGGTCGAGGCTGTAGTGAGCCAACATCATGCTACTGCACTCCAGCCTAGGGGACAGAATGAGACCATTTCTTTAAAAAAAAGAAGAAGGTCAGGCGCGGTGGCTCACACCCGTAATCCCAGCACTTTGGGAGGCAGAGGCGGGCGGATCATGAGGTCAGGAAATCGAGACCATCTTGGCTAACGCAGTGAAACCCCACCTCTACTAAAAATACAAAAAATTAGCCGGGCGTGGTGGCATGCGCCTGTAGTCCCAGCTACTCGGGAGGCTGAGGCAGGAGAATGGTGTGAACCTGGGAGGCGGAGCTTGCAGTTAGCCGAGATCGCGCCACTGCACTCCAGCCTGGGCGACAGAGCGAGACTCCGTCTCAAAAATAAATAAATAAAAATAAAAATAAAAATAAATTAAAAAAACAAGAAAACAAAACAGGGCCGGGCACAGTGGCTCACACCTGTAATCCCAGCACTTTGGGAGGCAGAGGCGGGCAGATCATGAGGTCAGGAAATCGAGACCATCTTGGCTAACGCAGTGAAACCCCACCTCTACTAAAAATACAAAAAATTAGCCGGGCGTGGTGGCATGCGCCTGTAGTCCCAGCTACTCGGGAGGCTGAGGCAGGAGAATGGCGTGAACCTGGGAGGCGGAGCTTGCAGTTAGCCAAGATCGCGCCACTGCACTCCAGCCTGGGCGACAGAGCGAGACTCCGTCTCAAAAATAAATAAATAAAAATAAAAATAAAAATGAATAAAAAAAACAAGAAAACAAAACAGGGCCGGGCACAGTGGCTCACACCTGTAATCCCAGCACTTTGGGAGGCTGAGGCAGGCGGATCACCTGAGGTCAGGAGTTCGAAACCAGCCTGGCCAACACAGTGAAACCCCATCTCTGCTAAAAATACAAAAATTAGCCAGGCATGGTGGTGGGCACCTGTAATCCCAGCTACTTGGGAGGCTGAGGCAGGAGAATCACTTGAACCTGGAAGGCAGAGGTTGCAGTGAGCCAAGAACTCGCCACTGCACTCCAGCCTGGGCAACAGAGTGATACTCCATCTCAAAAAAAAAAGAAGAAGAAGAAAACAAGAATCGTTCATAATCTCACTCCCTGAAAGAGAACTCCTGTTGACATTTTGGTGTGTCTCCTTCCAGCAGTGTTTCTATGCACAGATTTCATTACTTTAAGTCAAGCTGGCATCAATTCCTACTGTTTTGTGACTGACTGGCCAATCACCAGGCATGGATCTCCCTCGTCATTTTAGGACGGAGTCACTTTCTTTGTGCCATCCTGTACAGATGGACATTTCAGTTGAAAACCCATACTGGGAGGAACAGGCTGACATTGGTAGCGTTGCCAGTGTGCCAAGTACTATAGTTCTTGGGGAGAAAGGAAGCGGAATCGCTGGCCCAGGAGTTTTGCACACACGTGTTTCAGGCTTTTGGACCATGACTCCAGGCTGGCCCACAGAAGGCCCTCGTCAGAAGAGCAGTCACAGGCCGGATGCGGTGGCTCACACCTAGAATCCCAGCCACTTTGGGAGGCCAAGGCAGGAAGATCACTTGAGCTCAGGAGTTTGAAACCAGCCTGGGCAATATAGTGAGCCCTCACCTCTACAAAAAAAAAAATTTTTTTTTTGAGACGGAGTCTCGCACTGTCACCCAGGCTGGAGTGCAATGGTGTGATCTTGGCTCACTGCAACCCCCGTCTCCCAGGTTCAAGCGATTCTCCTGTCTCAGCCTCCCGAGTAGCTGGGATTACAGGTGCACGTTACCATGCTCAACTAATTTTTTGTACTTTAGTGGAGACGGGGTTTCACTGTGTTGCCCAGGTTGGTCTCAAACTCCTGAGCTCAGGCAATCCACCCCCCTCAGCCTCCCAAAGTGCTAGGATTACAGGTGTGAGCCATTGCACCTGGCCAAAAAAAATTTTTTTTTAATTAGCCAGGCATGGTGGCTCACACCTATAGTCCCAGCTCCTCAGGAGGCTGAGGTGGGAGGAACACTTGCATGGCCTGGAAGGTCAAGGCTGCAGTGAGCTGTGATCATGCCACTGCACTCCAGCCTGGGCAGCAGAGCGAGACCCTTTCTCCAAAAAAAAAAAAAAAAAGGCCAGGCATGGTGGCTCACGCCTGTAATCCTAGCACTTTGGGAGGCCAAGGCGGGTGGTCAGGAGTTCAAGACCAGCCTGGCCAACAGCAAAATGATGCTCTAACCAAAAATTAGCTGGGCATGGTGGCATGCACCTGTAGTCCCAGCTACTCGGGAGGCTGAGGCAGGAGAATCATGTGAACCCAGGAGGCAGAGGTTGCAGTGAGCCGAGATTGCACCACTGAACTCCAGCCTGGGCGACAGAGTGAGACTCCGTCTCAAAAAAAAAAAAAACAAAGAAAAAAGGGCTGGACATGGTGGTTCACGCCTATAATCCCAGCACTTTGGGAGGCCAAGGCAGGTGGATCACTTGAGGTCAGGAGTTCGAAACCAACCTGGCCAACATAGTGAAACCCTGTCTCTACCAAAAATACAAAATTTAGGCCGGGCGCGGTGGCTCACGCCTATAATCCCAGCACTCTGGGAGGCTGAGGTGGGTGGATCACGAGGTCAGGAGATCGAGACCATCCTGGCTAACACGGTGAAACCCCGTCTCTACTAAAAAATACAAAAAAATTAGCCGGGTTTGGTGGTAGGCGCCTGTAGTCCCAGCTACTCGGGAGGCTGAGGCAGGAGAATGGCGTGAACCAGGGAGGCGGAGCTTGCAGTGAGCCGAGATCATGCCACTGCACTCCAGCCTGAGCGACAGAGCAAGACTCTGTCTCAAAAGAAAAAAAAATGCAAAAATTAGCTGGGTGTGGTGGCACACCCCTGTAGTCTCAGTTACTCAGGAGGCTGAGGCAGGAGAATCGCTTGAACCCAGGAGGCAGAGGTTGCAGTGAGTGGAGATTGCACCAGTGCACCCCAGCCTGGGCAACAGAGCGAAACTCCGTCTCACAAAAAAAAAAAAAAAAAAAAAAAAAAAAAAAACCAGGTCACACGTGCTTCTGTTCCCAGGGTGCCTCTCCCCTCTTCCCCACAGGCTGGGTCTCTGCTCCTTGCTGAGGTCTCCAGCTTTCTGCTCCTCCTAATCTGGGTCCCTTGTGCCTCCCTCATGTGCTTGTGCCTTTATCCTCTCCAAGGGAACCTTGTTGTGCAGCCTGCCAGTGGGATGCAGGGCCAGCTGTCCCTTCTCCCTGGCATCCTGCCAGCCTATCATGGTTGGTCACTAGGATTCTCCAGTGGGAGGAAACCTCAGACAAGAAAAGACACACTCCCCACCCTCAGCATCCACAGTGACCTTGATTTCTTTTCCTGCAGGTCATTTGAACCAATTCTCCGCCTCCTTCCCCAGGGAATCTCTCCTGTCAGCCAGCACTGGGCAACCTGGGCCCTGTATAACCTCGTGTCTGTCTACCGTGAGTGCCAACTTGTCCTGGGTTCAGACACTCATCCAGCTGAAAGCAGATGTGCCCTCAGGGAGTTTGTAGTCCAGGAGGGGGGCATTAATTGCTGCTGTCAGCTTTTGTGCCTCAGAGCAGAACCCTCCACTTTCCAGCGTTTGTGGGACACCCAGCTTAAGGGCTCACTCCTGCCTCATCACCAGAAGCAGGCCTGGCAGGCGAAATACCTGTGCAGAGTTCCTAGACAGCTTTCTTAATGCTTCCCGCTTCCATGTGCAGGAACAGTCCAAAATCTCCATGCCTGCTGGGCTCAGTGGTGCACACCAGCTATTCAGGAGGCCGAGACAGGAGAATTGCCTGAGGTCTGGAGTTTCCAGCTGCAATGACCTATGATCATGCCTGTGAATAGCCATTGCACTCCGGCCTGAGCAACATAGTGAGACCCCCATCTCCAGAAGTAAAATAAAAGTCTCCATGCTGTCTGCATGAAAAAAAAAAAAAACACATACCATCAGCTGGTTCCAACCTGGCAGGTCACCAGAATCACCTGGTAAAAATACAGATAAATCTTAGTCCTTGGATTTGTTGAAAAAGAATATCCAGAGACAGGGCTTAGAAATCTATATTTTTACAGAAATTCCTCAAAGGATCACCATCTTTAGGAGCCACTGGTTTCACTGGTTTGGGTGACATCTTCCATAGAATGAGCGCTGGAGGCCAGGCATAGTGGCTCACACCTGTAATCCCAGCACTTAGGGAGGCTGAGGTGGGAGGATTGTTTGAGCCCAAGAGGTTGAGACCAGCACAGGCAACACAGCGCAACCCTGTCTCTACTTAAAAAAAAAAAAATTAGTCCGGGTGCAGTGGCTCATGCCTGTAATCCTAGCACATTGGGAGGCTGAGACGGGCAGATCATTTGAGGCCAAGAGTTTGAGACCACCCTGGCCAACATAGTGAAACCCCGTCTCTACTAAAAATACAAAAATTAGCTGGGCTTGATGGCACGTGCCTGTAGTCCCAGCTACTAGGGAGGCTGAGACAAAATAATCGTTTGAACCCAGGAGGCAGAGGTTGCAGTGAGCTCAGATCGTGCCACTGCACTCCAGCCTGGGTGACAGAGTGAGACTCTGTCTCAAAAAAAAAATTATATCTATTATATATATATATATATTTTTTTTAAGATTTTATATATATATATATATATTTTTTTTTTTTTTTTTTGAGACGGAGTTTTGCTCTGTCGCCCAGGCTGGAGTGCAGTGGCGCGATCTCGACTCACTGCAAGCTCCGCCTCCCGGGTTCACGCCATTCTCCTGCCTCAGCCTCCCGTGTAGCTGGGACTACAGGCGCCCGCCACCATGCCTGGCTAATTTTTGTATTTTTAGTAGAGACGGGGTTTCACCGTGTTAGCCAGGATGGTCTCGATCTCCTGACCTCGTGATCCGCCCGTCTCGGCCTCCCAAAGTGCTGGGATTACAGGCGTGAGCCACCGTGCCCGGCCATATATATATATATTTTAAGATTATATATTTTATATATATATATATATAATTTTTTTTTAAAAAAAAGAATGAGCTCTGGAAATAAATGCAGCAACTTCAAACCAAGGAGTCACCTCTTGCCTCCCCTACATGGACGCAGAACTCCCACCCATGGGGCTGGGCCCACGTCTTGCCCCCATTTCTAGCACTGCCCCCACCAAGGGCTGTGCCTTCACACCCCCGACACCAGGATAGTCCTCACAGACAGGGTGGGTTTCTGGGCCTCGGGCTGATAAGAAGACCCATCCTGATCCTCTGCTGTCTGCTCCTATCCCACAGCGGACAAGTACTGCCCTCTGCTGATCAAAGAAGGGGGGATGCCCCTTCTGAGGGACATAATTAAGATGGCGACCGCACGGCAGGAGACCAAGGAAATGGCCCGGTAAGAGACCAGCAGTGTGTTTCTGCCTGGAACCTTGGTTTAGGGGAGTAAGGGCATAGCGGGCGCCCTCTGGAGGTTAGGAATGGCTGAAATTCCCAGGGACAGCTTAGAGTTGAGTATGGAGGTTGACAGTGTATTGATGTCCACCTGGGGCCTCTCCAAATGTCATCTCGACCACATTGTGGCTGGAAATTAGATGACCAAGCTCGGAACGGAGCATCAGGGCCCTCGTTTGTAAGCTTAGTTTTCTTTTATTCCCAACAAATTCCATCCTTTTATCACTGGGTATTAGCAAGTCAGGTCAGAACTATTCATTATTTTTGGCCAAAGACATTCCCACTAAAGAAGGGACACAGTGTGGTAAAATACATTCTAGAGATAAGATGAGGCAGAGTGCGAGTGAGTTTGCTGAATGTGAAGATCACAAACATGGTGGAGTCTCGGCCTTCCGTGGCTCTGTGGCTTTCACTGCAGCATCTAAAATGTCACCGCCTCCAGTTCTCGAGTTGATCAGGACACGAGAGACTCTCAGGGATGCGACGTGTCGAAATCGTCGAACGACCTTGTTTTCTCCAGGATTCATTCTAGAAGGGAGAACAGTCAAGCTGACCCGAGCACACTTTTTCATGGCTCTGTATAGAGCAAAAGTTCACATGGAGGAGGGGCCTGAAACTCAGAGGCTCCTCAGCCAGCCACTTCCTGGGCCAGGGGAGGGAAGTGTCAGCTGGTTCTGCTATTATATCTGGCCAAAGGCGCTACTGGCCAGGCGAAGTGGCTCACACCTGTAATCCTAGCACTTTGGGAGGCTGAGGTGGGTGCATCACTTGAGGTCAGGAGTTCGAGACCTGGCTAACATGGTAAAACCCCGTCTCTACTAAAAATACAAAAATTAGCTCGGCGTGGTGGTACGTGCCTGTAATCCCAGCCACTTGGGAGGCTGAGGCAGGAGAATCACTTGAATCCAGGAGGCAGAGGTTGCAGTGAGCCGAGATGGTGCCACTGCACTCCAGCCTGGTCAACAGAGCGAGACTCTGTCTCAAAAAAATAAAATTTAAAAATAAATGGACGGGGCCCACCCCTAGGTTTTCTTTTCCAGTACATCCGGGAGGTGGGAGGTGGCCCTGGAATTTTCATGGTTAACAAGGATTCCCGGGAAATTTGAGAAGCACTGGGTAAGACTGACCAGTTACCTACCACAGTCACTTTGAACATTTCTCCAAGGCCTGTGATGGGAATCTGAGGCACTGGCCTGTCTGACAGCAAGGAGTAAATGACCCTGGACAATGCTTAGGAGAAGGCCCTCGGCCTGTCCACTGACCTCTCTCCCACTCTGGGTATTTGTTTCCTAAAAGGTATTGGGGCATCCCTTTAACACACAGAGGCTGCAGTGAAGCCCCCAAACCACAGGCTTGGTGTTGAATGGGCAAGCTGTCCGGGGTCCAAGGTGACAACCAACAGTGATGGGTGGCAGGGGTCAGGCTGGGGCGGGCGAGACTCGAAATCTGAGCTGGAGTGCTGAGCCCTGGCTGCCACAGGGTAGTGGGGGCCCTTGTGCGAGCACAGCTGCCCCTGCCCGACCCTGGACCTGCCACTGGATCCGGGCCTCTAGGGGAATCTGATGTGCAGTCAGTTTGGGGACCACTGGTGGACTTCTGGAAAGAGAAGGGTCTAGTGTGCAGGGAAAATGAAGAAGAGGTCGCTAAAGAAACTTCCAAAGGGTTTTGGAGGTCGGGCCTGAGCTGATTTGGGGACCCCCTATCCACAGATGCCCTGGGACTGGGGGTGGGAGAAGAGGGGCATGGAAAGGAAGGAAGCGGAGGATGGCTGGTGATGGCATTCACGGCCACAGGTGCCATTCCCTGAGTCCCCTGCACATGCCAGCCACTCTGCCAGCCCCTCTGTCCACATCATTCGGTCAGCATCACCATCACTATGAACACGTGTTTACCCAGCTGCCTAATGATCTCGGAGGGGCTGGGCTCACCCCCACCCAAGCCCACCCTCCAATCCTGTCTCCCCCATTGTCTCCAGCAAGGTGATTGAGCACTGCAGTAACTTTAAAGAGGAGAACATGGACACGTCTAGATAGAGGCCTCCGTCCCCATGGCCGCCACCGCTCTGGACCACAGGCGGGGAGGAAGCATGCTCAAGCAGCCCAGCGGGCGGGCCCCTTCCGAGGGAGCCTCCCACGGAGTGAAGAGACATGGGGGACTTTTGCACAACCGACGCTTTTCCTTAATGTTAGTGAGATATATATATATTATATATATATATTTTTTTTTTGGTTAGGAAGTGTGAAGTTTTGTGTGTATGATTTCTGTGCAAAAACAAAAGCAACACTCCTGAGTCCTTGCAGCTTCCTTGGCCATTCTCAAACCCACTCAGCCTTCATCGCTGACACACACACTCCTACCCCAACCAGACTAAATGCCTATAACGCTGTGAGTGTCCAGTCCTTGTCCAGGAAACTCAGATCCCGGCCTGGCTTCCTTTCATGAGAGGAGCAGGCCTTGGACAGCGTATCGAGCATCCTGACCCACTGCCCCTGCCTGAGAACGCCATCTCGGCTCCCGGGCACAGCTGATGGGGTTTGGGGATTAGAACTTACCCCACTGGGTCTCCCAAAAGCCTTGGTGCTCCCGGCTGTGGGCCATCTGGGGCAGGAAAGTGAGCCATTCCTAGGCTGAGGTCCAGGCAGCCCTGCCCCTGAAGACCCTCTAGGAGCAGGGCACCCAGTGGCCCTGCTGCTGTCCAGCCAGGCCTGCCTGAGGCCACGCTGCTATGGAGGCTGCCTCCTAGTCTCCCACCAGGTCCCAGGCTGTGGAAAGCCCCAGCCCAGGGATGGTCAGAACTCAGGGGCAGATTCCACTGCCCCTTCTGCCAAACACATCCAGAACCTGCCCTCAGCCCTGGAAGCTAGCATCTTCTGGGGCCAGGGGCTTGCTTCCTCGCTCCATAGCCCTCAACTGCCCAGGCGCTCCCACCAGCAGAACTGAGCCTGCCTCCTCCTCCCAGCCTGCCCCGCTGCCCAGAGGACCCCACGCCTCTCAGAGGCAGAGGTCCCATGACAGCCTTTGACCCACAACGGCCACACAGCCGCCTCCAGACCAGCACTCGGACTGCCCTG
Source organism: Homo sapiens (assembly GCF_000001405.40). Taxonomy (NCBI): domain Eukaryota; kingdom Metazoa; phylum Chordata; class Mammalia; order Primates; family Hominidae; genus Homo; species Homo sapiens. Next base: position 128,730,298 of record NC_000009.12, on the reverse strand, counting down.
CAGTGGCCGCTTGGGCCTCCCTGGCGGTCCCGCCCTGCCCTAGGCTTTACCTTGGAAGCCTGAGAGGCGCCGGCTCTCTTGCTCCTCCATCGATGGACACTGCATTGCTTCTCATCGGACACTTGTGGAGCGCAGGGGCCTGGGGAGCAGCGCTAACCCTGGAGGCAGCCTTTGGGTGATGGCTTTTTCTTCCCTTTTCCTCCCGCGGGCCTGTTTTCAGGTGTTCCTAGCATTTCTGCCTCCAGGCAGGACGGCAGGGGTGAGCAGCTTTGGGAGAGACACCTGGCCTTTTTCTCCTGGAGCCTCTCCCTCCCGGCCCTGGGAAGTGGGCGCAGCCCTGTGTTCCCCCAGCTTGGCAGATGGGCTGCATGCGGCGCTCCCTTCCTTCCCACGCTCAGCGGCCCCGGCCAGACCCTGGCAGACTTCACACCTCATTGCTTTACCCCCTGGGGCCTGGGGAAATGTCTGTACTTTGGGAAGTCACAGAAATACATTTTTGTGCAAAATGGAAAACAGAGCGTCTTTTTTTGTGGAGGGGATTGCTAGCCTGGCTTCCAGGCTCTGGAGCAGGGCTTGAGCCACCCCTGGCAGGGGGGCTGCAGTGTAGGTAGTTCTGTGGTAGGGAGGGGTGCGTTTGGTGGGTTAAAGGGCTGCAGGCTGGGGACAGGTGGCAGGGGACTGAGCTGGAGTACCTGTTTCCTATGTGTTCTCTTCACATCCCTGTGCCCACTGAGGACACAGCTGGCAACCAGACCAACAGGGTGCCTGCCTAAGATGGCTCAGCCTGATGGGGGAGACAGATGGCAAATAGAAGATTACAACTCTGTGCCACCATCAGGGAGAAGGCAGCGGAGGAGGTGCCTCCTGCCAGTGGATGGGAGTGGGCAGGCGGATCAGGGAAGCTTGGAGTCCGCTGGGCCACAGTGCTTTGGGGAGAGGGGGAGGAGCCAGCACGATGTCCCCATGTGTCTGGGAGGCTTCTTACAAGAGGACAGAGTGGAGCCAAACCCAGGGAAAAGAAGGAGGTTGCCCAGGCCTGGCCCGAGGGGCTGAGGAAAAGTGCATCCTCAGCAGAGGGTCCCGCCAGGGTGGACAGAGAAGCAGCCCCATGTGGCCCTGGCAGCGTGAGGAACAAGGGTAGAGTGGGAGGGGACCAGGAAGTCGCTGGTGCCAAATTGTGAGGTGCCCAGACTCTAGCATGGCCCAGGGCCGTCCTGGCTGACACCTGTGGTCCCCGCACGTCTATCAACAGTGCCTTGTCATCCTTAAGAGCTGCCTGGTTGGAATAAGAAATGATATGGTGGGCTGGGTGCGGTGGCTCACGCCTGTAATCCCAGCACTTTGGGAGGCCGAGGTGGATCACGAGGTCAGGCGATCAAGACCATCCTGGCTAACATGGTGAAACCCCGTCTCTACTAAAAGATACAAAAAAATTAGCTGCGCTAGGCGGCCGGCACCGGTAGTCCTAGCTACTTGAGAGGCTGAGACAGGAGAATGGTGTGAACCCAGGAGGCAGAGCTTGCAGTGAGCACAGATGGTGCCACTGCACTCCAGCCTGGGTGACAGAGCGAGACTCCGTCTCAAAAAACAAAAAAGAAATGATACGGTCACACCCTTTATAGGCCACCGTGAGTGTGTGGATTTTACCCTTTATGTGAGGTTTTAAGCCTGGGCATCAGGACCCAATTAAGCATTTCTGGAAGCTGAGCACTGACTCCTCCCACAGCCTCTGTGAAGCCGAGGTCCCCTCTTCTCCACCCCCTGCAGGGCCTGGACCTGGCCTCTCTCTCCCCTGGCTGACAGCCCCCTGCCACTGGCCACCCACAGGACCTGGGCAGGAAGGGCATCAAGTGGTTTGCCTCAGAACCCTGGTGGGTCGTCTGTGCCTCGGAGGGAATGAGGGCAGTGCCTGCCAGCAGCAGCCAACACTGCTGAACCTTATTCTGTGTCCCAGGCCCCGGGCTAAGTGCTTCATGTACCTTCCGCTTCCTCAGAACCCTGGCAATAATCCATTTCACAGACAAGGACACTGAGGCTCAGAGAGGTGAAGTGACTTTACTTTTTATTTTTTTCAGACAAGGTCTCACTGTTGCCCAGGCTGAGTGCAATGGCACGATCACAGCTCATTGCAGCTTCGACCTCCTGGGCTCAAGCAATCCTTGCACCTCAGCCTCCCAAGTAGCTGGGACAACAAACGTGCACCTCCATGCACATCTAATTTTTGTTTTTTTGTAGAAATGGGGTCTCACTGTGTTGCCCAGGTTGGTCTCAAATTCCTGGGCTCAAGCAATCCTCCCACTCCAGCCACCCACAGTGTTGAGATTACAGGCATATGCCACCATACCTGGCCTGACATGACTTATTACCTCAAGGTTGCCACAGTAAAGGAGGGAAAACAAGATCCTCAGATGTGCCAGGTGCTCCTCCTCTAGCTCGCTGGCCTGATACTTGCCATTTCCTGTGTCAGGAACACTCTAGTTCCTGCTCATCCCATCACAGCACCTACTTATCTCATGGGGCTGAAATTGCCTTGTCTCGTCTCCCCCACTGGACTGTGAGCAACAAGCCACATCAAGGCTCTGCTGTAGCCCAGCACAAAACCTGGCACATGGAGGGCTCTCCTTTTAAAAACCTGTGGCCAGGCTGGGTACAGTGGCTCAGCCTGTAATCTCAGGACTTTGGGAGGCCAGGGTGGGCGGATCCCTTGAGGTCAGGAGTTTGAGACCATCCTGGCCAAAATGGTGAAACCCCGTCTCTACTAAAAATACAAAAATTAGCTGGGTGTGGTGGTGCACACCTGTAATCCCAGCTACTCGGGAGGCTGCGGCAGGAGAATCACTTGAACCCAGGAGGCAGAGGTCACAGTGAGCTGAGATCGTGCTATTGCAGTCCAGCCCAGGCAACAGAGCAAGACTCCATTGCAAAAACAAACGAACAAAAACAAAAACCTAGGTGACGGGATGAGCTGTGCAGCAAACCACAGTGGCACATGTTTACCTATGTAACAAACCTGCACATCCTACACATGTACCCCTGAACTTAAAATAAAAGTTGGAGAGAAAAAAAAAAAGAAACTAATTTTGCCGCTCAGCACCTTCAAACATGACCTACCTCTCCAAAATAGACTGATGTCTAAACCATAAAGCCATTTTACTGAGTCTCCCTAAGAAATGTGACCTCTGGCCGGGCACAGTGGTTCACACTTGTAATCCCAGCACTTTGGGAGGCCGAGGCAGGCGGATCACAAGGTAAGGAGTTCAAGGCCACCCTGGCCAACATGGTGAAATCCTGTGTCTACTAAGAATTTTTAAAAAATTAGCCAGGCGTGGTGGCACGTGCCTGTAATCCCAGCTACTTTGGAAGCTAAGGCAGGAGAATTGCTTGAACCCAGGAGGCGGAGGTTGCAGTGAGCCTCAGATCACACCAGGGAAACAGTACGAAACTCCCTCTCAAAAAAAAAAAAAAGTGCTGGGCACAGTGGCTCACGCCTGTAATCCCAGCACTCTGGGAGGCCAAGGCGGGCGGGTCATCTGAGGTCGGGAGTTTGAGCCCAGCCTGACCAACATGGAGAATCCCCATCTCTACTAAAAATACAAAATTCGCTGGGCATGGTGGCGGGTGCCTGTAATCCCAGCTACTTGGGAGGCTGAGGCAGGAGAATCGCTTGAACCTGGGAGGCAGAGGTTGCAGTGAGCCGAGAGCCCGCCATTGCATTCCAGCCTGGGCAACAAGAGCGAAACTCCGTCTCAAAAAAAAAAAAAAAAGTGTGGTGGGATGGGAACTTACAATTGTGATCCTTCCTCTGTCCATTTGAGATGAGTGTGTATCTCCTACAACTCAGAAGTGTCTTTTTCAAGGACCTGAAGGCCATTCTATTGAAATGTAATATCAGGAAGGACAGAGCCTCTGTCTCCCAGTCTCTGCAGGAGAACAGAGTCCTAACTTTCACCATTGCCAGCGAGCACGCGGAGCTGCCTAATCACATTTACCATGACCAACCCTTTGGAATTTTTCATTTCCCTTATTCTGCTGAAGCCCTCACCGTTTCCCTCCACTCCCTCATTCTCCCTTTAAGCCAGACATGGTGGAGCACGCCTGCAGTCCCAGCTACTCTGGAGGCTGAGGGGGAAGATTGCCTCAGGTCAGGAGTTTGAGGCCATAGCGAGACCCCATCTCAAGAAAGCAGAAAACCAAAACCACAAAAAACATCAGTCACCTCTGCACAAACAGAAGTTTCAGTTGGTTCACACTGGGCTCTCCGCCCTATCAGTAGTATATTGTTAATTAAAATCTGGCCTTACTATTTGAACTAGTGTTGGGATGTTTGATACTAGCACAGTGCCTAACCCACGGAAGCTTCAGAATTATGTGCTGAGTGGATAATGTGCTGGATGTCCCCACTGAGCACATCAGATCCTGCACCCAGTGCAGTAGTCAAGACTTAGCTGCAAATGACAGACACCCAACTCAAACATCTACTCAGGCTAGTCAAAGGTGGGAATTGGGGCCAGGCATGGTGGCTCACACCTGTAATCCCAGCACTTTGAGAGGCTGAGTTAGGCAGATCACTTGAAGTCAGGAATTCGAGACCAGCCTGGACAACATAGTGAAACCCTGTCTCTACTAAAAATACAAAAATTAGCTGGGCGTGGTGGCATGTGCCTGTAACCCCAGCTACTTGGGAGGCTGAGGCAGGAGAATCACTTGAACTTGGGAGGTGGAGGTTGCAGTGAGCCCAGATCGCGCCACTGCACTCCAGCCTAGGCAACAGAGTGAGGCTCTGTCTCAAAAAAAAAAAAAAAAAAAAGGTGGGCATTCATTGACTCTTGCAACCAGGGGATGCAGAGTCAGTATCAGCTTCAGGGACAGCCGGATCTAGAGGGCTCAGACAATGTTGTTCAGACCATCTCTTGCTCCCTCCTTTAGTGCTGCTTATCCATCTCTATGTGTCTTTATAAGTTGGTCTCATTTTCTCCAGCCACAGACAGGGTAAGCCCTCTCCGCCCAGCGTAAAGACGGCTCCCAGTTGCCTTATATCCCATTCCTTAGGCTTGAGATCCAAAAGAATGCTCCTTCCTCTCAGCATCTAGACAGTAATCTCATGGAAGGCCTGTGATTGGTTCTGCAGAGTCGAAAGCCCACAGCCTGCCGCTCGCCATCCTATGGGGTGAGGGGCAGTCCCTCCAATCACATGGGATGGGAAGTCGATTCCCCAACCAAAAAAAGGATGTTGAGCTGAGAAAAACAACAGATGTCAGAGGAGTATCCTGGAGGAGCTGGGATGGGGCCAATCAGAGGGAGGCGGAGGAGGATGCTGGTATCAGTGGGAGGTGCTGTGGAAAGGCGGGGCTGAGTGGAGAAGGCCCTGGGGACACAGGGAAGGAGGACAGCCTGCAGCCTCCGGTGAGGAAAGTCCGCCTGTAGGTGGTGGCTCACAGCAGGAGAGGCAAGACAGTCCCGTGCTAGACAAGGCGCTTCCATTATTTAATCCTCCCAAACACCTTAGGAGGAAGACACTATTGTAATCCCCCTTATAGAGACAGAAAACAGCTCAGAGGGGCTCAGTAACTCGCCCAGGGTCACACAGGTAGGAAGGGGCAGTGCTGGGATTTCTGACTCCCGCCTAAGTTGGATCACCCATAGTCAGAATGTGCACCACGTACCTCCACTTTTCTCTCGTCCGTTTGCAATATCTGAGAATACATAGCAAGGAGGTAAAGCTGTCACCACAGAGCAACCTTGGGCGAGCCTTGGCCCTCTCGAGACTTTAGTCATCACATCTTTGAAATGGGTACAATTTTGCCTCCCGGACTCACAGCAAGCCGCTGGATCTTCGAAGCGCCCAGGGAGCTACGCGCATGCGCGAGGCTGCGAGGGCGGGCACAGGGGAACGCGGGGGAGGGCACAGCGGAGCGCGGGGGAGGTGCGCGCGCGCTCCGGCGCTTTCAAAAGTTACCTGGCGGGTGGGGCTGGAGTTGAGGGAGTTACCAGCTGCGCGCGCGCCGGCCCCACCCTCAGCCTCTTCAGGCACCTGTTGGCTTGAGGGTCCATTCGGCCGCAGATGCCATCCAATAGGCAGCCTCCCTGACCCAGTCCGGCCCCGCCCAACGCCTAGATCCACCAGTCCCCGGGCGGCGGCGTTCCCCTCCCTCGGAGGGCCCGCCCCTCTGGGCGCTTCTTCCGGGTGGGGCCCCGGGCCGAGGCGATGGCGCCCTGGGCGCTCCTCAGCCCTGGGGTCCTGGTGCGGACCGGGCACACCGTGCTGACCTGGGGAATCACGCTGGTGCTCTTCCTGCACGATACCGGTGAGCCGGACCCCGAGCGACCCCGGACCCACCCGATCCCGCGTACTTCCCCAGACGTTCTGGTCACACTGGGTCTCCCGCCTAATCCCTGGAGATCCTGGGATTGGCCCGATCTCCACCAGCTCCTGAAGCCCTCTCCCCATCTATCATTCCAAGAGCCACCTGCTCTCTGTCTGATACCCCGTTGATCCCTAATTAATCCCAGCATCTTCCTGATCATTGCCAAATGCCCTGTCCATCCCAGGACCCAGCCGGTGCCCACCAGATCCAAGGACCGACTTGAGCCCCATGTCCCCTGATCCTGGGACCCACATGATCCTTCCCAGGAACTGACCCCAAATCTTCCTATCCATACGATTAGGAGGCTCAACTAGATGCAAAGATTGGCATTCTGCCCACACCCACACCCCCCACACCCCCATGGCCACTAGCTGCCCAAGTCCAGGCAAACCCTCAGGCCAGAGAACACTCCATGGGGTGCGGCCTGTCTCCCATCTTCCCACAGATTCACCCACCCACCCACCTCCATTTCCCTCATTCCTCTTAGTAGCCCCCTACCCAGCGCCTCACCTGCCACAGGCAGCCTCCCCCACTGTCCCCCACAGCAGACCCCAGCCCTCCTTCCATGGCGGTCCAGCCTCAGTTTCTGGACTGGGGCCCCTTCTGGCTTTCCTCCCAAGACAGACCTCCTCCACCACCTTCACCCTTTAGCCTAAAAACTTGCTCAGGTCTCCGTATCAGAAAACCCCCCTCAAAACCCACCCTTTCTTCTCTGCTCCCCCTTACAACCAAGGGACACAGGATTTGTCTACACTCTGCTGTCTGGTGGTCTCATGCCCCCTCACTCCTTGCCCTGCACCCTACCTCCCCAAAATCCTGTCACCTCCCTGGGCTGAAGCCTGCTGGACCCTTCCGTATGCCCCTCTGCAGCATCTGAGCCTGCCAGCTGCACCCTTCCCACTGTATCTCTCTCAGGCATTTCAGACCTAACCAGTCTCTCACCATTGCAGAGCCAGAGACGCTGGACCCCTCTTCCCTCTCTCCCACATCCAGTCAGGTCTGGCTCCCTTGACCCAGCAGCCCCCTGTCCATTCCTTCCTCCCTCACTTCCTGCCAGGCCTTTGTAGCGACTCTCTTCTTCCTCCTGGCCAGATTCTCTGCCCCCAGGCTTCCCCTGATCCATTTCTTTAGCAATGAGGTTTTCCAAAACAGATCTGGCTCTATAACCTTCCATGGTTCCCTCTGACCCTCCAGATAAAAGTGCAGATGAACTGCTGGCCACACACAGCCACTCATGGAACCAACATCTCCAGGCCTTTGCTCAGCCAGGAACACACTTCCCCACCTCCAACTGCACCCCAACCCCACCCACTCCTGTTCTACCCGGCCCAGCCTCACTGTGCTCTCCGGCCTCTCCAGAGCTGCGGCAATGGGAGGAGCAGGGGGAGCTGCTCCTGCCCCTCACCTTCCTGCTCCTGGTGCTGGGCTCCCTGCTGCTCTACCTCGCTGTGTCACTCATGGACCCTGGCTACGTGAATGTGCAGCCCCAGCCTCAGGTAACCAGGGGCCCCTACTCTCACCAACAGGGACCTAACAACCAGCACCAGTCTCCATGCCAGGCTCTGTGCTGCAGGCTCTTGTGGGAGCAGTTCAGTGACTCCTCTTGCCACCCCTAGAGCCCCATCTACAGTAGTGAGGAAACTGCTGGGCCCCAGAGAAGGAAGAGACTTGCAAACATACACAGCCGCCCTCAGTCCAGGGTGCTCCGCCATACCCCACACCTCCATTCTGCATGGGATGGGTCCCAAACTCCATACCCAGAGCTAAGCCGGCCCCTAGGGGAGCTGCCCGCCAATGCCATCTGTCTCCCAAGGGGACCCTGTCTTACACCCCACCCCTCATTCCAGGAGGAGCTCAAAGAGGAGCAGACAGCCATGGTTCCTCCAGCCATCCCTCTTCGGCGCTGCAGATACTGCCTGGTGCTGGTGAGTGATGCACGGACACCCGTGGGAGAGGTTGGGCCAAAGCTGAGACTCCTCGACCTCCTCCTGCCCCACTGCCTGGGCCTCGCCCCTCCTCCAAGAAGGCCTTCCAGAATCAGGCCCTGATTCCTTCCCTCAGTGGTGGGCCCACAGCAGGGCTGGCACTGAGCCTCCACTCTCCTCCATGCCCACAGCAGCCCCTGAGGGCTCGGCACTGCCGTGAGTGCCGCCGTTGCGTCCGCCGCTACGACCACCACTGCCCCTGGATGGAGAACTGTGTGGGAGAGCGCAACCACCCACTCTTTGTGGTCTACCTGGCGCTGCAGCTGGTGGTGCTTCTGTGGGGCCTGTACCTGGCATGGTGGGTGCTGCTGCCCGGGTGTAGAGGGAGGGTGGGATGAATGCTCCCACAGGGGTGGACAGAGCCAGGACTCCCAGGGACCCGGCATGGGGAGGGAAGGGCTCCCCTGCCCTCCCCCAGCACCAGGCCCCTGTCCCCTGCACCGCAGGTCAGGCCTCCGGTTCTTCCAGCCCTGGGGTCAGTGGTTGCGGTCCAGCGGGCTCCTGTTCGCCACCTTCCTGCTGCTGTCCCTCTTCTCGTTGGTGGCCAGCCTGCTCCTCGTCTCGCACCTCTACCTGGTGGCCAGCAACACCACCACCTGGGAATTCATCTCCTCACACCGCATCGCCTATCTCCGCCAGCGCCCCAGCAACCCCTTCGACCGAGGCCTGACCCGCAACCTGGCCCACTTCTTCTGTGGATGGCCCTCAGGGTCCTGGGAGACCCTCTGGGCTGAGGAGGAGGAAGAGGGCAGCAGCCCAGCTGTTTAGGGTTGCTGGAGGCCGGGCTACCGTCTTGTGCCTGAAAACCACGGGGCCTGTCCCCAGCTGGGGTGAGCGCTCAGAGGGCCTGGGGCCCTCACTCCTGCCCACGCCTCCCAGACCCCAGAACGGAGCTTCAAGTCAGACAGATCCCTGCCTTGGTGGGCAGTTCTGCCTTCCAAGGAAGAAGGGGAAGAAAAGGACCTGTGGGTGGCTCAGGCCCAAGCAGACCCCGGGCTCCACCCCAGCCCCGCCCAGGCTGCTGCCAGTGCACACTTTTACAAATTTAATATAAAGCAAGTCCAGTCTTAAAAAGACAAACCATATCACTCCTTGCTGCGGCACCCTTTCTGGGCCAGGTCTCGCTGGGAGGTAGAAGAGGGCGAGCTGGAGGGGGAAGGGACACACTTTGCCCAGTGACACTGAGCAAAGCCCACAACAGTGGCCCCATGGCTGCCACTTTGAATCCCAAGGGCTCAGAAGTACCCAGCAAGGCCTGGACCTCCAGGCAGGGCGCACGGGTGAACGAGCAGAGGCTCTAACAGTCTGTGGGGGAAGGGGACAGAGGTGCCAGGAGATGCCCTCAGGGTTCCAGGAATCGCTCTGACACAAAGTCGAAGTCCCGGAAGGCGGCCTGTTGGCGGGCAGTGAGGAGGCTGTGGGGTGCAGGTGGGGTCAGGGCAGGCGGCAGCCCTGTGAACTCGCCCTCAAAGTAGCGCAGGTCCGCAGGGCCACACAGGGTAGGCACGAAGGGGGGCTGGATGGTGCGGGCGAGCAGGGCTTGCCAGTTGGTGGTCTGAGGGCAAAGGAGAGGCGCCTGAGACGGCAGGAACAGCAGCTCCAGGAGTCACTCCATGCCACCTACCCTGCCAGGCACAGGGGACCACCGCCACCCCAGCCGCTCACCCTGAAGAATGGCTGGACCTTGATCTCCTCGGCATCCTGCTCACCTGCCCCGAGGCGCTTCTCCGGGCACTTCTGGAGGAGCTGGGCAATAGGACAGGCGCTCACTTAGGGCATTCAGCCCCAGGCACTGCCATCATCCACAGGCCCCAAGCACGCTGGCCCAGAGCGCTCTAAGGATGGGTGGCAGGGGGTCTGCTGTCCCACGGCAGAGGGCACATGGGCCTTGAGCGGCCATCCAGCCCAGCCCCAGACCCCGCAGTGCTTACCTTCTGAATGAACTCAAGCCCTTGCACCGACAGAAAGCCGGGGTAGGGGGCGTCCATGTTGACGATGCAGTCAAACACCTCTTCCTCTGTGTCCCCTGGGAACGGGCACTGTGGAGATGGGGGCTCAGCAGGATGCACGGGCCACCCCACCCCCACCCAGAGGCCCAGGAAACAGGCTCCAGCACTCACCTCACCCACCAGCATCTCGTAGAGCAGCACACCCAGCCCCCACCAGTCCACAGCCCGTGTGTATGCCTCCTGGGTCAGCACCTCGGGAGCCAGGAACTCCGGGGTGCCACAGAAGGTGCTAGTCCGGTCCCCGAAGCCGATCCCTGCAAACCAACAGGCACACCAATAGCTGCTTGGTGTGGCCTATTCACAATAACTTCAATAGCCAAGCCTTATGATGCCAGGGAGCTGAGCCTGTGCCAAGCCCTGCCCTGTACCCAAGGAAGTGGGAATGGTTATGACGCCATTTGACTGCATGCAGAGCCAAGCTCACAGGCTAAGGTCACAGAAGGCAGAACTCGGCTGGGTGCGGTGGCTCACACCTGTAATCCCAGCACTTTGGGAGGCCGAGGTGGGCAGATCATGAGGTCAGGAGTTCGAGACCAGCCTGGCCAACATGGTGAAACCCCGTCTCTACTAAAAATACAAAAAATAAGCTGGGTGTGGTGGCATGTGCCTGTAATCGCAGGTACTCGGGAGGCTGAGGCAGGAGAATCTCTTGAACCTTGGAGGCAGAGGTTGCAGTGAGCCGAGATTGCGCCATTGCACTCCAGCCTGGGCAACAGGGCAAGACTCCATCTCAAAAAAAAAAGAAGCCGGGCGCAGTGGCTCACGCCTGTAATCCCAGCACTTTGGGCGGCCAAGGTGGGTGGATCATGAGGTCAGGAGATCGAGACCATCCTCGCTAACACAGTGAAACCCCGTCTCTACTAAAAAAATACAAAAATTAGCCAGGTGTGGTGGTGCTCGCTTGTAGTCCCAGCTACTTGGGCTGCTGAGGCAAGAGAATCGCTTGAACCCAGTAGGTGGAGGCTGCAGTGAGCCGAGACTGCACCACTGCATTGCATCCTGGGCGGCACAGCAAGACTCCGTCTCAAAAAAAAAAACAAACCAAAAAAAAAACAGAAGGCAGAACTCAGTCTCCTCTCCCATCCCTGACCACAGGCTCTCCCTTGGGCCAGGTGCAGGCTGGGGCTACGAGCCTCTAGGACTAGGAAGAAAGGGCCAGTGTGCCCAGCTGTCCCCTGGAATGAGGTCTGGGGTGGTGGAACCAGGGCATCCGCAGGTGAGGAGATTTCCTGGGACATGCCATGTGCCCATCATCCTATTGGCCAGGGTGGGTAAACAAGGCTGGAGATATGGATCCCAATGGGCGGCCCCCACCTTCCTTGCAGAGTCCAAAGTCTGCGATCTTCAGGAATCCCTGGGCATCCAGCAGAAGGTTATCCAACTTCAGGTCCCTGAGGGCAAGGGTGCAGATCAAAGGGACTGAGTGGGGCTTAGACCCAGGGAACAGTAACGGCCCCTGGAGCAGCCCAGGCAGGCGGAGGCAGCATCTGTCCTTACCCACTCCACCCCCACCCCCACCCCTACCCCCGTGCATCCCTGGGACAAAAGTCACCTGTAAATGATCTTCTTCTCGTGTAAGAACTGCAGCCCCAGGACAACACAAGCCACGTAGAAGCTGCAGGGGTGGTTATGGGAGAACTCAGGCCCAAGACACACACCAGGGAGGCAGGGCAGGGAGGCACCAGGATGGCCATAGCGGGGGGATCCCGGATGTCCCGGCCAGAGTCAGAGATGAGTGAGACTGGGACAAGCATCATGCTGAGGGTGGGGGTGCTCCAATAGTCCCAAGGTCGCCCCAAGGTTGCGTGCATTTCCAGCTCACCCTTCATGGGCCCTTAAATGGTGCCAGGGACCAAGTGTTGGTCCCTGCAGTGGATATTCATCATGCCTATTTTTTTTTTTTTTGAGACGGAGTCTCACTCTGTCACCCAGGCTGCAGTGCAGCGGTGCGATCTCGGCTCACTGCAACCTCCACCTCCTGGGTTCAAGCAATTCTCCTGCCTCAGCCTCCCAAGTAGCTGAGACTACAGGCACGCGCCACCACGCCCAGCTAATTTTTTTTTTTTTTTTTTTTTTTTAGTTTTTATAGAGATAGGGTTTCACCATGTTGGCCAGGATGGTCTTGATCTCTTGACCTCATGATCCACACGCCTCAGCCTCCCAAAGTGTGGGGATTACAGGCATGAACCAACGTGCCCGGCCTTTTTTTTTTTTTTTTTAGATGGAGTCTCACTCTGTCGCCAGACCGAAGTGGCGGGATCTCGGCTCACTCCAACCTCCGCCTCCTGGGTTCAAGCGATTCTCCTGCCTTAGCCTCTCAAGTAGCTAGGATTACAGGCGTGTGCCACCATGCCTAGCTAATTTTTGTATTTTTAGTAGAGACAAGATTTTACCATGTTGGCCAGGTCACGAACTCCTGACCTCAGGTGATCCACCCGCCTCAGCCTCCAAAGTGCTGGGATTACAGGTGCCCGGCCAATCATGCCTATTTTTCAAATAAAGATCTGAGACTCACCAGGTGTGGTGGCTCACGCCTGTAATCTCAGCACTTTGGAAGGCCGAGGTGGGCGGATCACTTGAGGTCAGGAGTTAGAGACCAACCTGACCAACATGGAGAAACCTCGTCTCTACTAAAAATACAAAATTAGACAGGAGTGGTGGTGCATGCCTGTAATCCCAGCTACTCAGGAGGCTGAGGCAGGAGAATGGCTTGAACCAGGGAGGCGGAGGTTGTGGTGAGCCGAGATCATGCCATTGCACTCCAGCCTGGGCAATAAGAGCCAGACTCTGTCTCACAAAAAAAAAAAAAAAAAAAAAAAAAAGAAACCTAATGCACAGCTTCATAAGCTGATACCCAGGATCACAAATGCTGTCAGTTGGTGCCAGGATGTAAACCAAGGCCTCTGACTCCTGCTCCCCTGCTGTTGGGCACTTGGAGAAAGCAGTATGTAGAGAGTGGGTGTAGGGAACCAGGCAAAGTTTGCTGGAAGAGGCAGGCAGGAGGGATGGAACCCACCGGGCCTGGGGCTCGGGGAAGACATCCTCGTGGATCTGCATCATGAGGTCACCACCAGGCACAAACTCAGTCACAAAGCAGGCATGGCTGGAGGTCTGGAAGCAGGCAAGGAGGGAGAGCAGGAAAGGGTGCCCTGTGCAGCCCACAGCCTCCAGGATCCGCTTCTCGCAGTACAGGCTACAGGAGAGAGCAAGAGTATTAGAGGGAAGGAAAACTTTCCCTGGGCTGTGCCCTGTGCCCTGCACAACACCCCTGGCTCACTGGGCCCTCAGCCAAAGTGCCAGGCAAGTAGACTGATGGTTTCTTTTCATTTTTTTTTTTTTTTTGAGACACAGTCTTGCTCTGTCGCCTGGGCTGGAGTGCTGTGGTGTGATCTCAGCTCATTGCAACCTCTGCCTCCCGGGTTCAAGAGATTTTTGTGCCTCAGCCTCCCGAGTAGCTGGGATTATAGGAGTGCGCCACCACGCCCAGCTAATTTTTGTATTTTTAGTAGACGCAGGGTTTCGCTGTGTTGCCCAGGCTGGTCTCGAACTCTTGGCCTCAAGTTATCCACCTGCTTCGGCCTTCCAGAATGCTGGGATTACAAGTGTGAGCCAGTGCGCCCAGCCTTTTTTTTTTTTTTTTTTGAGACAGGGTCTCACTTTCTTGCCCAGGCTGGAGTGATGTGGTGCGATCTCGGCTCACTGCAGCCTCCGCCACTGAGGTTCAAGTGATCCTCCCACCACAGCTTCACGAGTAGCTGGGTGTGCACCACCACGCCCAGCTAATTTTTGTATTTTTTGTAGAGGCGGGTTTCACCATGTTGTCCAGGCTGGCCTCGAACTCCTGGGCTCAAGCAATCCTCCCACCTTGGCCTCCTGAAGTGCTGGGATTACAGGCATGAGCCACTGTGCCCAGCCTCCCCCTCCTTTTTTTTTTTTTAATTAGTTTTTTTAGATGAGGTCTCATTCTGTTGCCCAGGCTGGAGATCTCTGCTAACTATAACCTCTACCTCCTGGGCTTAAGCAATCCTCTCACCTCACCCTCCCAAGTAGCTGGGACTAAAGGCACATGCCACCATGTCTGGCTATTTTTTATAGATGGGGTTTCACCATGTGATTCAGATTGGTCTTGAACTCCTGGACTCAAGTGATCCGCCTGCCTTGGCCTCCCAAAGTGCTGGGGTTACATGCATGAGTTACCACGCCTGGCCATAGAGTGATGGTTTCTATATGTCAGGGGCTCACAAGGAGCTCTGAACGTGCACAGCCACCAATGCCCCCATTTTACAGTAGAGCAAACTGACAGAGAGAAGAGGGGACCTGCCCAAGGAAACACAGTTAACAACTGCAGGTGCCAAAAGAGAATGCAGGCTGGCTGGCCCCACGGGGTCACCTCTCCAAAGCCCCAGGAACCTTCAACTGCCCTCTGGATGCCACAGCCCAGGCCAGCCATCCTGGGTGCCCTGCGGCACCCCCACACACCTCTCTATCTCGTCCCGGCTGAGCACCTCCTGCTTCTTCAGTGCTTTGATGGCGTAGTATTTCCCTGTCCCCTTGAACTGGACCAGGAGGACCTGGGGCCAGAGAGAGGTTGTGCTCCAGGTGGGCCAGACCAGGGAGCCTTTACCGCCCCCACAGATCAGGTCCTCCCGGCTCATGTGATGAGGCCCCCAATCCCGTCCCATACCACCCTCTTCAGCCCACTACCTTCCCAAAGTGTCCCCGGCCCAGCACAGCTAAGCAGCGGAAGTCCTGAAGCCGAGGGGGTTTCCTGCAAAGGAAGAGAGGGTATATGAAGTCCCCTAGGGCACTGGCTGGGCCCCTACCCAGAGCCACTCCAAGCCTCCCATGCCCAGTCCTGGGCTGTCCCGACCTATGGGCTCGAAAAAGCCCTGCAGTAAGGACTCCTAGAAGCCGGCATAGAGCTGGAGCTCAATAATGTGGGTTTAGTAAATCAGACCCCGAGAGCCAGTCAGCGCACCCGCCAGGGAGCCAGGGAGTAATGTATGAATGGATACACAAATGTTCAAGCAAGCAGACGAACGTCTCAAACATGAAGGTGCGCAGGATGGGGTACCTGGTGGGGGAGGCTGGTGGAGATGGCCCACGTCGAGTCCTAGGCTCCATATGGGGACGTTTGGTGCGCTGTGAGTATAGAGGAGCTCAGGGCAGGGCTGGGCTTCCTTCTCTCTTTCCCTTCAGGCCTGCCACCCCACAGCTGGGTGGCCCTGCCAGCCCCAGCCGGCCCTAGGAGCCACTAGTCCCTCCAGCCCCTCACCGGAGTCTCCTCGGATGTTGGCTCCTGGGGGAGGTAGAGGCGTGGGGGCTTGGGTGGGGGTGTCATCTCTTCACCCAAGGGGGTCTTCTTGGGCAGGAAATTACTGTAGGGAGAAAGTAGACACAGTGCCCAGCACAGGCAGACGCAAGAGCTGGCAGGATGGACACACCAACCCAAAGTGAGATGGACAGAGGGTTAGCGGGCTGAGCAATGCAGACAGACAGACAGATACCGCCTGGATCTGGAGTCAGGAAGCCGCCACAGAGGAGCATGCAGTCTAGGGCAAGGGAGCTCCTCACCTGGGAGTGGCAGGGTCAGAGGCCTCTCGCAGTGTTGTTGGGGTCCGAGGGCATCCTTTAGGGGGGCTGATTGTGCTCGGGGAGCTGCAGGGGGGCAGCAGGTTCATGACGAGGCGCCCCCAGGCCGCCATGCCGAGGTTCATCTGCGAAGCCCTCAGGAAGTCCTGGCCTGGGAGAAAAGGGGGAGCTTAGTCCCGGGACCCCAGCCCTGCTCCCTCACACATAGCCCCCATTCCCTCCACACCTCTGCGTTTAGAGAAGATGCGTTCCTGCCTCTGCAGCCGGGGCCGCCTCTCAATGACAGGATCGCAGAAGGTCACCTGCAGGGGTAGGGGCAGGGTTGTGGACCAGTCGCCTCCCATCTCATCTGCCATGGCACCTCCTCTGCCCCTGGGATTACAGCCCAAGCCCCCAGGGTCAACAGATGCAAGAGCCAGAAAGACCCAGAGAAACAGATTCAATGTCCTCATTGATACTAGTGGAGAAACAGAGGCCCAGGGAGGAGAGGCACTTTTCCAGGGTCACACCTGAGGCAGGGCAGTCAGGACAAGGACCCAGGCCTCCAGATGCAGCCCTGAGAGAGCGGCTAGGAGCCCTTATTCCTGGAGCCCTCCTCTCTGGTCGTCAGTCTCTGCACCTACACGCAGTGCATCGGTCTTGAAGGCCTTCCTGGCCCTGACGCCCCAGGGTCCCACCAAGTCAGAGGGCGGAGGTGGTGAGCACCTGGGCAAAAAGCAGTCCCTGCGGTACCAGGCTGAGGGACAGTTGGTGACAGGCATTGTCCAGGAAGTCCTCAAGTCTCAGGAAGGCCACGCCACATAGCTGCCGCCAGTCCCGCCAGTGTACCCCAATCTCCAGCTCACGGGCCTGTATTGGGGAGGCCAGGCTGAAGGGTGGGGTGCAGAACGAGCCCCGACCTGGGCAGCCTTCCACCCCGCAGCCCAAGGTCACCCCTGACCACACAAAGGCCAGCCTTACTCGCTCCAGTGGGATGACAAAGGTCTGGTCCCAGGACTGTTCGGCCACCTGCCCCCAGCCCGTCTGCCCCACAACACGGTTGTCCACCTTTAGCACAGCCAGCACCTCGCCTGCAGGGCCAGAGCCGGGACTCAGGGCAGGCCTGAAGCAGGGGTCTCCTGCTCCCCCTGAAGCTCCTTCCCTACTCACTGGCAAGCTCGCCTCGGCCACGCTGGTGCTTGGCCTTGGTCCGAAGCCAGCCCTCGGAGGGGCTGCTGGCCAGTGCGGCCGCTGGGGAGCGCCCAGGCACGGCTGTCAGCAACTGTTCACAGCCCAGGAGGCGGACCTGCAGTGTCCCTGTGGGGAGAGTGAGCGGGGGGCGTTGTCAGATGCCATCTTCCCACTGCTACCACCAAGGTGTCCTGGGACCCCAGGAAGGCCACCCTCTCCAGGAGGTGGCTGAACCCAGACCGTACCCACCTGAGGCCAGGGCAGTTACCTGAGGAACCTCACTCAGTGTGGCGGCCTAGAGTGCCTAGACTGGAGCCTGCTGACTGTCCTGCAGCTCCCAAGCACCATGAGCCCCCCAAAGGGTACCCTTGGACCCCGATGACACCCTAGGAGGCCTCCGACCTGGACACTCCCAGGTGAGGAGCCACGTTGTCCCAGAATGCACACTTCTCTGTGGCAGCCACCTCTTTCCAGGGCAGAGCAACTGGCTCTCCCCTCCACATGCTGGAGCGGCAGGGACATAGGCTCAGACCTCAGACCTTAGCCAGGCTGCACAGAGCCACAGCACATGACGAGATGCTGCCTAGAAGTGGGGCCTAGAGAGCACTGTGGCAAGGATAAGAGCTTGGGACAGGGAGCAGGAAGCCTGGCTTCCTGTCCGGACCCACCTGCTCCCTGGGCCTCAGTTTCCCCATCTGAACAGTGGAGGTGAGTCCCAGCTCTGCCCCACCTCTCCCAATGGATATGAAACGTGTTTTGTCAACGGAGTAAGTTCATGTGTCACGTCACTAGAGGGTTGTCCCTCAAAGGGTAGAGAAAGCAGTGGGGATCTAGCAGCTTTTGAGGACACGAAGCAGGCCCAAGAGTATCATTTAGGGAGAGTCTGGGCCTGGGGGTTACACACAGAGAGAACTTGTAAACAAAGGCAGGGGTCCAGGGTAGAAAGAGAAGCTTAGAAAGAACAGCTCGGCCGGGCGCAGTGGCTCATGCCTGTAATCCCAACACTTTGGGAGACCAAGGCAGGCAGATCACCTGAGGTCAGGAGTTCAAGCCCAGCCTGACCAACATGGCGAAACCCCATCCCAACTAAAAATACAAAAACCAGCCGGGCATGATGGTGGGCACCTGTAATCCCAGCTACTCGGAAGGCTGAGGCAGGAGAATCACTTGAACCCGGGAGGCAGAGGTTGCAGTGAGCCAATATTGTGCCATTGCACTCCAGCCTGGGCGACAGAGCAAGACTCCAGCTCAAAAAAAAACAAACAAAACAAAAACTTGAGGCCGGGCGTGGTGGCTCACACCTGTAATCCCAGCACTTTGGTAGGCTGAGGCAGGTGGATCACCTGAGGTCGGGAGTTCGAGACCAGCCTGGCCAACATGGTGAAACTCTGTCTCTACTAAAAATACAAATATTAGCCGGGCATGGCGGTGGGCGCCTGTAATCCCAACTACTTGGGAGGCTGAGGCAGGAGAATCGCTTGAACCTGGGAGGCGGAGGTTGCAGTGAGTCAAGATTATGCCACTGCACTCCAGCCTGGGCGACAAAGCAAGACTCTGTCCCCCACCCCCCCCAAAAAAAAGGCCGGGCGTGGTGGCTCACACCTGTAATCCCAGCACTTTGGGAGGCCGAGGTGGGCAGATCACGAGGTCAGGAGATCAAGACCATGGTGAAACCTCGTCTCTACTAAAAATACAAAAAATTAGCCGGGCGCAGTGGCGGGCGCCTGTAGTTAGTCCCAGCTACTCGAGAGGCTGAGGCAGAAGAATGGCGTGAACCCGGGAGGCAGAGCTTGCAGTGAGCCGAAATCACACCACTGCAATCCGGCCTGGGCGACAGAGCAAGACTCTGTCTCCAAAAAAAAAAAAAAAAGAGGTGGGGCGAGGTGGCTCACGCCTGTAATCCCAGCACTTTGGGAGGCCAAGGCGGGCAAATCACCTGAGGTCGGAAGTTCGAGACCAGCCTGACCAACATGGAGAAATCCCATCTCTACTGAAAATATAAAAATTCGCCAGGTGTGGTGGTACATGCCTGTAATCCCAGCTATTCAAGAGGCTGAGGCAGGAGAATTGCTTGAACCCGGGAGGCGGAGGTTGCAGTGAGCCAAGATTGCGCCACTGCACTCCAGTCTGGGCAATAAGATCGTGTCACTGCACTCCAGCCTGGGCAATAAGAGCAAAACTCCATCTCAAAAAAAAAAAAGGACAACTCAAGTATCTGGGGTGTTTAGCCAGGGGACAGGATATGGGGTGGCCTTGAGTAGTTGACTTCTAGGCCTTTTAACAAGCTGTTTCTTCTGCGTTCCTCAACTTGTCTACTTGGCCATAAGTACTCCCGTGTAAGTCCTTCAAGGCCAAGACACCACCTCCTCTAGAAAACATTCCTTGGGCCGGGCATGGTTGGCTCACGCCTGTAATCCCAGCACTTTGGGAGGCCAAGGCAGATGGATCACCTGAGGTCAGGAGTTTGAGACCAGCCTGGCCAACATGGCAAAACTCTGTCTCTACTAATAATACAAAAATTAGCCAGGCATGGTGGTGCAGGCCTGTAATCCCAGCTACTCGGGAAGCTGAGGCAGGAGAATTGCTTGAACCCAGGAGGCGGAGGTTGCAGTGAGCTGATATCGCACCACTGCACTCCAGTCTGGGCGACAGTGCGAGACTCCATCTCAAAAAAAAAAGAAAAGAAAATATTCCTCGATTCCCCAAGGCCAGGTGAGAGGGCTCCATCCAGAGCCTGCATTTCCTCTTCTCAGCTCTGCTCACAATGGAATGGGGTCAGTCGGCCCTGTAGCAGTGCTCTGTGGAGACAGGCACTGGCCTTTCCAGCTCTCACTGTATCTCGGTGGGATACAGCTTCAAAGCCCATGCTCTCAGATTATTTGTTGATGATGATTTGGCTGCTGCTACAAGGAGACAGATCTCAGTGCAAGATAAGAAAATTAACTTTTTTGGCCGGGCGCGGTGGCTCACACCTGTCCCAGCACTTTGGGAGGCCTAGGCCGGCAGATCACAAGGTCAGGCGATCGAGACCATCCTGGCTAACACGGTGAAACCTTGTCTCTACTAAAAATACAAAAACAAAAAATTAGCCAGGTGTGGTGGCGGGCACCTGTAGTCCCAGCTACTCGGGAGGCTGAGACAGGAGAATGGCATGAATCCGGGAAGAGGAGCTTGCAGTGAGCCGAGATCGCGCCACTGCACTCCAGCCTGGGTGACAGAGCTCAGAGTCTCACTCTGCTCGGAGTCTCACTCTGTTTGGAGTCTCACTCTGTCACCCAGGCTGGAGTGCAGTGGCACAATCTCAGCTCACTGCAAGCTCCGCCTCCCAGGTTCATGCCATTCTCCCACCTCAGCCTCCCGAGTAGCTGGGACTACAGGCGCCCGCCACCACACCCAGCTAATTTTTGCAAATTTTTTTTTTTTTTGAGACAGAGTTTTGCTCTTGTTGCCCAGGCTGGATTCCAATGGTGCCATCTTGGCTCACTGCAACCTCCACCTCCCGGGTTCAAGCAATTCTCCTGCTTTAGCCTCCTGAGTAGCTGGGATTATAGGCATGCACCACCAGGCCCGGCTAATTTTGTATTTTTTAGTAGAGACGGGGTTTCTCCATTTTTGTCAGGCTGCTCTCGAACTCCCGACCTCAGGTGATCCACCCACCTCGGCCTCCCAAAGTGCTGAGATTACAGGCATGAGCTGCCGTGCCCAGCCTAATTTTTTTTTTTTGAGACGGGCTCTCTGTTGCCCAGGCTGGAGTGCAGTGGCGCGATCATGGCTCATTGTACCCTCAACCTCCCTGGGCTCAAGCAATCCTCCCACCTCAGCCTCCCAAGTAGCTGGGACTACAGGTACGTACCATCATACCTGGCTAATTTTTTTATTTTTTTATTTTTTTTTGAGACAGAGTCTCGCTGTGGCCCAGGCTGGAGTGCAGTGGTGCGATCTCGGCTCACTGTAGGCTCCGCCCCCCGGGGTTCCCGCCATTCTCCTGCCTCAGCCTCCCGAGTAGCTGGGACTACAGGCGCCCGCCACCACGCCCGGTTAATTTTTTGTATTTTTAGTGGAGACAGGGTTTCACCGTGTTAGCCAGGATGGTCTCGATCTCCTGACCTCGTGATCCGCCCGCCTCGGCCTCCCAAAGTGCTGGGATTACAGGCGTGAGCCACCGCGCCCGGCGATTTTTGTATTTTTTGTAGAGATGGAGCTTTGTCATGTTGCCCAGGCTGGTTTCAAACTCCTGGACTCAAGTGATCCACATGCCTCACCCTCCTAAACTGCTAGGATTATAAACATGAGCCACTGAGCCAGACCAGAAAACTCTTTCTTTTTTTTTTTTTCTTGAAAGAGTTTTGCTGTGTCACCCACGCTGGAGTGCAACAGTGCAATCTTGGCTTACTGCAACCTCTGCCTCCCAGGTTCAAGCAATTCTCTTGCCTCAGCCTCCCCAGTAGATGGGATTACAGGCATGCGCCACCACGCCCGGCTAATTTTTTTTGTTTCTAAAGATGAGGTTTCACTATGTTGCCCAGGCTCGTCTAGAAATCCTGGGCTCAAATGATTCGTCCACCTCAGCCTCCCAAAGTGCTGGAATTACAGGCTTGAGCCACTGTGCCCAGCCAAGAAAACTTTCTTTTTTTCTTTTTTTTTTGAGACTGGGTCTCAAAAAAACTCCTGAGCTCAAGCAATCTTCCCACCTCAGCCTCTCAAAGTGCCAGGATTATAGGTGTGAGCCACTGCACCCAGCAATTTTAGTTTAATTTTATTATTTTTTTTCCAAGGAAATTATTATTATTATTTTTTGAGATGGAGTCTTGCCCTGTTACCTAGGCTGAAGTGCAGCGGCGCAATCTCAGCTCACTGCAACCTCACCTCCTGGGTTCAAGCAATTCTCCTGCCTTAGCCTCCCGAGTGGCTGGGACTACAGGCATGTGCCACCACATCCAGCTACTTTTTTGTATTTTTAGTAGAGACAGGATTTCACCATGTTGGCCAGGCTGGTCTTGAACTCCTGACCTCAGGTGATCCGCCCACCTCAGTCTTCCAAAGTGCTGGGATTACAGGCATGAGCCACCATGCCTGGCCCAAGAAAACCTTTTTTTTTTTTTTTTTTGCGACGGCGTCTTGCCCCGTCGCCCAGGGTGGAGTGCAGTGGCGTGATCTCGGCTCACTGCAACCTCCGCCTCCGGGGTTCAATCAATTCTCTGCCTCAGCTTCCTGAGCAACCAGGATTACAGGCACCCGCCACCACGCCCGGCTAATTTTTGTATTTGTAGTAGAGACAGGGTTTCACCATCTTGGCCAGGCTGGTCTTGGAACTCCTGACCTCATGATCCACCCACCTCAGCCTCCCAAAGTGCTGGAATTACCAGCGTGAGCCACCACGCCCAGCCTAGAAAACTTTCTAACAGTCCAAGCTGCCCAGTGCTGGGTATCAAGCTTTCCAGGGCTGCGAGCTTCCTAACACCAGTGCTTTAAGCATTATTCTGGTTATTTATGTAAATACAAGCTACGCTGTCCGAGTGCTGACTGTGCTAGGCACTGTGCTTAGCACATCACGTGCAACACAGCAACCCTATGAGGTAGGTGCTATATCATCCACATTTTACAGATGGATAAACTGAGGTTTGAAGAAGGAATGTCAGTTTGCCAAGGTCACGCTGCTAGTGGGTGCTGGGGCAGGACTGGAACTCTTGAACTCTTCATCAGAGTTGTTTGTGCTTCCGGCCTCCCCCCAAAAAGAAGGAGAGCTTTGAAGGGGGAGGAACTTCTGACTACCTGTTAGGGCGGTGGGCTTCACAGGTGTCCCTGAAGGCTGGGGGTATCCAGGCACCGCAGCCCGCAACTCTCGGGTCACTCTGCTGCGCAAAGGGTGGGCAGGAGGCAGTTGCTCCAGCAGCTGCTCCAAGGCCAGGCGCAGGAGGTCCAGTTTCTGAGAGGACTCCTGTAGCTGGGCCTGGGCCTGCAGAGGGGACAACGTAGAGCCAGGTTCGTGGGGTATATGGCAGGGGGCAGCAGCCCAGGTCACCCGGAGCCACCTTCCGCATGAAGTCTCAACAGAGAAGTCCTGCTTTTACACGGCCACCCTCCCTTCACACCCCTGCTGAGGGTGGTATGGGAACAAGCCAGCCTTAGGAGAGGGCCAGGGCTGGGGCCTGACCTCAGCCAGTGCCTTGCGGTCCTGTGTTCTCCGGCTACTAAGCAGTTTCACCACGTTCTTGGCGCCCTCAGCCACAGCTGCCTCAACGTGCAGTCGATGCTGTAGCTCCTCCGCCAGCAGCTCAGGCCCTGTGGGAAGGACGGCGGCTCTCAGGCCCTGCTCTTCCCTGCTCCGCCCTCCCTGTGTCTCAAGGCCTCACCTGGCTCCGGGGACCCACTGGCCTCCAGGCTGCTGATCTTCATCCGCAGCAGGGCCACCTTCAGCTGGCTGTCCCGCAGCATCTGCTGGGCAGCTGCCAGGAGCTTCCTCTCCTATGGAGCCATAGCACAGGCCCATCAGACCAGGCCTGGGCCACAGCTTCCCCCATCAGACCAGGAACTGGAGCCGGGTCTCCCCCATCAAAACAGGGTTAAAGTGAAACCTCTAGGCCAAACACTAAAGTCAAGCCTCCCTTGTTGGACTAGTTGGTGGGTCAGGGGAGCCTTTTCCATCTGACCAACAAGGGCTGGGGTCAAATTTCCTCTTTCATATCACGGCTGGGGTCATGCCTCTCCCATCAGATCAGGGCTGGGGCTAACTCTCCCCCATCAGATCAGGGCTGGGGCTAACTCTCCCCCATCAGATCAGGGCTGTGGTCATGCCTCCCCCATCAGAGCAGGGTTGATGCTTCCCCCATCAGATCAGGGCAGGGGCTAAGCTAAGCCTCCCCCATTAGATGAGGGCAGGGGCTAAGCTAAGCCTCTCCCATCAGATCAGGGCTGGGGATAAGCCTCCCCCATCAGATCAGGGCAGGGGCTAAGCTAAGCCTCCCCCATTAGATCAAGGCTAAGGTCCTGCCTCCGTCATCATATCAGGGCCACAGCCAAGTCTTCTTGTCAGACAAGGACTGAGGCCCAGTTCTGGACATCATGCTGGGAGTTGGGACTGGGGCTGGGCTAGGATCCCATTAGACCAGGGCAAGGCCTTCTCTGTCACACTAGAGACTACAGCCATGCCTTCCTCACCCAGCTGGGGTTTGGGGCTGTATTTTCCCCATCAGGCTGCAGGCTGGAATGGTGTCTCCTTATGAGCCCAATGGCTGAGGTGCATTTCCCTGTCAGACCAGGGGCCAGGGTGCTCCTGCCATCAGACTGTGGGGCCTTACCTTGGGGGTGCCACTGGCGCACGTGTGGGTCATGTTCTCAGCCCCCTGCTTCACCTTCAGCTCCACATGCAGCTGCCTCCGGAGAGCCTCTAGGTGCCGAGCCCTGAGCTGCTCTGCCCACGGCCGGGGTCCTGAGGCCACAGGCTCTGTGCACGGGGGTATCGAGCACAGGAGTCCCTCACCCAGAGCCGAGACCCCCACTGTGGCCTTTCCTCCTTCCCCTACTGATCTATAGGCAGGAAATGAGGTGGTCTCGCCACAGTGGCCAGGGCCAAGGCCAGGGGCCAGATGGGCCTAGAGCCTTCTGTCCTGAGGGGGTCTCAGCTCCTCACTCACCAGCTGGGCCAGGCCCAGGGCCGGGCAGCAGGATTCGGGCGTGCAGCTCCCGCAGCTCGCCATGCAGCTGCTCCAGGCGGCGGTTGGAGGACCGCAGCAGCTGCTGCACATGGCCCAAGTGGCGGCGGTCTGTGGCCACGCGCCGCAGGTTCTCCACCCCCTCCTTGATCTTCAGCTCTTTCTGGATGGCCCGGCGGATCACCTCCTTCTCATCCTCTGGGGGCCACTGGCTCGGCCCAGGCTGCAGAGCCGGTGGAAAGCAGAGGGTGGAGAACAGCCATGGGGTGCAGCGGCCACCAGCAGCCTTTGCTCACTGCAGATGGAGGCGAAGGAAGGGACGGCACCCAGGACTGACTCGCACAGGGTTTTGGAAGCCTCTCTCCCCTTAGAGCTCAGGCCTGAGCCAGATGGAAACTCCGAGGCCACTCATCTAGGCCAGGCTCCTGTCCTCCGCCCGTTAGAGAAGGATGTGGCGGGGGGGACAGTTCACACGGTAAATGGGTGCCAGGTTCTATTCTAAGTGCTTTGCATATATTACCACATCACTCCTCCCAGCCACCCCACCCGGTAGCGGTGGTCATTACCCCCATTTTCTTTTTTCTTTTTCTTTTTCTTTTTTTTTTTTTTGAGACAGTTTTGCTCTTGTTGCCCAGGCTGGAGTGCCATGGCACGATCTCGGTTCACCACAACCTCTGCCTCCCGGGTTCAAGCGATTCTCCTGCCCCAGCCTCCTGAGTAGCTGGGATTACAGGCACACGCCACTAAGCCCGGCTAATTTTGTATTTTTAGTAGGGACGGGGTTTCTCCATGTTCGTCAGGCTGGTCTTGAATCCTGACCTCAGGTGATCCACCTGCCTTGGCCTCCCAAAGTGCTGGGATTACAGGTGTGAGCCACCACGCCTGTACTATTACCCCTATTTTCTAGTGAGGAAACTGAGGCCCAGAGAGGTGAAGTAACTTGCCCACAGTCAAGACACAGAGGAGGGGCCACCATCTCTCGGGCCCCAGCTGTCCCTGGCAGCCCTGGGTAATCAGGCTGCTCTCTCTACATCTGGGACCCAAAGTAGAGTCCAGGAGCCACAAAAGCTACGCCGAATAGGGGTTCACACGAAGCCACATGAGAAGGCAGCCAGGGGCCTGGGAGCCAGGGCTTGTTCCCCTGATGTCCCAATGCCACAGGTAGCAAAGCAGAGGCACAGAGAGGAACTGGGGAGGTCTCCGGGTGCCCACTCCCTGCTCAGCTCCCGGGAGGAAGTAGAAGGCTCTCTCACGGCTTCACCCAGGTTGGAGCCAGGAACAGGAACACCTCCTTTCCAGCCGCCAGCATTTCAAACCAACCGGTGCCAAAGGTGACCTCAGGCCGGGTAACCCATGATGCCCCGCAACACGGGCTGTTGCAGGAACCCCATCTTACCTCTCTGTGTTCCATCTTCTCCTGAGCCCAGTGGAAGGGGCCGCAACCCCAGACTCAGGGACCCCCCCACCCCAGACCTCAGCGGGGCCTGCTGGCCCAGCTGTCAGAGGGCAAGGGCGAGGCTCAGGAAATCCTCTGACCGCCCTAGGCCACAGGGCCAGAGCCAAAGACCGGAGCAAACAAAGGTCCCATGGAGCTGGGGGCCCGGCCACCGGGGTCCTGAGTCACCCAGCTGCCGCTGCAGGGCGGAGCCCCGCAGGAAATCGGAAAATGTGTACAAGCTACGTCTGGAACAGGCGGAGGGACCTCCAGAGGAAGGGGGTGGGAGGGGGCAGACCGAGCCCCAGCCCTGAAGGCGGCCTAAACGACTGGCTTGGGCGCTCAAGGAGTCTACACGCACCCCGCAACACCCCCATGGTCCCGTCTGCCCTGGGTTGGAACTCCAACATGGACACACACACCACCTCCTTTCCGCTCTTTGCGGGGACCCACTCCTGTCCGCAAATGCCCCCCTCCCAACCACTCGCTCCGGAACAGGACACCACCTCTCCCTCCTCAGGAGCAGATAGACATGGCCTCGGTCCTCCGGGCCCACGCGCACCTACTGCCAGCTCTGGCAGGAAACCCAGCCCCCTCCGCATTCTAGAACCCGCTATGTACCCAAAGGTTCCCGCCCTGGGGCGGGGGAGGCCGCTCCCCTCTCATCTACGCTCCCCTCGTGCCTCCTGTGCTCCGGGAAGGACTCCTGCCACTGCCAAGCGCGCACAGACTGCGCCCCCCGCTGCGCGCACATTCTAACCCCCCCAGGCCCCTGTGCCCCGCCTTTCTATCCCGGCTAATTCCCGTCGGCCTTGGAGCCCCACCGAGGAGAACCGACTTAAGGACACTCTGGGGACCACCCTGGTGGCGCACACTGCGGACTCAGCCGTCCTCGCTCACGGGCTGGTTGGGGTTCAGTCTCCGGGTCAGCCGCGGACTGATTTGGAGACTGTGCAAGGTCCAGGAACCACCGAACCCGGAGATCAGGTCTGCTCTGCGAGGGCGTCGCGGGGCCGGGGCCAGGGCAGGGGCAGGGAAGGGGCGCGGGTGAGGGGAGGATCGGGGGAAGCGGCCGCGGTTCGGGGCTCCGGGGCGATGACAGAGGCTTTCTCGCACCCCCCGGGCCCGCGCGCCCCTCCCACGCCGTTCACCTGCCGCGGCGCCCCCTCCTCCATGGCGCCGCTCCGGCCGCTTGGGGCCCTTCTCTCAGCCACTCCGGTCCCGGAAGCCGCAGACCCTCCGCCAGGACTTTCAAACTTGAAACTTCCCGGGAAGCGGCGCCGGAGACGCGGGATCGGGCGCCCCCTCCCGAGACCCGCTGGCCCGCGGGACCAGCGCCGCCTCCCGTCCGCGCCGATCCAGCGCCCGGGACCCCACGCCCGAGGTCCCGCGCCCCAGCGCCTCCCTCGGATCCAAAATTCCGCGGGATTCTGGGCCCAGTACCCGGGCTTCGGCGCCTGCGGTTCCCGCTGGGCGTGACCGCGCCTCACCCCCGGTTTGGACGCTCAGGAGGCACATCGCCCGCGCCCAGGTCCTCTGGCCTTCCCCGCCGCGCGCCCGCGGGAGCCGGCCAGTTAGGGACAGGGATGGGGGAAACAGCGCCCCCTGAAGGTTGCCGGGTCGCCCAGCCGGGTGCAGCCGGTGGAGCTGGCCGCCTCCTCTAACTTTGAGCCCCTCTACAACCTGGCTCCCGCCTCTAACGCGCTGGGCCTCCTCGACCAAGCCCCTCAAGTCTCTCTTTGTCTCGCACGTTGTTGGTGTAATGTGGGCTAATCCAAAATTGTCTCTCTCCTCGGAGTGGTTGGCCCAGACTAGATATTAGTCACTACAAGAATGTATACTAGGCCAGGTGCGGTGGCTCACGCCTGTAATCCCAGCAGTTTGGGAGGCAGAGGTGGACGGATCACGAGGTCAGGAGTTCGAGACCAGCCTGGCCAACATGGTGAAACCCCCGTCTCTACTAAAAATACAAAAATTAGCCGGTCGTGGTGGCGGGCGCCTGTAATCCCAGCTACTCAGGAGGCTGAGGTGGGAGAATCACTTGTACCCAGTAGGCGGAGGTTGCAGTGAGCCGAGATCCTGCCACTGCCCTCCAACCTGGGTGACAGAGCGAGACTCCATCTCAAAAAAAAAAAAAAAAAAAAAAAAAGAACGTATACTTGTGGAAAAGTAAATCCTCACCCAAAATTATGATAAATTACAAATTACAGATGAATGAACCAGACCTCTCTCCGGCCCATCTCTTACTCAGACTGAGCTTGCTGGTTCAGCCCGTGCCACTTTTTAGGGCTTTACCCTAAAAAGCCCATCCATCCACACGGGAGAAAAGCCATTTACACCTGGTGAAATAGCCGCCACTATTTCAGCCCAAGGGAGGTGTGCTGGTCACTGCCTAGTCTATGGCGGGCCATTCAGCCCGTCCTGGCATCCTGCGTTTACAGGAGGTTGTGTCAGCACTTCGTGGAGGAGCGTCCTCCAGGAGGTGGGAAGGTGATGAAGGGTCAAATACCGACAGTGACTTGGAACAGACAGGCTCTGGTGCTCTTACTGAATGAAGGAAGCCACATGTTGTGCTTTGCACTAATCACTTCCTTCATAATGGACTGGAAAAAAGTGAAATTGGTGAGCCATGGACAACACTGGGTTGTCCTGCTATGGGAAATCACCCAAGTGGCATTGACATATAAGCAAAGGCAACTTGGCTCTGTGAAACATGCCCAGATTTCATAATCAGAGGCGAAATGTGACATTTACACATTAGAGTTGTTGAGGTCTAGACATTAGCAGAAGCACCTGGCACATAGTAGGTTCTTTGACATGGGGGTTGGCTGGGCATGGTGGCTCATGCCTGTAATCCCAGCACTTTGGGAGGCTGAGGAGGGCAGATCACTTAAGGTCAGGAGTTCAAGACCAGCCTGGCCAACATGGTGAAATCCCGTCTCTGCTAAAAAAAAATTAAAAAGGCAGCTGGGCGCGGTGGCTCACGCCTGTAATCCTAGCACTTTGGGAGGCCGAGGCAGGCGGATCACAAGGTCAGGAGTTCGAGACCAGCCTGGCCAACATGGTGAAACCCCGTCTCTACTAAAACTACAAAAAAAAAATATTAGCTGGGCATGGTGGTGGGTGCCTGTAATCCCAGCTACTAGGGAGGCTGAGGCTGGAGAATCACTTGAACCTGGGAAGTGGAGGTTGCAGTAAGCCAATCTCGCCACTACACTCCAGCCTAGATGACAAGAGCAAAACTGCATCTCAAAAAAATACATAAAATAAAAAATTAGAAAAACTAGCTGGGCGTGGTAGCGCACGCCTGTAGTCCCAGCTACTCGGGAGGCTGAGGCAGGCAAATCACCTGAATCTGGGAGGCAGAGGTTGCAGCGAGCTAAGATCACGCCACTACACTCCAGCCTGGGCAACAGAGCAAGATTCTGTCTCAAGAAAAATAAATAAATAAAAATAAAATAAAATGGAGGTTAAATGAACGTTATTATCCATCATTTAGAAGCAAAAAGGCTGACCAAGCCCAGTGGCTCATGCCTGTAATCCTAGAACTCTGGGAGGCTGATGAGGCAGGAGGATTGCTTGAGGCCTAAGAGTTCAAGACCAACCTGGCCAACATAGTGAGACACCATCTCTTAAAAAAGTAAAATAAAGAAGTAAAAAAGTCCTCAGCTTCTCACTGCAGCTCATCAAAAACCCAGGAATCAAACTAACAAGCCTTCCCCACCTTTTAGGAATTCTCCAGTGGTGCAATCAGTCCAGCCAGCTAATTAACACTTTAAAATGTGTATTTGCCTTGATGGCTAAATGTTACTTCTGGAAGCCAAGAGTAATCTGAGATAACTCTCCATAGGAGGGTGCTCACATCTCAACTCCCGGCTCATTTATCCACTCACTGCAGGCAGGAAGCTGAATTCGATGGTTTTCCAAGTTTGGTTGGAAAGTGGCTTTGTTTTTTGTTTTTTTGAGAGAGTCTTGCTCTGTCACCCAGGCTGGAGTGCAGTGGCTCAATTTTGGCTCACTGCAACCTCCACCTCCCGGGTCCAAGTGATTCTCATGCCTCAGCCTCCTGAGTAGCTGGGACTACAGGCACATGCCACCACACCTGGCTAATTTTTTTTTTTTTTTTTTTTTCTTTGAGACGGAGTCTCGCACTTTCGCCCAGGCTAGAGTGTAGTGGCTGATCTCGGCTCACTGCAAGCTCCGCCTCCAGGGTTCACGCCATTCTCCTGCCTCAGCCTCCCGAGTAGCTGGGACTACAGGCGCCCACCACCACGCCCGGCTAATTTTTGTATTTTTAGTAGAGACGGGGTTTCACTGTGTTAGCCAGGATGGTCTCGATCTTCTGACCTTGTGATCTGCTCGCCTCGGCCTCTCAAAGTGCTGGGATTACAGGCGGGAGCCACCGCGCTCGGCACACCTGGCTAATTTTTTATATTTTTAGTAGAGATGGGGTTTCACCATGTTGGCCAGGCCAGTCTCGAACTCCTGACCTCACGTGATGCACCTGCCTCAGCCTACCAAAGTGCTGGGATTACAGGTGTGGCTGCCGCGCCCGACCTGGGGAGTGTTTTTCACCACCTTACACAGGGAAGCCAAGTCCTGGACTGCTGGATGAGTCTGACCAGGTAGTTGCACCTTACTTCTGATAGTGATAACACTTCATAAGACTGGAATTCTTAGGAAATTCGTGTTCAGCATTTAGTGGACCGTGAATAGTGCAAACCAACTCTCTAGCCAGTTGGCCTTTAAAAGACTATAACTCACTGGGCGCGGCGGCTCGCCTGTAATCCCAACACTTTGAGAGGCCGAGGCGGGCGGATCACGTAAGGTCGGGAGTTCAAGACCAGCCTGACCAACATGGACAAAGCCCGTCTCTACTAAAAATACAAAATTAGCCGGGGTGGTGGCGCATGCCTGTAATCCCAGCTACTCAGGAGGCTGAGGCAGGAGAATCGCTTGAAACCGGGAGGTGGAGATTGAGGTGAGCTGAGATCGCGCCATTGCACTACAGCCTGGGTAAAAAGGGCAGAACTCCATCTCAAAAAAAAAAAAAAAAAAAAGACTATAACTCAACTGAAAGGAACCTAAAACTTGTCAACAGGCTGCATGAGGAAACATTTTCCCCCTTCCATGAATACAATTTTTTCCTTCTTGGTGTTGCAACCAATTTTTGTTTTTTCTGAGACGCCATCGCACTCTGTCGCCCAGGCTGGAGTGCAGTGGCACGATCTCAGTTCACTGCAACCTCCGCCTCCTGGGTTCAAACAATTCTCCTGCCTCAGTCTCCCAAGTAGCTGGGATTACAGGCGCCCACCACCATGCCTGGCTAATTTTTGTATTTTTAGTAGAGATGGGGTTTCCCCATGTTGGCCAGGCTGGTCTCGAACTCCTGACCTTGTGAACACCCACTCAGCCTCCCAAAGTGCTGGGATTACAGGCGTGAGCCACCGCGCCTGGCCCTACAACCAGTCCATTTTTATTTCGGTTTGTCTCTGGGTAGAATCTGAGCACACAATGTCACCAACTACAGTTGGTCTATACCCTCCACTTTAAAAGTCCTTGCTATTCTGCAGCCCTTTGCCTCAGGCCTATTAAAAAGTAAACTTGTGCTGGGCGCGGTGGCTCACGCCTGTAATCCCAGCACTTTGGGAGGCCAAGATGGGTGGATCATGAGGTCAGGAGATCAAGACCATCCTGGTTAACAAGGTGAAACCCCGTCTCTACTAAAAATACAAAAAATTAGCCGAGTGTGGTGGCCAGTGCATGTCGTCCCAGCTACTCGGGAGGCTGAGGCAGGAGAATGGTGTGAACCCGGGAGGTGGAGCTTGCAGTGAGCAGAGATCATGCCACTGCATTCCAGCCTGGGCAACGGAGCCAGACTCCGTCTCAAAAAAAAAAAAAAAAAAAAAAAAAGGAGTAAACTTGTGACTGGCCGGGCACTGTGACTCACGCCTGTAATCCCAGAACTTTGGGAGGCCCAGGCGGGCAGATCACGTGAGGTCGCGAGTTTGAGACCCGCCTGACCAACACGATGAAACCCCATCTCTACTAAAATATGAAAACTAGCTGGGTATGGTGATACGTGCCTGTAATCCCAGCTATTCAGGAGGCTGAGGCAGAAGAATGGCTTGAACCTGCTAAGTGGAGGTTGCAGTGAGCTGAGATCGTGCCACTGCACTCCAGCCTAGGCGACAGAGTGATACCTCTGTCTCAAAAACAAATAAAATGAAATCACTGGAGAAACAAAAACCGAGATGGTCTAAAGCAGAATATTCCTTAAGGTTTTGAAACTAGATGTAAGGACATCTTGCAAGCTACTGCCCTCCATCCTAATTCATGCAGTTATTAAATACCCCTCATAAACCAAATACAGCACAGCTTGGGAACACAGCCCCTTCCTAAACAGCCATTATTACTCTTGTCTTGTTTTGAACAGGGTCTTCTTGCTCTGTGGCCCAGGCTGAAGCACGGTGGCAAACTCATAGCTCAGTGCAGCCTCAAAACTCCTGGGCTAAGGCAATCCTGCCCCAGCCTCTCAAGTAGCTAGGATTAGCCTAGCGCCACCACACCTGTTTTTTTGTTTGTTTGTTTTTTAATGGTAGTGTTGGGATGTCCCTGTCATCCAGGTTGGCCTAGAGCTCCTGGACTTACACGATCCTTCAGCCTGGGCCTCCCAAAGTACTGCAATTACAGGTATGCGCCACTGTGCCCAACTTCTATTTTCTATTTTCAAATGTCCTTGAGAAAAGGAGCTGAGCCCATTCCAATACACACTAAAGACCAGCCCAAGAACTTGTCTTGCAGTTGGACACAAGGCATGCTGGCTACTGTGTATGGAAGTTTTTGGTACAGTAAGGTTGCCATTTTGTTTTCTCACAGCCTAGTTCTCTTACAAGATTTGCAGATATTAGTGGCACCTCAGGAGATCACAATAGTTGAGTGAACTACTACTACCTTAAAGGGCTCCCGATTTTTTACATTCCCGAAAATAAACGTTATTGTGACCTATAACCTGACAGCCCTAGACGCTCACCAGCATGTAAAACCACTAGTTGTGCTAAGTTTCACTGTTAAGTTTGTGAGAAAGTTATCACAGGCTTGTGGATATTGATTCAAATGACTACAGTAGCCCCACTTATCCAAAGGAGATACATTCTAAGATGCCCCAGTGGCTGCCTGAAACCACAGGAGTATCAAGCCCCATACAATTTTTCCTGTACCTGCCTATAAAACTTAATTTCCAAATTAAGCACAGTAAGAGATTAACGGTATAGGATAATTTTGACTATTGTATACTATAACTATACATTCACACATTTAACATACAGTATAGGTGTGAATGTAGTCTCAAAGTATCTGAATTGTAGTTGACCACATGTAGCTGAAGCTGCAGATAACAGGACCCACTGTACTCAATTTTCTTCCTAGTGAAAAGTCCTTTTGAGACTTCAGAATGAAAATGCTATACTCACCCTCTCAGAAACTGTTTACTCAGAAACTGTATCCAAGTAAGATATTTGAATTTGTCCTTTACTCGGACACCGACCAGCTCAAAGCTTTCTAAACCAATGTCATACCATTAGCGCTAACCCACGCTTCCCCAGTCACTAACGATGTGAAGACAAAAAACTAGAACAATTTCTGAATCCAATAGCAAGTAACATTTCTCTATAAAACAAGGAGAATGACCCCAGTCCAAAAAAAATCTTTATGTTCCTTTATTGGAGCAAGATTCCTGATCGGTATACAGTGATGTATTTACTAAACAGAGACCTGTGCAGAAATTACATACTATCCATCTAGATAGGTTGTTACACTTTTGCCTATTGATGGAATAGTTCCATTTATCAAGTTTTATACATCAAAAAGCTTTTGAAGTTCACCAGACTGTCCATTAATTCACCTCTGAAAAAGTGGCATTTAATTTCAGCGACTATATTTTACAGCATTAAAAAGCTTATGCATTAGGGTGCTTCTCTGCACAATGGCATTGAGCAGACAGAGCTGAGTCCATTATCCCACCCAGATTCACATGGTCACATTTGAGAGCTTTATACCAGAAAGCAGGGACAGTTACTGCTCACCATCAGACTTCTTACTGAGAGCCTATCTTCTTGGCCACATTTTATATAGCCAATGAAGACATGCCAGCAACTGTCCCGTGTATAACTTGGCATTAGAGCACCAGGTCTGTTGGATGGTGGTGGCAGGCACAATTAATTTATATCCAGGTAAAAGGCCAATTTTAAAAACTGCCACTTGGAGATAAAAATCAAGGGCACAATGTACTCAGAGAGTATTGAGCTATCTGGTATCCCAAATGATGTGAATACTTTCAGAAACCAATGGCAAATTGAACCCACGTTTCCCAGCTATGGAGATATTAATACATTGATTCAAATCCCATTACTCAATCCACATAGCCCTGAGGTCATCCTGCAAAGTGCGTATCAAAAAATACGAAGTTAGGGTGACAAAGTTTGACAGTGATGTTATACAAGTCAAACTTGGAAGGTCATAGTAAGCATACCTATGCTGAGAGAAAAGCATCAAATCCTTTGTGTACACATTTAGTTTTATTGTAACAAAGCAACTTGTACACTTTTAACGTTTAAAACTGAGCATCATCTTTCCTTTCCAGTGAAACAAAAAGAAAATTTAAAAATAAACAGGAACAAAATTACAATAGAGAATGTCAATTCCAAATAAGATCCTACAGGTTCTGCTGATTCTCCCATTGAGTGGCAGGGCTCAAGTCATCATTAGGAGAGAATTTATTTTAAAAGTGTCATCTTAAACTGCAAGGATGTCTGTCAAATATCACAATTAAACATGCCAAAGGAGAAGCCATGTTGTCAAAATGCCCACTTAACCCACCCAAACATCTCAAACCCACCCTTTGCTGACCTTCTATAACCCCATTTTTTTAAGTTTTTTTTTCTTTTTTTAAACAAGAGAAAGTAGACAGATACATGTTGGTAAATGCTAACTGTCCATATTCACATAGAGACACAGTGTACTCTCTGAGCCCAATATACAGAGAAAGGAGGAAAAAAGCTAGAATTCTATGCACTACTACACAGGGGCCTAGCACCCTCCAGCTTCCAGCAGAGCGAAGGGAGCAGGTTTTTCTTTTTTCCCACAGAGCTCGGTGGTGTTGATTCCATACAGTTTTTGTTCAGACAGGAAGGGATAAAAATGAACTTCGAACAGAAAGGGGTAGAGACTCTTTTCCCATTGTATTCTGCTCAAGGTATTTCCCCCCAAATAAATTGAGAACCATGGAGTAGAGAAAAGAGACCTCAAGAACAGGGCGACTGAGCACAAGAGGGAAAAAAAAAAAAAAAAAAAAAAAAGACTGCAACTTGCTCCCAGGGACTGGAGAAAATTTAAAAAAAGGAAGGTTGGAATCCATCAGTGTTCTATTTAGTCATCTTCTCCTTCATCCTCCTGAAAGAAAAAGTGGGCAGTTAATCTTCAGGATTAATGCTGAGACTTGCTTTCATATGGACCACAATGGACCCCACGAGTGCCCCTGGGGGCACTCCAGTTTCTAAACCTGTAAGTCAGCTGCATCGAAGGAAACACCCGTGATGATGTTGCTTCAGATTAATTAGTAACTTCAGTTCTAACCAAATCAGGTATATTTCGGATCAAATAATCCGAAATAAAACCAACCTATCCTAATTTGACTATTCAGAAATTGTGCAGTTTGTCGAAAATACATGAAACTTTGTTATTTCAGAGATGTCAGAATTTGACCAGCTACACTGCCTATATTGCCTAAGTACTGGCTAGGGAAAAACAAGCTTGGGTGGTGATAAGTCTAACCAAAAAAACCCAAAAAAAAACCAAAAAAAACCTAGTTAAACATTAGTACCATGTGCTTATCAAACATTTCCTTAATTCTTGAACAACAAAATGGCTTACTTTTTTTCCACAATCAGTTCTGGTCAGTTCTACCACACTATATATATATATATACACCCCAAAATAACATGAATTCTTTAAAAGTTATCTTTGTGGGTTTAGCCAAATTTTCTTTTACCTCTCCTTCCTCCCCTTCATCATCATCTTCATCTTCTTCACCTTCATCCTCATCCCCTTCTTCGTCAATATCTTCTAATCCTTCCTCCTCTTCATCATCATCATCATCTTCTTCTCCTTCTCCTTCTTCATCATCCATATCGGGAACCTTAAAAAAAAAAAAGCACAATATAAGGACTCATTTTTAAACAACCGAGACAAGTCCAACCTTGAATAAATGAGTATTAGAACTCACCAAGTAGTACTGTAATGGGTTTGGCCAAATATCATCTTTGATGACCTCTCCTAACTCATCAGCACCTGCATCAGAATGGTCAGTAAACCAGGTAAAGAAGCTCTCTGGTTCCTCATGCTGCCTCTTCCTGCTGGCTTTATTCTGCGTTTGACTCGAACGTTTCGTCAAATCCTAAATGAATACCGGAAGAGCTTTTGATACAATCTCTCCATAACACCCAAACTCCCTATAATTTAAAAAATAAGATTTTCCCCAAAAGCTAAGCAAAACAAATATCAGTATACTATCTACGCTACCATTATTACCTAAGAGCAATTATAAAACTGTGCAGCAGGTAGAGGTAGTATCAACTACATTTGGTTTTCCATAAAATTAGTTCCACTGTTAACAGCCACTAGCACAACACAGTATAAATATCTAAACTATGTCTTACTACCTAAATACGGATGTAAATGATTTTGAGAAATGGCAAGCCATTTGAAGAGCTCAGTCACCACTGCAGAAAACAACAGCAACAAAAAATTTAGTCCAGTTCTCAATTCTTAAACTTGGGCTAGATTTTTCTCTTTTTTTTTGTTTTTTGGAAGGTAAGGGTCTATGTTGCCCAGGGTAAACTCCTAGGCTCAAGAGATCTTCCTGCCTACATCTGTAGTATCTAATGAGAACCCTAAACTACTGTAATACTTGGCTTCAGCACACTGGAACGTTTTATATTTTAAGGTTTTGTATTTAGCCACATGACCAAAGTATCAAGCACTTGTAAGTGGTTAAAACTAAACTGAAATAGGCAAAATGCTATTTTTGTCAAATAATTCCTCAAAACATACCTTTCCAGATTTCCATTTGATTTCGGTGGACTTCGAAGATGGATCACCACTCTCATTCAGATGAAATTCTTTGGAGAGAACTTTATTTTCAAAGTAAGGATTTTCATCAAAATACTGTAATAAATAATTGAAAGATTAGAAATATGAACAGGTCTTCCAACCAAAGCTCACATTAATTTCCACAGTGGCAAACAAGATTAAGTTAGAGATACTTACAAAATCTATTCTGTAACCTGATTTAATATCTTCAAATTCTGTCACTTCAACTCTGGTCAAATAATGCAGTGCCTCTTCATCTTCCTCCCCAAGCAGTGCAGACACTAGGCCAGAAAATTACAGGTCAGCTGAATTTTCAACAGGCACACACTAACAACAATTTAAGTGATCCCTTTAAAATTTTTCCGAACTTAGTGAGCATCTTTGGTTTTATAAACCCATTATTAACTAAAGGCAATTGCTCAATATCAGACTGTCACTATCTTTCATCAAGCAATTAGAATATAGCTTCTCCTAAACAGAATAGAAAGCAGTAGCTGTATATCTTTTCCCGTCTTTGAGGTTTTTTTTTTTTTTTTTTTTTTTTTGAAACAGTCTCACTCTTGTCGCCCAGGCTGGAATGCAAAAGCGCACAATCTCGGCTCACTGCAACCTCCCCCTCCTGGGTTCAAGCGATTCTCCTGCCTCAGCCTCCCAAGTAGCGAGTAGCTGGGATTACAAGCGCGCGCCACCACGCCCAGCTAATTTTTTTTGTATTTTTAGTAGAGACGGGGTTTCAACCTGTTGGCCAAGCTGGTTTCGAACCCCTGACCTCAAGTGATCCACCCACCTCGGCCTCCCAAAGTGCTGGGATTACAGGTGCGCCACCGCACCCAGCCTGTCTTTGTTGCACGCAACCCAGCATGCTGGACTAAGTCTTCACCAAGCTTCCTCCATTCTAACAAACACTGTTTATCCTTTAACAATGCCCTGTCCAAAACATACCTTGTGGATGGTTGACAAATGTTGTTACCCAAAAATTTGGGATTTTGGCGATCAATTCTGACCTCTTCTGAAAAAATGGTTGGCGGAGTTTGTTATATTTCTGTTCTACTTTCAAAATCTCCTCACTGGCTTGTTCATTAAGTCTGAAGCAAATGAAAAGAGATGTTGACAATGATAGTATTTAACAAATTAAAAAATTGGTTGAGATTACAGAGTGTATTTACTTACTAGCTTGAGTCATGCAAAATAACCAAATTATAATAACCATTATCACCTAATTTAGACACTCAAAACTAAGATGGCAATTTTGTCTGATTTATCAATAAACACTGAGTAATAATGACTGTTAAGAGTGCCCAAACTCAACACTCTGGTAACGTGTGTATTTACTTCGCCCACTCCATTTCCAGTCCAATTTCAATTGTTTCCCTCAAGCGCGATTTCTAAATAAAGTGGCTAATCCATAACAAAGTTGTAAGGCAAGTTAGAGCAACCACTGATGCCACACTGCTAAACCATCAGAAGACCTACACTGCAATTCAGACAATTTTCAGTCTTTGAAAGCAAACCCAAACCTTGTAAGGTCAATGCACTTTCAAAAACTTCTGTACAATCACTTCACCAAAAAACACTGAATCTACATAAGTATTTCCAACCAAGTTAGAATCATTTCCCCTTTGACAGTGGATAGATTTGACCATAGCTTCGATAATTACCGGGCTATTAGACACATCTCAGAAAATTTCTCCGAAGTATATTAAGAAAAATGTTACCTGTCTATTTCATTTTGTACTTCATCAATGTGTTCAATCGCTTCTTGCTGTTCTTTTTCTGCAAAAAAGGAGCAAAAAACTTAATTCTAAGATAAATTTACCTAGTTTTCCAGATGTTAATACTATAATATTCCAAAAGCCATTAAAACAAAAACAAAAACGCCTAGTACAAAGGCAAGCGTTCCACATGTTCATGCTTGTAGCTGACTAATTTCTTTTTAATTAATTAAAAGACCATTTACAAGTCATGCTGTCTGCTGGTTTACTCAGAAATTGGTTTTCTATAGCGCCTTTTTAAAGAGTTTCACTACAACAGACCGATCATTAAGGTTTCTACTATGAAAGACACAGAATAACCTTATTCAGAAGTCTTCACGTTTATTATTTCACATTATACACTTGCAAGAGAACAGTAGCAGCTGCTAACTAGAATATGGAAACTAAACCCATGACAATGATACAAATTAGGCCACCACTACCACCTATCAAGGTAAAACCACCTTTCATAGAAAGTTGACGACTCTGCTATTACGATGAAGATACCAGGCACGCCTACAAAGACTGGAAAGTCACGGGGCACCATCCTACACCCTGGCCTTCGCCTTCTCAGAACATGAACCCCTCCAACCCAATTCAGGCGGGCAGACCTCAGATGCGGCCCCACACG
This sequence comes from Homo sapiens, assembly GCF_000001405.40. Lineage (NCBI taxonomy): Eukaryota > Metazoa > Chordata > Mammalia > Primates > Hominidae > Homo > Homo sapiens. The sequence continues at coordinate 128,690,560 of NC_000009.12, read as the reverse complement.
ACTTTGGAGCACTTACTGGGAGCAACTATGAGATCGGAAAGCAGTGAGGCACAGAAGGGAGAGGAAGAAAAGGGGGTGTGCTCTGGAATAGGTGCCCTTTTGTCCTGTAAAGACTACAAACCCCCTACAAAGCTAAGTGGGTGTGAAAGGGCCAGATCGCGCGGTTCATTTCCGGTAACCATCCCGGATTGGCAGCCCCCCTGCCGAGAGCCTCCTAGGCAGAGGCCAGCTTTCTTAGCCATTTCCAAGACCCCCGATACACTGGTCGCGGCGCCAGGTTTCTCCGCACGCTGGCGCGACGGGGCGGCCGCCCCACGTGGGGAGTGCGCCCGGGCTGGCCAGAGCATCCTCCCGGCCGGCCAAGGCCCAGCGCGCGGCCGCCCGCGTGTTCCCCGCGCCCCCACCCCACCCGAGCTCCAGGCAGAAGCCCCGCCGGGGCCAGCCTCTGGGCGGGGGTGCCGGGGGCGCCGCCGCGGGCCGGGCGCGAAGCGGAACCGCGCGGGAGGTCGGGCGCGGGGCCGCGTCCGGCCGCACCATGTGGCGGCGGCGGCGGCTGATGGGAGCGAGGCATCATGGCGGAGCACAATAAAGAGAGGCTTCTCGGGAGGGAGGGAGGGGGAGGAGAGCGAGGGAGGGGGGAGAGGAAGGGGGGGTCTCCTCCGCCCGCGCCGAGCAGGCCGCAGCGCCCCCGCCTCGCAGCGCGGCCGCCGCGGCGCGGGCCACCCAGGCCCCCAGCCCAGCCGCGCACAAAAAAGGGCGCCGAGTCCGCGGGCCCCCGCCCGGCCGCGCCGCGCCCCCCCGCCCGGCGCCCCCCGCGCGCGCCCCGGGCCCCGCCGGCGGCCTGCGGGCCGGGGCGGGCGGCGAAGATGGCGGCGCGGGCCGGCCCCCGGGCTCGCTGCTCTCACCTGAGGTCTCGTCGGCCCCGTCGTGGTTGGAGTTGAGCTCCTTTTTACTGACTTTGGCCGCCGGCGCCGACATGGTGCTGCTCCGCGGTCGGGGGGGGAGCGGGGAGGGGGAGAGAAGGGAAGGCGAAGGGGGCGGGCAAGCGGCTTCCCCTCACGCCACACGCGCGGGCGCCCGCTCGGTCCGGCCGCCTCCTCCCGGCGCTCGCTCGCTCTCCCTCCCCCTCGCTCGCTCGCGCGCGCTACCCTCGCGGCCTGACGCCGAGGGACGGGCTGGGGCGGCGTGCCGGGCCCCGGCCCGGGCTCCTGTTCGCGGAGGGGAGGCGGAGGCGGCGGCGGCGGGCGGCTCGGCTCCCTCACTCGCGCTCGGCGATCCAGCCAGCTCGCTGCTCGCTCTCCCGAGCCGCCTCCTCCTCCACCTCCTCCTACGGCGAGGGGCGGGCGCAGGGCGCAGGCGCGCCAGGCCCCGCGCGGATGCTCCGCCTCCGGCCGGGGAGGCTCGCGCCGCGGCGCCATTGGCCTGGGCGGCGGGATGAGGGGGCGGAGTCGCGGCGCGGAGACACAGGGCCCGGCGAGAGGTGGGAGGAAGGCGCGCGGCGACGCACGGCCGCCCCCCGCGCCGCGTCCCCTCCCCCGCTCTCCCCTCTCCGGCCCGACCCAGGACACTGGCGCGCGGCAGGCCGGTGGGCGGGGCGTCGCACGGAGGCGCGGGTGCCCCCGGCCGGCGCGTCACGTGGTGAGCGAGCGGCTTCCCTGCTCCGCGGGGCACCGGGAGCGGGGCGCCCACCACCCCGAAAGTGCAGGCCCGGCCTCGTATGGGGGCCCCGAATTCCGCCCGGCCTCTCGGCGCCTTCCACTTCGTGGAGAAAGCAGGGGGCACCCCATTCTGGATGCCAGATGGGGAACTGCCGATCGGACTCAAACTCGGGCTCGTGTGCGAAGCCCCAGGCTGTGTAATCCGCGCGCAGGGCCATTCCTGGGTTTTAGTCCAAGCCCTGCCCAGCAAGCTTGTACCCTTGAGCAAGTCACCCTTCCTCTCTGAACCCGTTTCTGTTATGAAATGATAAAGGTTACGACACTGAAGCCACATTAAACTCGAAGTCCTGTGAAGGCAGGGAGGTACCACATTAGTCCGCGGTGCCCAGCGCCCGCAAGAATCATACTGAGCGTTAAGTGCCAGTTTCAGCAGCGCATGGCACGGTTATCTCACCGAGGCCTCACAACAGCCCCAAGCGATAGGCGGTGTTCTGTTCATAGAGATGAAAGGGGCCAACAAGTTCTACTTGAGAGGCAAAGTTCTGAACCACTAAGGAGGGCCAAAGCATTTTGTTTAAATAATACTTTTCAAGTAATGCGGATGCCCCACATTCTGTCCCTCCAGCACCCCAAGACATGAACCATAAAAAGCCAGAAAAACCCTGATTAGTAGCATTTGTTTGTTTGTTTTGAGACGGGAGTCTTGCTCTGTCCCCCAGGCTGGAGTGCAGTGGCGCAATCTTGGCTCACTGCAAGCTCTGCCTCTCGGGTTCAAGCAATTCTCCTGCCTCGGCCTCCCGAGTAGCTGGGGCTACAGGCACGTGCCACCATGCCCGGCTAATTTTTGTATTTTTAGTAGAGATGGAGTTTCACCACCTTGGCCAGGCTGGTCTACTGACCTGGGGTGATCCACTCACCTCGTCCTCCCAAAGTGCTGGGATTACAGGCGGGAGCCACTGCGCCCGGCCAGTACCATTTGTTGATTTTAGTGATACGCTGGCCAATTTCAAATCCTGGCCATGCAATAGCTCACTCCTGTTATCCCAACACTTTGGGAGGCCAAGGCAGGAGGATCGCTTGGGCCCAGGAATTCCAGGCTTCAATGAGCCCCAATGCAGCCACTGCACTGAAGCCTGAGTGACAGAGCAAGACCCTATCTCTAAAACAAAAACAAAAAAATACCTGAAATCTCTCTTTGGACATTTTTAACCAGAACTTGGGGTTGGAATTCTGCCTTCCAGAACTCACACTTTACCATTGGCTCTTTTTTTTTTTTTTTTTTTTTGGTGGGGGAGGGGACCAAGTCTCATTCTGTCTTCCAGGCTGGAGTGCAGTGGTGCCATCTCAGCTCACTGCAACCTCCGCCTCCCGGGTTCAAGTGATTCTCCTGCCTCAGCATCCTGAGTTGCTAGGATTACAGATGTGAGTCACCACGCCCTGCTAATTTTTGTATTTTTTGGTAGAGACAGGTTTTCACCATGTTGGCCAGACTGGTCTCAAACTCCTGACCTCAGGTGATCCACCTGCCTCTGCCTCCCAAAGTGCTGAGATTACAGGCATGAGCCACTGAGCTCGGCCCACTATCAGCTCTTAAAGCTCAAGCAGCATCTTTCATGTTCAAGACAGTGCACGGTGAGTGTCTTAGCCTCCCGAGTATCTGGGATTACAGGCGCCCACTACCATGCCAAGCTAATTTTTGTATTTTTTAGTAGAGACGGGGTTTCACCATGTTGGCCAGGCTGGTCTCGAACTCCCGACCTCAGGTGATCTGCCCACCTCGGCCTCCCAAAGTGCTGGGACTACAGGCATGAGCCACCCACTGTGCCTAGCATAAACTAAACTTTGTTGCAAGTGACAGAACCAAGATTCTAAACCAAGTAGCAATTGACAAAGCCCTTACCTTAAAACAGTTTTTCTATTTTTATTGTTGTTATTATTATGAGACAGGGTCTCTCTCTGTCGCCCAGAACCATGGCTCACTGCAGCCTTGACCTCCTGGGCTCTGGGGATTCTTACACCTCAGCCTTCTGAGTAGCTGGGACCACAGGCAAGCACCACTGCCACCTTGCCTGGCTAATTTTGTTTTTATCTTTTGTAGAGAGGAGGTATCACCATGTTGCCCAGGCTGGTCTCAAACTCCTGAGCTCAAACCATCCTTCAGCCTCAGCCTTCCAGAGCTCTGGGATTACAAGAGTTAGCCATCGCACCCTGCCTCAGTTTTTTTAATGTGACCAACAGTCAGAAGTACTTTTGACATCATGACCTAGCACACACAAACCAAAACTTACCCTTACCAAGGGTGATGTGATTCTAATTTCCTATTTAAAATGCAGGTCACACCCCACCAAATTGATTTCACGACCCGCTCCTGGGCTGAGTCTGTCTGAGAACACTATGCCAAGGGCTGGCTGCTTCCATCCTCAAAGCCTGACCCATAGGGTCACTCCTGACCCACAATGTCTCCTAAGTGCCTTATCTGCCTGTTTCCCAAGCACCTGCAGGGGTCCCAGGGAACCCTGTAATGCCTTCTGATGGGGGAGTGGGCTTTCAGGTTCCCTTTCTGGCCTCCCAACCCTCCCTGCCACCTCCCTGCCCCTCTTTTCCTGCCCTTCCCCACACAGTGCTTCTCAAGATAAATATGAGCACACTAGGAAGTTGAAGAGAAAGAGAAAGCAAAAGGGCCAGGGGTGTGAGTAAACACAGGCGAGCCGGGGGCACACTGAGAGGTTATTCACCCACTCTTAGGACTCTGCTCTCTCCCCGTCTCCAACACCAGAAGCTCTGCATTCTCTCTTCTTGGCCTCTCCCCTCACTCAGAATTCCTCCCTTGCCTCTCTCCTCTCCTCCTGGCCCCTCTGGTTGTTTTTTTTTTTGTTGTTGTTGTTGTTGTTCTTGTCGCCCAGGCTGGAGTGCAATGGCACGAACTCGGCTCATTGCAACCTCCGCCTCCGGAGTTCAAGCAATTCTCCTGCCTTAGCCCCCCAAGTAGCTGGGATTACAGGCATGCATCGTCACGCCTGGCTAACTGTCTTTGGTAGAGATGGGGTTTAGCCATGTTGGCCAGGCTGGTCTTGAACTTCTGACCTCAGGTGATCTGCCCACCTCGGCCTCCCAAAGTGCTGGGATTACAGGCGTCAGCCACCGCGCCCGGCCCCCGGCTCCCTTTGAAGAGGACAGAACCCCACCGCCAGAAAGACTGGAACAGAGAGAGGCTGGCATTCCCCCACAGTGCTGCAGTGTCCCAAGCACAGACCAAAAAATCTCCAGAGCCTGGAACATCTCCCCCGCCACAGACACATACACATCTCTTTGAGCCTCCTGTTCTGATCTGTAAAATTGGGATGTCCACAGCATACGGCTGTGAGGATAGAGAAGTGCTTGGCACAGCTTCTGGCATGCCATCAGTGCCTACTAAGCAGCAGGAGCTGTTCTTTGGGTTTAGATGAACCCCCTCACACCTTTCCATCCCTTCCAGTCCTGTTAATGCTCCCAGGAAGCTCACTGGAAGGAAACTAGGAAGACTCACCCACATTTTGCTGCGCACAAATGCACTCTAGAGCACTGATGATGTGCTAGGCGCTGTCTAGTGCTCCCCTTAGATTTCAGACTCACAGCAAGCCTGGAGATCAGTACTGTGGATCCCATTTTATAGAAGAGAAAACAAGCACAAGTTGTTTTATGTGGCTCACCCAGCAAGGTAGGTTTCAAGCTGGGCAGGAGGTCTCTGCATCCCATGTGGAGGAAAAGGGACTGAGACCCAGTAAAAGTGCCAACAGGTCCACACTGAGCCCTGAGGTAGGACTCCTCCTCAGTGCTTCTTCCATAAGAGTTGCCTGCCCTCAGCCAATCAAAGCTTCCCGTTTCCTTGCAGGCCCTGGGCCTATCCACACCCAGCCCAGGAAGGCTCCACCACAACCCTCCCCTATGAGCCAGACCTAGTCACCAGAACAGTCAACTCTCTATCCAGCTCCAGCTACGTCTCCCAAAATGCAGCCCTCACCTCTAAGTTTAATGGGGGGAAGGGCAGGCATGAAACTGCTGGTTACAATGTAATGACAAGAGGGTGAGGCAGCATGACTCTGGGACTCCTAACTCCCAAGTGTTGGGGCTCACAGATTGCCCACAGGAAGTGACTTTCCAGCAGAGAGCTGGAGGTGGTGCACAGGTAAGGAGAGGAAAGGGCAAGTGGGTGTCTAGGCCCCGAGATCAGAGGGTAGAGTCCCAAGAGGTCAAGGTGAAGGGTACCACCTTGAGGGAGGCCTCCAGGTGGGGAGTCTCAGAAGTGTGAACCAGGAGAGGTCGGCGGGGACCGGGTTGGCGGGCCAGAGAAGTTTCTGAGCACCTGGAGGACGCGGGGAGGCAAGGGAGGGGTTTAAGCCGGGGAGTGGGCCACGTGATTGGCTATGCTCAGGCTGAAGGGGAGGAGGAGGAAGCTGGAAGCCAAGATGAGGAGGTGGCAGAGATTCAGGCCAGAGTTGTGGGCCGCCGTCGGCAGCAAGAACAGAGAGAGAGGTGGACAGATCTGAGAGATACTGAGGTAGAACCACCAGGAATCGGGGATTTGGCTGGATGTGGAGGGGTGAAGGAGGGGCCTCAGGCTGGCTGGCAGTGCCCCTTGCCAAGAAAGGGAGCCCCAGAGGAGGAAGTTTGGGGGCTGGGGAGACAAGCTCAGGGGTCAGTGTTGAGTTGGGGGCAGGGATGAGCTCCCGTGCACTCCCGTTCTCCCAGTCTAGTCCCTTCTGGTTCTTCACGCAAACTTAATCCACCATCCCAGGTTTAAAACCCTTTGGGGGTGCTTAGGGGTCACATCTCAAGAGGGATTGGGGGGTAAAAATCAGAGAGTCAATCCTTGCAAATCCCTTAAATCTCCAATAAAACTTAGCGCAGAAACGTACCTCCCTTCTTCGGCAAGCCTGCAGAGGCCGATGTCTCCTCCGGTCCCAGAGCAGGAGGTGGTCTTGGTTTCTTCTTTTGAGGCGGGAGTGGAGACTGGCGTTTAGGGGCCATGCTGTTAGGGAAGTCCCAGAACCAGACCACGAGTCTCCTCGCCCGTCCGGAAGCAGGCTGAACACTGAGACTGCCCCAGGTGCCAGCGGCTTAAATCTGCACTGGAGCCGCCCTGCCTGGAAGGGATATTTACATGACAGTGGGACACACACCCCGGCCCCCTCCCCCAGCCTCATCCCACCCACCCTCCAATCAGGAGAAATTTCTTTTAGTTGCTCTCTGCCTCGCTCTGCAGGGGCACTCTTGGCTTTGGGGGAGGGGGCAAGTTCTTCCTTGAGGAGAGGATCCCTGTGCTTTCTAGACCTCCTGGTTTCACGTGAAACCCCCGCAGCCTATCCCCCAGTTCGTTCCCAAACCCCCAGGTAGACAGGCCTGCCCCTACTGAGAACTTATCCTCTTTTTTTTTTCCTTTGGCCTCCAAAAGATTTAAACACGTGCTGTTGCCTCACCTAAGCTTGGAACATTCCTCAGTAAACCACACCCCCACTGCCCGGTTTCGCTAACTCCTTCCTGACCTCCCTTGTCTCTGCTTGAAGGGATAGATTAATGTTGAAAAAAAGATTTCCCAATCAAGAATTACAAAGGAATTAGATGCCTGCTTTAAAAAAAAAAAAAAGAAGAAAGAAAGAATTACAGAGAAAGAGGGAAAAGCAGGAAACTTTGGAGACTTGGAGTATTTATTCATTCTTCACTTGTTTCAGAAAGGGATACAAGTTAAGAGAAGAGGGTTTATTTTAGCTGGGCGTGGTGGTGGGCACCTGTAATCCCAGCTACTTGGGAGGCTGAGGCAGGAGAATCGCTTGAACCTGGGAGGTGGAGGTTGCAGTGAGCCGAGATCGTGCCACTGCACTCCAGCCTAGGCGACAGAGCGGGACCCTGTCTCAAAAAAAGACTTTTTTTTTTTTTTAAGACAAGGTCCCAGCCGGGCGCAGTGACTCAAGCCTGTAATCCCAGCACTTTGGGAGGCTGAGGCAGGCGGATCACGAGGTCAGGAAATCGAGACCATCCTGGCTAACATGGTGAAACCCCGTCTCTACTAAAAATACAAAAAAATCAGCCGAGCGTGGAGGTGGGCACCTGTAGTCCCAGCTACTCACGAGGCTGAGGCAGGAGAATGGTGTGAACCCGGGAGGCGGAGCTTGCAGTGAGCTGAGATCGCAACACTGCACTCCAGCCTGGGCGACAGAGCGAGACTCCGTCTCAAAAAAAAAAAAAAAAAAAAAGACAAGGTCCCATCCTGTCTCTGAGGCTCAAGTACATTAGTGATCATGGCTCACGGCAGCCTCAACTTCCCAGGCTCAGGTGATCCTCCCACCTCAGCCTCCTGAGTAGCTGGGACTACAGACGTCACCACCATGCCTGGCTAATTTTTTGTATTTTTAGTAGGCACAGGGTTTGGCCATGTTGCCCAGGCTGGTCTCCAACTCCTGGTCCCAAGCCAACTGCCCACCTCAGCCTCCCAAAGTGCTAGTATTACAGGCATAAGCCACCACACCAGACCAGAAGAATTTTTACTATTTATTTATTTATAGAAAGAGTCTCACTCTGGGCCAGGTGCGGTGGCTCATGCCTGTAATCGCAGCACTTTGGGAGGCTGATGCGGGTGGATCACGAGGTCAGGAGATCGAGATCGTCCTGGCTAACACGGTGAAGCCCCACCTCTACTAAAAATACAAAAAATTAGCCGGGCGTGGTTGCAGGCACCTGTAGTCCCAGCTACTCGGGAGGCTGAGGCAGGAGAATGGCCAGAACCCAGGAGGCGGAGATCGCAGTGAGTGGAGATTGCGCCAGCCTGAGCGACAGAGCGAGACTGTCAAAAAAAAAAAAAAAAGTCTCACTCTGTCATCCAGGCTGGAGTGCTGTGGCATAATCTTTGGCTCACTGCAACCTCCACCTCCCAGTTTCAAGCAATTCTCCTGTCTCAGCCTCCTGAGTAGCTGGGGTTACAGGCACCGCCACTAGGCGTGACTAATTTTTGTATTTTAAGTAGAGATGGGTTTTCACCACGTTGGCCAGGCTGGTCTTGAACTCCTGACCTTAAGTGATCCTCCTGCTTCAGCCTCCAAAGTGCTGGGATTACAGGTGTGAGCCACCGCACCCAACCTAGAAGAATTTTTAGAAAGCCGCTTGTCTGGGGGTCACAAAGGCCACTGTTATTGGGGGTCTGTTAGGGCATAAAAATGAGTAAGGCAAAAAACAAAAGCACAACAGCTAATAGAAGGTAGATTGGTACAACTAAGGTGGAAAACTGCATGCCAAGACTACCCAAGCTGAATGTGTTCATGCTTTGTGACCGAGCAATGGTACTCCTCCCTACATCTCCAACAGATATGCATAACGTGCACCAATGTTCACAGCAGCAAGATTCATAATAGACAAGAATGTTCACAGCAGCAAGATTCATAATAGACAAACTGGAAACAATGCAAATGTCTGTCCAAGGTAGAATGAATACATTGTGAGATATTCAAGGAAAGGAAAGTTACAAAGCAATGAAAATAAATGGGCCAGACGAGGTGGCTCACACCTGTAATCCCAGCACTTTGGGAGGCCAAGGCAGGTGGATCACCTGAGGTCAGGAGTTTAAGACCAGCCTGGCCAACATGGTGAAACCCTGTCTCTACTAAAAATACAAAAATTAACCTGGAGTGGTGGCACGCACCTGTAGTCCCAGCTACTCGGGAGGCTGAGGCAGGAGAATCACTTGAACCCGGGAGGCTGAGGTTGCAGTGAGCCGAGACTGCGCCACTGCACTCCAGCCTGGGTGACAGAGTGAGACTCCGTCTCTAAAAAAGAAAAGAAATGAATGACTGGTACTCGGAATGATGTGAATGCAGCCTACAAATATAATGTTGAGTGAAAGACAAAGACACAAAATAGTATACACCATGTGATTTCTTTTGTATAAAGTACAAAAACAAGCTAGGTGTGGCGGCTCACGCCTGTAATCCCAGCACTTTGGGAGGCCAAGGTGGGCAAATCACTTGAGGTCAGGAGTTTGAGACCAACCCAGCCAACATGATGAAACCCAGTCTGTACTAAAAAATACAAAAATTAGCTGGGCGTGGTGGCACACGCCTGTAATCCCAGCTACTCAGGAGGCTGAGGCAGGAGAATTACTTGAACCCAGAAGGTGGAGGTTGCAGTGAACCGAGATCACGCCACCGCACTCCAGACTGGGCGACGGAGTGAGACCCTGTCTCAAAAATAATAATAATAGGCTGGGCACGGTGGCTCACACCTGTAATCCCAGCACTTTGGGAGGCCGAGGCAGGCAGATCACGAGGTCAGGAGATCGAGACCATCCAGGCTAACACGGTGAAACCCCGTCTCTACTAAAAATACAAAAAATTAGCCGAGCATGGTGGCGGGCGCCTGTAGTCCCAGCTACTCTGGAGGCTGAGGCAGGACAATGGCGTGAACCCAGGAGGTGGAGCTTTCAGTGAGCCGAGATCGCGCCACTGCACTCCAGCCTGGGCGACAGAGCAAGACTCCGTCTCAAAAAAATATAATAATAATAATAATAATAATAATTGACCAGGTACAGTGGCTCATGCCTGTAATCCCAGCACTTTGGGAGGCCGAGGCTGGAGGATCACGTGAGGCCAGGAGTTTGAGACCAGCTAGGCCAACATGGCAAAACCCCGTCTCTATTAAAAATACAAAAATTAGCCGGGTGTGGTGGCACATGCCTGTAATCCCAGCTACTTGGGAGGCTGAGGCACAAAAATCGCTTGAACCCGGGAGGCAGAGGTTGTGGTGAGCCGAGGTCACACCATTGCACTCCAGCCTGGGCAACAAGAGTGAAACTCTGTCTCAAAAAAAAAAGAAAAGAGAAAGAAATAAAGTACTAAAACAGGCAAAATTAGCATGTACTATTAGAAGTCCAGAGTCTTGTGGTATAAGGGTATGTGGAAGAGACATTAGGGGACTCCAGGGTCCTGGTGATGCTCAGTTTCTGGATGGGGATTGCTATACCAGTGTATTTCATTCATGAATCTTAGGTTTGCCAGATTTTATATATGTGTGTCTGTGTATCTATTTTTTGAGATAGGGTCTCCCTCCCTGTTGCCCAGGCTGGAATGCAGTGGCGCAATCATGGCTCACTGCAGCCTTAAATACTACTTAGGCTGAGACAGGAGAATCACTGGAAACCAGGAGGCAGAGGCCTCAGTGAGCTGAGATCGCGCCACTGCACTCCAGCCTGGGCGACAGAGCAAGACTCCATCTCAAAAAAAAAAACAAAAAAAAACAAAAAACAAAAGTTAGCCAAACATAAAGGCATGTGACTTTAGTCCCAGCCACTCAGGAGGCTGAGGCAGGAGGATGGCTTGAGCCCGGGAGGTATAGGCTACAGTGAGCTATGATTGCTCCACTGCACTCCAACTGGGTCAACAGAGCAAGACCCTGCCTCAAAAAGTAATTAATTAATTAATTACTTTAACTAAATCTTAGTCATAAGTCAATGACCTCAATACTGATAAAAAGCTGAGCTTTCTCTGGTGGAAGAAAAGGTGGAGGACGTGCCACCATCACCCATGTCCCTCATCGATTCCCTTTCTTCTTTTTGAGCTGCTGAGACTCTGGGCTCCTTCTAATGCATTTTGAAAGTCACAGGTGTCTTGATTTTACAAAGGGCAAGCGAGCCTGACAGAAGGGATTTGCCTAAGATCATGAAGAGAATAACCACGTTCTAATGAGAAATGGATTTGAGGATCACCTCATCACAGAGATGTGCTTGCTAACAAGCCTAAGTCTCAGTGTATATATCTGTAAAATGGATGATAATACCTGCCTCTTTGTTTTATTTATTTATTTATCTATTTTGTGACGGAGTCTTGCTCTGTACCCCAGGCTGGAGTGCAGTGACGCAATCTCGGCTCACTGCAACCTCCGCTTCCCAGGTTCACGCCATTCTCCTGGCTCAGCCTTACAAGTGGCTGGGACTACAGGCGCCCACCACCACGCCCGGCTAATTTTTTGTATTTTTAGTAGAGACAGAGTTTCACCATGTTAGCCAGGATGCTCTCCATCTCCTGACCTCATGATCTGCTCGCCTCGACCTCCCAAAGTGCTGGGATTACAGGTGTGAGCCACCACGCCTGGCCCTCTTTGTTTTATTATAAGATTACCTGGCCAGGCTCGGTAGCTCACACCTGTAATCCCAGCACTCTGGGAGGCTGAGGCAGGTGGATCACTTGAGATCAGGAGTTCAAGGCCAGCCTGGCCCACATGGTGAAACCCCATCTCTACTAAAAATACAAAAATTAAGCGGGCGTGGTGGTGGGTACTCGTCATTCCAGCTACTCAGGAAGCTGAGGCAGGAGAATCGCTTGAACCTGGGAGGTGGAGGCTGCAATGAGCCAAGATTGCACCACTGCACTCCAGCCTGGGCAACAAGAGCAAGACTCTGTCTCCAAAAAAAAAAAAAAAAAAAAAAAAAAAAATTACCTGTGGTCTCTACACATGAACATTGAAAATGAAAAATTAAGTTTTTTTGCACCTGGCCTCTTTTAAAAAAAAAATTAGGCTGGGCATGGTGGCTCACACCTGTAATCCCAGCACTTTGGGATGCCGAGGTGGGCAGATCACCTGAGGTCAGGAGTTCGAGACCAGCCTGACCAACATGGAGAAACCCCATCTCTACTAAAAATACAAAATCACCTGGGCGTGGTGCACATGCCTGTAATCCTAGCTACTCGGGAGGCTGAGGCAGGAGAAACGCTTGAATGCGGGAGGCAGAGGTTGCGGTGAGCCAAGATTGCACCATTGCACGCCAGCCTGGGCAACGAAAGCGAAACTCTGTCCCAAAAAAAAAAAAAAGAAAAGAAAAGAAAACTGCAGCTAAGTCGAAGGGAAAAAAGCAAAGTCCAAACCCACGTGGTTAGTATGTTGCCATTTGTGTAAAAGAGGAGTAGATAAAAACACTTTGCCAGTATACCTCTAACACAGCTGTTGAAGGATTCCCAATAAACGAATCACATGGCTGTCCCCAGAGAAAGGACTGGGTGATCAGAGGTGAGAGGACAAGGATAGGTGGTAGCAGTGTTACTCTACCCTGCCGTGTTTTTTGTTGTTGTTGTTTTTCAGATGGAGTTTCCCTCTTGTAGCCCAGCCTGGAGTGCAGTGGCGCGATCTTGGCTCACTGCAACCTTCTGCCTCCTGGGTTCAACCGATTCTCCTGTCTCAGCCTTGCGAGTAGCTGGAATTACAGGTGCCTGCCAGCACGCCGAGCTAATTTTTGTATTTTTTTTTTTTTTAGTAGAGACGGGGTTTCGCCACATTGGTCAGGCTGGTTTTGAACTCCTGACCTCAGGTGATCCACCCACCTCAGCCGACGCAAAGTGCTGGGATTATAGGCATGAGCCACTGTGCCTAGCCTGTGCATTTTGTTTTCTTGTTTTTGCTTTTGAGATGGAGTCTCACTCTGTCACCCAGGTTAGAGTGCAGTGGAGCGATTTCAGCTCACTACAACATCTGCCTCCTGGGTTCAAGCAATTCTCATGTCTCAGCCTCCCAAGTAGCTGGGAATATAGGCATAAGCCACCATGCCTGGCTAGTTTATTGTATTTTTAGTAGAGATGGAGTTTCACTATGTTGGATAGGCTAGTCTCGAATTCTGCTCTGCATTTTGAGTTTGGAGGCTTGTGAACTTTTTTCTTTCTTTTTTTTTTTTTTTGAGACAGAGTTATAGGAGTGAGCTATGGCACCTGGCCCTTTGTGAACATATTACATTAAAAATAAAACTGGCTGGGCATGGTGGCTCACGCCTGTAAACCCAGCACTTTGGGAGGCTGAGGCAGGTGGATCACGAGGTCAGGAGATCAGGACCATCCTGGCAAACACGGTGAAACCCCATCTCTACTAAAAATACAAAAAATTAGCCGGCCGTGGTGGCAGGCGCCTGTAGTCCCAGCTACTTAGGAGGCTGAGGCAGGAGAATGGCCTGAACCCAGGAGGTGGAGCTTGCAGTGAGCAGAGATCTCGCCACTGCATTCTAGCCTGGGCAATAGAGCGAGACTCCGTCTCAAAAACAAAACAAAACAAAAAAAAAAACAGCTGGGGCCAACCATAGTGGCTCAGGCCTGTAATCCCCACACTTGGGGAGGCTGAGGCAGGCACATCACTTGAAGTCAGGAGTTTGAGACCAGCCTGGCCAACATGGCAAAACCGTGTCTCTACTAAAAAATACAAAAATTAGCCTGGCGTGGTGACAGGTGCCTGTAGTTCCAGCTACTCTGGAGGCTAGGGTAGGAGAGTCACTTGAACCTAGGAGGCGGAGGTAGCAGTGAGCTGAGATCACACCACCGTACTCCAGCCTGGGCGACAGAGCAAGACTCCGCCTCAAAAAAAAAAAAAAAAATTCAAACACATAAGACCTCACTTTTCCTGTTTGTTTGTTTGTTTGGACTGAGTCTCTCTCTGTCACCCAGGCTGGAGTGTAATGGCAGGATCTAGGCTCACTGCAACCTCCACCTCCTGGGTTCAAGTGATTCTCCTGCCTCAGCCTCCCGAGTAGCTGAGATTACAGGTACCCACTATCATGCCCGGCTACTTTTTGTATTTTTAGTAGAGATGGGGTTTCATCATGTTGGCCAGGTTGATCTTGAACTCCTGACCACAGATGATCCACCCACCTTGGCCTCCCAAGTGCTGGAATTACAGGCGTGAGCCACTGTGCCTGGCCTGTTTGTGTGTTTTTTAATATTTTTTCTTTATTTTTAAATTGAGACAGGGTCTTGGTTTATCATCCAGGCTGGAATGCAGTGGTGTGATCATAGCTTACTGCAGCCTCCACCTCCCAGGCTCTAAGTGATCCTCCCTCCTCAGCCTCCTGAGTAGCTAGGACGACAGGTGTGCCCCAGCAAATCAGCTAATTTTTGTATTTTTTGTAGAGACAGGGTCTTGCTATATTACCCATGCTGGTCTTGAACTCCTAGACTCAAGTGATCCTCCTGCTTCAGCCTCCAGGGTAGCTGGACCTGGCCCACCTTTCCTTTCCTCTCCAGCTTCTAAAATTTGAGCTTCCTGGACTCCCAGGGGCGTTACTAGGCAACTGTGGCAACTCTTCCCAGTTCTAGAATGGAGCTACAGGGCAGCTGGGGGCAAAGCAAAAGGTGTCCCTCCACTCCACCCAAAAGTTGACAGGCTCAGGGAGTACCAGATGTTCCATAACCCCAAGGCCAGGCTCCCTCTGGGAACCAGAAGTTTCCAAAACATTGTATTGTTTCTTTATCTGTTCACCTGTCCGCTTGGGATGGCTGTAGATAGCTACCATTTATTGAGCATCAGCTGGACCTACATGTGGCGCTGACTAAGCATTACCCTTTTGAATCCTCCCATCCATCTTTATAGGATAGTATTATGCCCTTATTTTACAGTTGGGAGAACCAAACCAAATGAAGAATCAAGGCTCCGCCAGGCTCGGTGGCTCATGCCTATAATCCCAGCACTTTGGGAAGCTGAGGTGGGCAGATCACCTGAGGTCAGGAGTTAGACTAGACTAGCCTGGCCAACATGGTGAAACCTCATCTCTACTAAAAATACAAAATTGGCTGGGCATGGTGGTGCATGCCTGTAATCCCAGCTAGTTGGGAGGCTGCAGCAGGAGAATCGCTGGAACCCAGGAGGCGGAGGTTGCAATGAGCTGAGATCGCGCCACTGCACTCCACCCTGGGTTGACACAGCAATACCCTGCCTCTAAAATAAATAAATAAAAAATAAATAAAGACTCAAAGGCATAACTTGCCCTAAAATCAAAGGGCAAGGAGTAGAGGAGTCAAGATTCCAACCCCTGTCTTTCTGGCTCCCCTATACCAACATAGCCTTAGTGTAATGAAAACAGACCGCTCAGGAAGGCTGACAGTGAAGCAAGGCTGGTCTCTGAGACCCCCGGGAGATCAGCTCTGACGGGGCCTCAGGAATCTCCCGGTAGAGTTTCTCTACCACAGACATTTCTCTTTCCTTGCCCCTCACACTGAGCTCTGGCTCCTGAGTATTCCTTAAAAAGTTATCATTGGCTGGGCGTGGTGGCTCACGCCTGAATCACAGCACGTTAGGAGGCTGAGACGGGCAGATCACTTGAGTCCAGGAGTTTGAGACCAGCCGCACGACATGGCTAAACTCCATGTCTAGACATTTTTTATTTTTTTTGAGACGGAGTCTCGATCTCTCTCTCAGGCTGGAGTGCAGTGGTGCAATCTCTGCTCACTGCAACCTCCATCTCCTGGGTTCACGCGATTCTCCTGCCTCAGCCTCCCAAGTAGCTGAGATTACAGGTGCGTGCCACCATGCCCAGCTAATTTTTGTATTTTTAGTACAGACAAGGGTGTCACCATATTGGCCAGGCTGGTCTCGAACTCCTTACCTTGTGATCCACCGTCCTTGGCCTCCCAAAGTGCTGGGATTACAGGCGTGAGCCACCACGCCAGGCCAAAATTTTTTTTTAAATTAGCTAGAGACGGCCAGGCATGGTGGCTCATGCCTGTAATCCCAGCACTTTGAGAAGCCAAGGCAGGCGGATCACGAGGTCAGGAAATTGAGACCATCCTGGCTAACACGGTGAAACCCCATCTCTACCAAAAATACAAAAAATTAGCCGGGTGTGGTGGCGGGCGCCTGTAGTCCCAGTGACTCGGGAGGCTGAGACAGTAGATGGTATAAACCCAGGAGTTGGAGCTTGCAGTGAGCCGAGATTACGCCACTGCACTCTAGCCTGGGCAACAGAGCGAGACTCCATCTCAAAAACAAGACACACACACACAAAACAAAAAAAATTAGCTAGCGATGATCAGGTGTGGTGGCTCGTGCCTGTAATCCCAGCACTTTGGGAGGGTGAGGTGGGTGGATCACCTGAGGTTGGGAGTTAGAGACCAGCCTGACCAACATGAAGAAACCCAGTCTCTACTCAAAATACAAAAATTAGCCAGGTGTGGTGGCGCATCCTGTAATCCCAGTTACTCGGGAGGGTGAGGCAGGAGAATTGCTTGAACCTGGGAGGCTGAGGTTGCGGTGAGCCAAGATTGAGCCATTGCACTCCAGCCTGGGCAACAAGAGTGAAACTTCATCTCAAAAAAAAAAAAAAAAAAATAGCTGGGTGCGGTAGCTCACGCCTGTAATCCTAGCACTTTGGGAGGCCTAGGGGGGCGGATCACGAGGTCAGGAGATCGAGACCATCCTTGCTAACACGGTGAAACCCCATCTCTACTAAAAGTACAAAAACATTAGCCGGGCTTGGTGGCTGGTGCCTGTAGTTCCAGCTACTCGGGAGGCTGAGGCAGGAGAATGGCGTGAACCCAGGAGGTGGAGCTTGCAGTGAGCCGAGATTGCACCACTGCACTCCAGCCCGGGTGACAGAGCTAGACTCCGTCTCAGAAAAAAAAAAAAAAATAGCCAGTGAGGTGGTCTGTGCCTGTGGTCCCAACTATTCAGGAGGCTGAGCAGGGAGGAGCCCTTGAGCCCTGGAGGCAGAAGTTGCAGTAAGCCCAGATTGCACCACTGCACTCCAGACTGGGCGACAGAGTGAGACTCCTTGAAAACAAACAAACAAAACAACTGTTTGCTACTGTATTTTTTAACCATTAACAAATGTTTTTGACAACTTTTTGCCATTATGTATAAATAAGAACATTTTATTATTGACAGTATTTTTTAATCTTGCATTATTTTTGTTGGGTAAATGTGCTATACTTATTTAAGCCTCAAAGGTGAAAATTTAAGCTGCTACTACTGTTTGATCATTATAAGCAACTCTGTGATAAACATCTGAGCAGCTAAGTCCTGGCACATATACATGATTGTTTCCTTAGAGTATGTTGTTAGAACTACAATTGTTAAGTGAAAAAGTATGTAAAATAAAAAGGGTTTTTTTTTGAGACTGAGTCTCACTCTGTCGCCCAGGCTGGAGTGCAGTGGCCCAATCTCGGCTCACTGCAAGCTCCGCCTCCCGGGTTCACACCATTCTCCTGCCTCAGCCTCCCTAGTAGCTGGGACTACAAGTGCCCGCTACCACGCCCCACCAGTTTTTTGTATTTTTAGTAGACACGGGGTTTCACCATGTTAGCCAGGATGGTCTCCATCTGACCTTGTGATCCGCCTGCCTCGGCCTCCCAAAATGCTGGGATTATAGGCGTGAGCCACCGCGCCCGGCCAATAAAAAGGGTTTTTAACATGTTCCCAAATTGTCCAGTTGCTCTTCTGTAGTGTCTGTGTATATTTCAGTACATTTCATTGAATCTGGCTTCTTTCCATTTTGGCAGGTGGAAATTTTTTTCCTTTTTTTTTTTCTCCCCAGAAGCATAGATTTAAGTTGCCCTGAATAGACACTTCCTGGTAGTTGGAAAATTTTATCTCACAGCTGGTATTATTAATGAGATTAAACTTTTTTTTTTTTTTTAGAGACAGGGTCAGTGTAGTGGCTCACAACTGTAATCTCAGCATTTTGGGAGGTTGAGGCGGGCACATCACCTGAGGTCAGGAGTTTGAGACTAGCCTGGCCAACATGGGGAAACCCCGTTTCTACTGAAACTATAAAAATTAGCCAGGCCTGGCGGATCACGAGGTCAAGACATCCAGACCATCCTGGCCAACAAGGTGAAACCCTGTCTCTACTAAAAATACAAAAATTGGCCGGGCGCGGTGGCTCACACCTGTAATCCTAGCACTTTGGGAGGCCGAGACGGGCGGATCACGAGTTCAGGAGATCAAGACCATCCTGGCTAAACGGTGAAACCCCGTCTACTAAAAATACAAAAATTTAGCCAAGCATGCAGGTGGGCGCCTGTAGTCCCAGCTACTCGGGAGGCTGAGGCAGGAGAATGGTGTGAACCCAGGAGGTGGAGGTTGCAGTGAGCTGAGATCGCGCCACTGCACTCCAGCCTGGGCGACAGAGCGAGACTCCGTCTCAATAAATAAATAAATAAATAAATAAAAATACAAAAATTAGGCCGGGCGCGGTGGCTCAAGCCTGTAATTCCAGCACTTTGGGAGGCCGAGGCGGGCGGATCATGAGGTCAGGAGATCGAGACCATCCTGGCTAACACGGTGAAACCCCGTCTCTACTAAAAATACAAAAAAAATTAGCCGGGCATGGTGGCGGGCACCTGTAGTCCCAGCTACTCGGGAGGCTGAGGCAGGAGAATGGCTTGAACCCAGGAGGCAGAGCTTGCAGTGAGCCGAGATCGAGCCGCTGCACTCCAGCCTGGGCGACAGAGCAAGACTCCGTCTCAAAAAATAAATAAATAAAAAATAACAAAAATTAGCTGGACGTGGTGGCACGCACCTGTAGTCCCAGCTACTCTGGAAGCTGAGGCAGGAGAATCACTTCAACCCGGGAGGCAGAGGTTACATTGAATCGAGATCGGCCACTGCCCTCCAGCCTGGAGACAGAGTGAGACTCCGTCTCAAAAAAAAAAAAAAAAAAAAAAGAATTAGCCAGGCCTGGTGCATGTGCCTGTAATCCTAACTACTTGGGGGGCTGAGGCAGGAGAATTGCTTGAACCCAGGAGGCGGAGTTTGCAGTGAACTGAAATCAAGTCACTTCACTGCAGCCTGGGTGACAGAGCAAGACTCCATCTCAAAAAAAAAAAAAAAAAGAGAGACAGGGTCCCACTCTATTGCCCAGGCTGGAGTGCACAGAAGCAGGATCACAGCTCCCTGTAGTCTTGAACTCCTGGGCTCAAGTGACCCTCCCACCTCAGCCTCTCTGGTAGCTGGGACAGGTGCTCATCACTGTGCCCAGCCGAAGTTCTTCATGTGTTTCTTGACTGATGATGCTACTGCTTTTCTAAACTGCCCATTCTTGGGTGTTTCTTTTTTTTTTTTTTTTTTGAGACGGAGTTTCGCTTTTGTTGCCCAGGCTGGAGTGCAATGGTGCAATCTGGGCTCACTGCAACTTCTGCCTCCCAGGTTCAAGCGATTCTCCTGCCTCAGCCTCCCAAGTAGCTGGGATTACAGGCACGTGCCACCACGCCTGGCTGATTTTGTATTTTTAGTAGAGACGGGGTTTCACCATGTTGGTCAGGCTGGCTGGTCTCCAACTCCTGACCTCGGGTGATCCACTGCCTCAGCCTCCCAAAGTGCTGGGATTACAGGCCTGAGCCACCACACCCCACCGCGTTTCTCTCTCTCTTTTTTTTTTTTTTTCTTTTGTTGTTGTTGTTTGAGATGGAGTCTCACTCTGTTGCCAGGCTGAAGTGCAGTGGTGTGATCTCGGCTCACTACAACCTCCTCCTCCCAGGTTCAAGCAATTCTCCTGCTTCAGCTTCCCGAATAGCTGGGACTACAGGTGTGGGCCACCACACCCAGCTAATTTTTGTATTTTTAGTAGAGATGGAGTTTCACCATGTTGGCCAGGGTGGTCTCGATCTCTTGACCTCATGATCTGCCCGCCTCAGCCTCCCAAAGTGCTGGGATTATAGGTGTAAGCCACTGTGTTTGGCCTCTCTTTTTTTTTCTGAGATGGAATTTCACTCTTGTCACCCAGGCTGGGGTGATATGGCACAATCTCAGCTCACTGCAACCTCTGCCTCCCAGGTTCAAGCGATTTTCCTGCCTTAGCCTCCCGAGTAGCTGGGATTACAGGCACCCACCACGACGCCCAGCTATTTTTTTGTATTTTTAGTAGAGACGGAGTTTCACCATGTTGGCCAGGCTGGTCCCAAACTCCTGACTTCCGGTGATCCGCCCCTTGGGCTCCCAAAGTGCTGGGGTTACAGGTGTGACCCACCAGCGGTGTCCAGCCTTTTTTTTTTCCTTTGAGACAGAGTCTTACTCTGTAACCCATGCTGGAGTACAGTGGCAAGATCTTGACTTAGTGCAATCTCTGCCTCATCAGTCAAAGCAATTTTCATGCCTCAGACTCAAGTAGCTGGGATTACAGGTGTTCACCACCATGCCCAGTCAATTTTTGTATTTTTAGGCCAGGTGCAGTGGCTCATGCCTGAAATTTCAGCACTGTGGGAGGCCGAGACTGGCGGATCACAAGCTCAGGATTTCAAGACCTGGCTCAGCAACATAGTGAAACCCCGTCTTTACTAAAAATACAAAAAATATAAGCGTGCATTGTGGCACACACCTGTAATCGCAGCTACTAGGGAGGCTGAGGCAGGAGAATCCCTTGAACCTGGGGGGCAGAGGTTGCAATGAGCCAAGTTTGTGCCACTCATCACCAGCCTAGGCAACAGAGCGAGACTCCATCTCAAACAAAGTTACGCTCTTGTTGCCCAGGATGGCGTGCAATAGTGCGATGTCGGCTCACCGCAACCTATGCCTCCTAGGTTCAAGCGATTCTCCTACCTCAACCTCCCAGGTAGCTGGGATTAGAGGCATGTGCCACTACGCCCGGCTAATTTTGTATTTTTAGTAGAGACAGGGTTTCTCCATGTTGCTCATGCTGGTCTTGAACTCCCGACCTCAGGTGATCTGACCACCTCAGCCTCCTGAAGTGCTGGGACTAGAAGTGTGAGCCACTGCGCTGGGCCTTCTTTTTAATTTTAATTTTAAAAATTTTTTTTAATTTCTTAAATTTTTTTGAGACAGAGTCTCGCTCTGTCGCCCAGGCTGGAGTGCAGTGGCGCAATCTCGGCTCACTGCAAGCTACACTTCCCAGGTTCACGCCATTCTCCTGCCTCAGCCTCCCGAGTAGCTGGGACTACAGGCGCATGCCACCACGCCTGGCTAATTTTTTGTATTTTTAGTAGAGACGGAGTTTCACCGTGTTAGCCAGGATGGTCTTGATCTCCTGACCTCGTGATCCGCCCGCCTCGGCCTCCCAAAGTGCTGGGATTACAGGTGTGAGCCACCACACCCGGCCCAATTATATATTTTTAGTAGAGACGGGGTTTTGCCATGTTGGTCAGGCTGGTCTCAAACTCCTGACCTCAGGTGATCCACCGGCCTCGGTCTCTCAAAGTGCTGGGATTACAGGTGTGAGCCACTGCACCTGGCCATATGGCAGGTTAGTTGTTATACACTCCTTAGCATATTTTGACCTCCATATACACTGTCCCGGTAAGTATTTTATTTCTATGTATTCAAGGCACTTGATCTTTCCTTTTCTTTTTTTTTTTTTTCCTTTTTTTTAGACTGAGTCTCGCTCTGTTTTCCAGGGGTGCAGTGGCATGATCTCAGCTCACTGCAACTTCTACCTCCTGGGATCAAGCGATTCTCATGCCTCAGCCTCCCCAGTAGCTGGGATTACAGGTGCATGCCACCATCCCTGCTAATTTTTGTATTTTTAGTAGAGATGGGATTTCCCCATGTTGGCCAAGCTGGTCTCAAACTCCTGACCTTGTGATCCACCCATCTCAGCCTCCCAAAATGCTGGGATAACAGGTGTGAGCCACTGCGCCCAGCCTTTTTTTTTTTTTTTTAGAATGGTCTCACTCTGTTACCCAAGCTGGCGCTGGAGTGTGATGACACAATCGTGATTTACGACCCAATGCAGTGGCTCACGCCAAGGCGGGCGGATCACAAGGTCAGGAGATGGAGACCATCCTGGCCAATATTGTGAAACCCGTCTCTACTAAAAATACAAAAATTAGCTGGGCGTTGTGGCCAGACGCAGTGGCTCATGCCTGTAATCCCAGCACTCTGGGAGGCGGAGGCGGGCAGATTACAAGGTCAAGAGATCGAGACTGGCCGGGCGTGGTGGCTCACGCCTGTAATCCCAGCACTTTGGGAGGCCAAGGCGGGCGGATCACAAGGTCAGGAGATCAAGACCATCCTGGCCAACATGATGAAACCCCGTCTCTATTAAAAGTACAAAAATTAGCTGGGCATAGTGGCTCACGCCTGTAATCCCAGCTACTCGGGAGGCTGAGGCAGGAGAATCGCTTGAACCTGGGAGGCAGAAGTTGCAGTGAGCTGGGATTGTGCCACTGCACTCCAGCCTGGTGACAGAGCGGGACTCCATCTCAAAAAAAAAAAAAAAAAAAAAGAGATCGAGACCATCCTGGCCAACATGGTGAAACCCCATCTCTACTACAAATACAAAAATTGGCTGGGCATGATGGCACGCACCTGTAGTCCCAGCTACTCGGGAGGCTGAGGCAGGAGAATCGCTTGAACCCAGGAGGCAGAGGTTGCAGTGAACCAAGATTGCGCCACTGCACTCCAGCCTGGCAACAGGGTGAGACTCCCTCTCAAAAAAAAAAAAAAATTAGCTGGGCGTGGTGGCGAATGCCTGTAATCCCAGCAACTCGTGAAGCTGAGGCAGGAGAATCACTTGAACCAGGGAGGTGGAGGTTGCAGTGAGCTGAGATGGAGCCACTGCACTCCAGCCTGGTGTCAGAGCGAGGCTGTGTCTCAAAAAAGAAAAAAATACAGGACGAGGCGGGCGGATCACAAGGTGAGACCAGCCTGGCCAACATAATGAAACCCCATCTCTACTAGAAATACAAAAATTAGCCGGGCGTGGTGGCGGGCGCCTGTAGTCCCAGCTACTCGGGAGGCTGAGGCAGGAGAATCGCTTGAACCAGGGAGGCGGAGGTTGCAGCAAGCTGAGATTGTGCCACTGCACACCATCCTGGGCGACAGTGTGAGACTCCATCTCAATAAAAAAATAAAAAATAAAAATAAATAATCACAGTTTACTGCAACCTCAGCCTCCTAGGGCTCAGGTTATCCTCTCACCTTAGCCTAGTAGCTGGCACTAAAGGCACATATCACCACTCCTAATTATTATTATTATTTTTTTTGAGATGGAGTTTTGCTCTGTTGCCCAGGCTGGAGTGCAATGGCGTGATCTCGGCTCACTGCAACCTCTGCCTCCCGGGTTCAAGCGATTCTCCTGCCTCAACCTCCTGAGTAGCTGGGATTACAGGTGCCCACCACCACACCTGGCCAATTTTTGTATTTTTCATAGAGATGGGGTTTCACCATGTTGGCCAGGCTGGTCTTGAATTCCTGACCTCGTGATCCACCCCCCTCTGCTTCCCAAAGTGCTGGAATTACAGGAGTGAGCCACCGCGCCTGGCCTAATTTTTGTATTTCGTAGCAACAGGGTTTTGCCATTTTGCTCAGGCTGGTCTTGAACTTCTGGGCTCAAGTGATCCATCCACCTTAGCTTCTGAAAGTGCTGGGATTACAACAGGCATGAGTCACCATGCCAGGCCTTATCTTCTTTTTTTTTTTTTTTGAGATGGAGTCTTGCTCTGTCACCCAGGTTGGAATGCAGTGGCACAATCTCAGGTCACTGAAACCTCTGCCTCCTGGGTTCAAGGGATTCTCCTGCCTCAGCCTCCGGAGTAGCTGGGATTATAGGCACTGACCACGCCCAGCTAATTATTGTGTTTTTAGTAGAGATGGGGTTTCATCATGTTGGTCAGGCTAGTCTTGAACTCTTGACCTCAAGTGATCCGCCCACCTCAGCCTCCCAAACTGCTGGGATTACAGGCGTGGGCCACCATGCCCGGCATTGTCTTCATTTTTAACATTCCAGTTTATAACCAACCTGAATTAATTTTGTAGTATGATGTGTGGATGTATTTTGGCTTTTTTTTTTTTTTTTTTTCTGAGACAGGGTCTCACTCTGTCACCAAGGCTGGAGAGCAGTGGCACGATCTTGGTTCACTGCAACCTCCACCTCCCAGGTTCAAGCAATTCTCATGCCTCAGCCTCCCAAATAGATGGAATTACAGGCGCCCACCACCATGCCCACGCCCGGCTAACTTTTGTATTTTTAGTAGAGATGGGTTTTCTCCATGTTGGCCAGGCAGGTCTCGAACTGCTGACCTCAAGTGATCTGCCCGCCTTAGGCTCCCAAAGTTATTTTTCCAAAATATTTGTCAATTGATCCAACACATTTTTTTTCTATTTTTTTGAGACGGAGTCTTGCTCTGTCTCCCAGGCTGGAGTGCAGTGGTGCCATCTAGGCTCACTACAACCACCGCCTCCTGGGTTCAAGCGATTCTCCTGCCTCAGCCTCCCGAGTAGCTGGGACTACAGGCGCCCGCCACCATGCCCGGCTAATTTTTTTTTTTTTTTTTAGTAGAGACGGGGTTTCACCATGTTGGTCAGGGTGGTGTTGAACTCCTGACCTCATGAGCTGCCTGCCTCAGCCTCCCAAAGTGTTGGAATTACAGGCGTGAGCCACTGGGCCCGACTTTTTTTTTTTTTTTTTTTTTTGACACAGAGTCTCACTCTGTCGCCCAGGCCGGAGTATAGTGGTGCAATCTCGGCTCACTGCAACCTCTGCCTCCCGAGTTCAAGCGATTTTCCTGCCTTAGCCTCCCAAGTAGGTGGGATTACGGGCGTGTGCCATCATGCCTAGCTAATTTTTGTATTTTTAGTAGGGACAGCGTTTCACCATATTGGTCAGGTTGTTCTTGATCTCCTGACCTCCGGTGATCCACCTGCCTCAGCCTCTTAATGTACTGGAATTACAGGTGTGAACCACCGCGCCTGGTCCCAACACATTTGTTTTATTCAATACGTGTTGATTAAGTACTTTTTATGAGAAAGCCCTAATTTAAGGTCATGGCAAATATAACGGTGAGACTAACATGACCCATCTCTGGCTGAGTAACTTTGAAATTCACAGATTTGGCCAGGCACGGTGGCTCACGCCTGTATTCCCAGCACTTTGGGAGGCCGAGGAGGGTGGAACACGAGGTCAGGAGTTTGAGACCAGCCTGACCAACATGGTGAAATCCTGTCTCTACTAAAAATTCAAAAATTAGCTGGTCGTGGTGGCGGGCGCCTGTAATCCCAGCTACTCAGGAGGCTGAGGCCGGAGAATTGTTTGAACCCTGGAGGTGGAGCTTTCAGTTAGCCGAGATTGCGCCAATGTACTCCAGACTGGGTGACAGAGCGAGACTCTATCTCAAAAAAAAAAAAAAGAAAAAGAAAAAGAAAAAAAATTCACAGTTATAATTTTACCCAAATAACTGTTTATGTGTTATATTTTTCTTGTTTTTATTTTTATTTTTGTTAAAAAAGAGATGGGATCTTGCTATGTTGCCCAGGCTGGTCTTGAACTCCTGAGCTCAAGTGCTCCTCCACCCTTAGGCCTTCCAAAGTGCTGGGATTACAGGTGTGAGCTACTTCACCTGGCCAACGTTTTTTTCAACAGAATTGGTGCTGCATGTATAATGTTGAAAAACGAAATACTGGTGGGGCACGGTGGCTCACGCCTGTAATCCCAGCACTTTGGGAGGCTGAGGCGGGTGGATCACCTGAGGTCAGGAGTTCGTGACCAGCCTGGCCAACATGGTGAAACCCTGTCTCTACTAATAATACAAAAATTAGTTGGGCGTGGTGGCAGGCACCTGTAAAGCGAGCTACTTGGGAGGCTGAGACTGGAGAATTGCTTGAACCCACAAGGCAGAGGTTGAAGTGAGCCAGGATCGCGACACTTCACCCCAGTGTGGGTGACAGAGCAAGACTCTGTCTAAAAAAAAAAAAGAAAAATGAAATACTGGTATTGACATATTTAGAACAATTGCCTACACAGAACCATATTCATTCATTTAAACAATACTTATAGAGTGTCTAATATATGTGAGGCAGCAGTGATTGTAATCAGTGCTTTGAACAAAATACACAAAATAAGGTAATATTTCCCTAATGAGTTGGCTTTTGAACAGAGACATCAAGGACGTGGGGAGGAGGCATTGTGACCATCGGGGAAGGATATGCTAAACAGGCTGGGCGTGGTGGCTCACGCCTGTAATCCCAGCACTTTGGAAGGCTGATCACCTGAGGTTAGAGGTTCAAGACAAACCTAGCTAACATGGTGAAACCCTGTTTTTACTAAAAATACAAAAAAAAATTAGCCAGGTGTGGTGGCGGCCACCTGTAATCCCAGCTATTCGGGAGGCTGAGGCAGGAGAATCGCTTGTACCGGGGAGGTGAAGTTTGCGGTGAGCCAAGACCACGCCATTGCACTCCAGCCTGGGCAAGAAGAGCAAAACTCCGTCTCAAAAAAAAAAAAAAAAAAAAAAGCCTGGGTGCAGTAGCTCACACTTGTAATTCCAGGTTTTTGAAAGGCCGAGGCAGACGAATCGCTTGAGCCCAGGAGGTCAAGACAGCCTTGGCCACAGGGTGAAACCCACTCTCTACAAAAAATACAAAAAATTAACTGGGCATGATGGCGTGTACCTGTAGTCCCAGCTACTAGGGAGGCTGAGCTGGGAGATCACTTGAGCACTGGATGTTGAGGCTGCAGTGTGCCATGATGGTGCCACTGCATTCCAGCTTGGGTGACAAGAGTGATACCCTGTCTCAAAAAAAAAAAAAAAAAAAAAGAAAAAAACTATAATAGATATGAACAAAACCTAATTGGGCTACAGAAAATGGAACAAATACATCTACTTGCAGATTAAAAGGAGCCCAAGCCCCATCTCATCCTAGCACACCCTCCTCCACTGTCCTGGCAGTAGCAGGTATGGCCATCTGCGGGGGTGCTTATTCTCAAAAATGTCCCCAGCCCAGCCTGTGTCTTTGTCACTCCATGGAGCTCACACTCACTTTTCTTCCTTCCTCTCCTTCCCTAGTCCCTGCACTAGGTCAGACAATCCCCTTTGGGGTACAGGAAACAAAGCAGGAGGAGTTTGAGGTCCCTACACTGCAGCAGAAGAAGAGGAAGGAGTGGGGCCTGAATTGACCATAAAGGATGTAGGGGCCACGTTGTTCCACTGTAATGTCAAGGAGGGGGTGGCCATTGTTTGTCCCAGCCTGGGGCTCCCCCTCTGGTTTCCTATTTGTAGTTACTAGAATGAAAAAAAAACATGATAGATAAATAAATAATCCACTGGCAGAGATCAGAGAGGTTCAATCTGGATCATTAAGAATGAATTGGGGCCGGGCGCCGTGGCTCACGCCTGTAATCCTAGCACTTTGGGAGGCTGAGGCAGGCGGATCACCTGAGGTCAGGAGTTTGAGACCAGCCTGGCCAAACCCCATCTCTACCAAATATACAAAAATTAGCCAGGTGTGGTGGCCCACGCCTGTAGTCCCAGCTACTCAGGAGACTGAGACATGAGAAATGCTTGAACCTGTGAGGCAGAAACTCCGTCTCAAAAGAAAAAAAAGGCTGGGTGCAGTGGCTCACTCCTGTAGTCCCAGCACTTTGGGAGGCCAAGGCAGGTGGATCACCCGAGGTCAGGAGCTCGAGACCAGCCTGGCTAACATGGTGAAACCTACAAAAATTAGCCCAGCATGGTGGCAGTTGTCTGTAATCCCAGCTACTCTGTAGGCTGAAGCAGGAGGATCACTTGAACCTAGGAGGTGAAGGTTGCAGTGAGCCAAGATCGTGCCACTACACTCCAGCCTGGGGGATAGAGTGAGACTCTGCCTGCAAAAAAATAAATAAATAAATTAGCCATGAATGGTGGCGGGTGCCTGTAATCCCAGCTACTCGGGAGGCTGAGGCAGGGAGAATTGCTTGAACCCAGGAAGTAGGTTGCAGTGAGCCGAGATCGCGCCATTGCACTCCAGCCTGGGCAACAAGAGCAAAACTCCATCTCAAATAAAACAAAACAAAACACCCAAGACTGTAACACTTGTGTTTTGGAATTATGAATATCCTGCTGCTTTATGTCCAGTATCCATCTGTAGGGCACACCAGCCTCTCAACACAAAGAGCATGGGCAGATGGCGCTTTCATTATGGCCACCATTGATTGAGCCCCCTTCAGGTTTCAGGCTCTTTTTTTTTTTCCCCAAGACGGAGTCTCGCGCTGTTGCCCAGGCTGGAGTGCAATGGCGCAATCTCGGCTCACTGCAACCTCCGCCTCCCAGGTTCAAGTGATTCTCCTGCCTCAGCCTCCAAAGTAGCTGGGACTACAGGCACATGCAACCATGCCCAGCTAATTTTTTGTATGTTTAGTAGAGATGGGGTTTCTTTTTTTTTTTTGAGATGGAGTCTCGCTCTGTCGCCAGGCTGGATTGCAGGGGTGCAATCTCGGCTCACAGCAACCTCCACCTCCCAGGTCCAAGTGATTCTTCTGCCTCTGCCTCCCTAGTAGCTGGGATTACAGGCGCCTGCCACCACGCCCAGCTAATTTTTGTATTTTTAGTAGAGACGGGGTTTCACCATGTTGGCTAGGCTGGTCTCCAACTCCTGACCTCAGGTGATCCGCCTACCTCGGCCTCCCAAAATGCTGGGATTACAGGCATGAGCCACCAAGCCCGGCCGGCTTTTTTTCAGACATTCATCCCCTGAGGATCAAGTAAGTGTGATTGTTATTAGGACCTGATGCATGGGAGCCTCCAAAGTAGCTGGGAATACAGGTGCCTGACACCACGCCCGGCTAATTTTTTGGTTTGTCTTTTTCTGAGACAGAGTTTCACTCTTATTGCCCAGGCTGGAGTGCAACGGCTCAATCTCGGCTCACTCCAACCTCCACTTCCTGGGTTCAAGCGATTCTCCTGCCTCAGACTCACGAGTAGCTGAGATAACAGGCACCCGCTATGTCACCCGTATAATTTTTGTATTTTTGTAGAGACAAGGTTTCACCATGTTGGCCAGGCTGGTCTTGAACTCCTGACCTCAGGTGATCTGCCCACCTCGGCCTCCCAAATTGCTGGATTACAGGCGTGAGCCACCATGCCAGGCTGGTTTTTCTTTTTGTTTTTTTTTTTTTTTTTTTGAGATGGAGTCTCACTCTGTTACCCAGACTGGAGTGCAGTGGGGTAGCAATTCTCCTGCCTCGGTCTCCGGAGTAGCTGGGATTACAGGCATGCACCACCACATCTGGCTAATTTTTGTATTTTTAGTAGAGACAGGGTTTCACCATGTTCATCAGGCTGGTCTGGAACTCCTGACCTCAGGTGATCCACCTGCCTTGGCCTCCCAAATTGCTGGGATTACAGGCGTGAAACATTGCGGCCGGCTCAACACAACAACCTCATTATTAAAACAGCTTTGACCTGGCGCAGTGGCTTTTGCCTGTAATTCCAGCACTTTGGGAGGCTGAGGTGCGCAGATCCTGAGGTCAGGAGTTCGAGACCAGCCTGGCCAATATGGTGAAACCCCGTCTCTACTAAAAATACAAAAATTAGCCGGGTGTGGTGGTGCATGCCTGTAGTCCCAGCTACTTGGGAGGCTGAGGCAAGAGAATCACTTGAACTCAAGAGGTGAAGGTTGCAATGAGCCGAGATTGTGCCACTACACTTGAGCCTGGATGACAGAGCGTGACACCATCTCAAAAACATAAATAAATAAATAAAAAATAAAAATAAAATTAGACAGCTTTGTCAGGCCAGGCATGGTGGCCCATGCCTATAATCCCAGTACTTTGGGAGGCTGAGGTGGGCGGATCATGAGGTCAGGAACTCGAGACCATCCTGGCTAACATGGTGAAAGCCTGTCTCTACTGAACATACAAAAAATTAGTTGAGCGTGGTGGCATGCGCTACTCTGAAGGCTGAGGCAGGAGAATCGCTTGAACCCGGGAGGCAGCAGTTGCAGTGAGCCAAGATCACACCACTGCAGTCCACTCTGGGCAACAGAACAAGACTGTTTAAAAAAAAAAAGAAATAATAGGCAGGGCACAGTGGCTCATGCCTGTAATCCCAGCACTTTGGGAGGCCGAGGTGGGCAGATCACAAGGTCAGGAGATCGGGACCATTCTGGCTAACACGGTGAAACCTTGTCTCCACTAAAAATACAAAAAAACTTAGCTGGGGGTGGTGGCGGGCGCCTGTAGTCCCAGCTACTTGGGAGGCCGAGGCAGGAGAACGGCGTGAACCCGGGAGGCGGAGGTTGCAGTGAGCCGAGATCGTGCCACTGCACTCCAGCCTGGGCGACAGAGCGAGACTCCGTCTCAAAAATAAAATAAAATAAAAATAATAATAATAATGAGTTTTGAGGGTTTTTTTTTTTTTTTTGACAGGGTCTCACTCTGGCACCCATGCTGGAAGACAGTGGCGCAATCATGGCTCACTGCACTTGACCTCACAGGCCCAAGCGATCCTCCCAACTAAGCCTCCAGAGTAACTGGGCCATAGATGCATGCCACTACACCTGGCTAACTTTTTTTTTTTGAGACAGAGTCTTGCTCTTGTTGCCCAGGCTGGAGTGCAATGGCGCCATCTTGCCTCACTGCCACTTCCACCTCCCAGGTTCAAGTGATTCTCCTGCCTCAGCCTCCGGAGTAGCTGGAATTATAGGCATGTGCCACCACGCCTCGCTAATTTTGTATTTTTAGTAAGGACAGGGTTTCACCATGTTGGTCAGGCTGGTCTCGAACTCCTGACCTCAGGTGATCCACCCGCCTCGGCCTCCAAAAGTGCTGGGATTACAGGTGTGAGCTACTGCGCCCAGCCCTAATTTTTTAAATAGGTTTTGTCTTAGAGACGAGGTGTCCCTATGTTTCCCAGGCTGATCTCGAACTCTTAGGCATGAGCCACCACACCAGACCTTAGTGAGTTTGTGTGTGTGTTTTTTTTTTTTTTTTTGAGACGGAGTCTCCCTCTGTCGCCCAGGCTGGAGTGCAGTGGTGCGATCTCTGCTCACCGCAAGCTCCACCTCCCAGGTTCATGCCATTCTCCTGGCTCAGCCTCCCGAGTAGTTGGGACTACAGGCGCCCGCCACCACGCCCGGCTAATTTTTGTATTTTTTAGTAGAGATGGGGTTTCATCATGTTAGCCAGGATGGTCTCGATCTCCTGACCTCGTGATCCGCCCGCCTCGGCCTCCCAGTTGTGAGCCACCGCGCCCGGCCCCTTAATGAGTTTTTAAAAAGTCCCTTTTTCTTCAGTCTACATTTGAGGAAGGGCCTTTCTAGGTGGTGGTAAACTGAGGCCTGAGGGGTGTGCTTGAAGCAGGTGGAGGCAGAGGCCATGGGGTGGAGAGAGGGTGGGTACAGGGACGGAATCTTGGGCCCTGAAGGGATTGAATTGTGTTTTCAAATACCATCTGCTTTGGCCTGGGGAGTGGCTTAGCCTGTATTCCCAGCACTTTGGGAGGTAGAAGTGAGCAGTTCACTTGAACCCAGGAGTTCGAGACCAGCCTGGGCAACACGGGGAGACCCCTGCCCCCATCTCTACAAAAACACAAAAATTAGCTGGGGATGGTAGTGCATGCCTGTAGTCCCAGCTGCTTAGGAGGCTGAGGTGGTTGGATGGCCTGAGCCCGGAGAGGTTGAGGCTGCAGTGAGCCATGATCATACCACTACTCCAGCCTGGTGACACAGCCAGACCCTGTCTCAAAAAAAAAAAAAAAAAAAAAAATTAGGTCAGGTGAGGTGGCTCACCTGAGGTCAGGAGTTTCAAAGCAGCATGGCCAACACGGTGAAACCCCATCTCTACTAAAAATACAAAAAATTGGCCAGGCGTGGTGGCGGTTGCCTGTAATCCCAGCTACTCGAGAGGCTGAGGCAGGAGAATCACTTGAGCCTGGGAGGTGGAGGTTGTTGTGAGCCAAGATAGTGCCACTGCACGCCAGCCTGGACGACAAAGCGAGACTCTGTCTCAAAAAAAAACAAACAGGCTGGGCGCAGTGGCCCACGCCTGTAATCCCAGCACTTTGGCAGGCTGAGGCGGGCAGATCATTTGAGATCAGGAGTTCCAGACCAGCTTGGCCAACATGGTGAAACCCTTCTCTACTAAAAATACAAAAATTAGCCCAGTGTGGTGGCATGTGCCTGTAATCCCAGCTGCTTGGGAGGCTGAGGCATGAGAATCGCTTGAACTGGGGAGGTGGAGGTTGCTGTGAGCCGAGATCACGCCACTGCACTCCACCTTGGGCGACAGAGTGAGACTCTGTCTTAAAAAAAAAAAAAAAAAGTAGCATCTATCCTTCCCAGATCATTTTTTAGAATTTTTTTATTATTTTGTTGTTATTATTATTATTATTTTGAGACAGGGTCTCACTCTCTTGTCCAGGCTAAAGCACAGCGTGGTTCAATCAGGGCTCTCTGCAGCCTCAATTTCCCTGACTCCAGGGATCCTCTCACCTTGGCCTCCGGAGCAGCTGGGACTACAGGTGTGTGCCACTATGCCTGGCCAATTAAAAAATTTTTTTTTGTAGAGAGGGAGTCTTGCTGTGTTGCCCAGGCAGGTCTCAAACTCCTGGGCTCAAGTGATCCTCTTGCCTTGGCCTTCCAAAGTGCTGGCCATCTCGTCTGGCCTATTATTATTTTTTTAGAGATAGGGTCTTGCTCTATCACTCAGGCTGTAGTGTAGTGGTGTAATCATAGCTCACTGCAGCCTCAAACTACTGGACTCAAGGGATCTTTACACTCAGCCTGCCGAGTAGGTGGGACTACAGGCACGTGCCACCATGCCCAGCTAAGTTTTAAAACATTTTTTTTGTAGAGACGGGCTCTCACTATGTTGCTCAGGCTGGTTTCGAACTCCTGGCTTCAAGCGATCCTCCTGCCTTGGCCTCTCAAAGTACCGGGATTACAGGTGTGAGCCACCGCACCTGGCCTATTTGTTTATTCTTTATTTTTATTTTTTAGTCCTCAGGTCAGAATCTCCAGTTTTTTTAATTCCGGTGGGGCGCGCGGAATGGCAGAACGACATAATATAGTATAAAAAGCAATTCTTTCCTCAGGGTGAGAACTTAATAAGAAAGAGACGTTCTGGGCTCTTTGCCTGACACACAGTAGGCACATTATTTAGTTATTTGCTTTTAATTTCGATTTAATAAGCATGTTTCTGTAGAAGACCTCATTTGGGCCTCCCAGCTTTTTAACCACATTTAGGATCTCCGTAGGAATATTTTTCATCATCATTCTATTGAGACAGAGACTGAGGATTAAAGGGAGATCACTTGGCTTCGAGGTGACAGCCTGTTCGAGTGGCGCGGTTCTCGGATCTGCTGGAAGAATCAGCTGCTCAGCCAGATCTGCGCTCCCAGGCCCAGACCTCGCGGGCCGGCCACGGCCGCAGGCTGCCGCCCTCTCTTCGCTTCTGCGCTTGGCTGCTCAGCGCCATCTTTGAACCTGGCACCAATGCCTCACTTCCGCAGTTTCCTCGCCCAGGAGTAGCGCGCCTACTCTTAGAGTGCTTTTTCTGGGGACAGGGTATGCAAAACCGGTCATGCTTCTCTCTCTGGCCGAGAAGAATCGTTACTTTTCTTTCTTCCAGGTCTTGCAGGAGGCGCTGCGACCAATTCAAACATGGCGCCGTCAGCCTCACATTCCCCGTTTTCCGCTCATGGCGGCGTAGGGGCGGAGGTCGCGCCTGAGTGCGTCCGCACGAGAGGGCGGAACCGTCTCCATGGCAACCCGCGCGCAGCCGGGGCCACTCAGCCAGGCGGGAAGCGCTGGTGTTGCGGCGCTGGCGACAGTCGGGGTTGCGAGCGGCCCGGGGCCGGGGCGGCCAGGGCCGCTGCAGGACGAGACCCTGGGTGTGGCGTCCGTGCCCTCGCAGTGGAGGGCCGTCCAGGGCATCCGCTGGGAGACGGTGAGGGCGCGGGCCCCGCGCGGAGCGACGCGGGCGGGAAGGCGGGGTCGCAGCGCGGCTGCCGGGCGGGTTCGGGCGTCCCACCGTGGCTGCCGGGCGGGTTCGGGCGTCCCACCGTGGCTGCCGGGCGGGTTCGGGCGTCCCACCGTTTGCCTTTACAGTTTATTCCACAGAAACTGACCCAGAGGATACTTTCGGCCCATTTTTTAACAACAAAAAGTGGAAAAACAAAACACCTCCAAGGATCCCACGTTTTGAAGGATTTTGTGTGAACTGTAGTTTTTAAGCATTTCAAACAACTTTTTTTGGTTTTGTTTTGTGTTTTTTTTTTTGAACAGGGTCTCGCTCTGTCGCCCAGGCTGGAGTGCAGTGGTGCGATCTCGGCTCACTGCAGCCTCAGCCCCCGGTGCTGAGCGATCCTCCCACCTGCGCATCCAGAGTATCTGGGACCTCAGGCGCGGGCCACCACGCTGGCTGTTTATTTATTTATTATCTTGTAGAGATGGGGTCTCCATGTGTTGCCCTGGCTGGTCTCCAA
This sequence comes from Homo sapiens, assembly GCF_000001405.40. Taxonomy (NCBI): domain Eukaryota; kingdom Metazoa; phylum Chordata; class Mammalia; order Primates; family Hominidae; genus Homo; species Homo sapiens. The sequence continues at coordinate 128,656,002 of NC_000009.12, read as the reverse complement.
CTCCTGGGCTTAAGCTGTCCTCCTTCCTCGGCCTCCCAAAGTGCTGGGATTACAGGTGTGAGCCACCGCGTTCAGGCTTTTTTTTTTTTTTTTTGAGACAGTCTCGCTCTGTCGCCCAGGCTGGAGTGCAGTGGCGCGAACTCGGCTCACTGCAAACTCCGCCTCCCAGGTTCACGCCATTCTCCTGCCCCAGCCTCCCCAGTAGCTGGGACTACAGGCGGCCGCCAGCACGCCTGGCTAATTTTTTTGTATTTTTTAGTAGAGACGGGGTTTCACAGTGTTAGCCAGAATGGTTTCCATCTCCTGTCCTCGTGATCCGCCCTCCTCGGCCTTCCAAAGTGCTGGGATTACAGGCGTGAGCCACCGCGCCCGGCCTTCTTTTTTTTCTTTTTTTTGAGACAGAGTCTCACTCTGTCGCCCAGGCTGGAGTGTAGTAGTGCCAGCTACTTGGTTTCGGCGCTACTTGGTTTCTTTCTCTTTTTTTTTTTTTTGGAGACGGAGTCTCGCTCTGTCGCCCGGGCTGGAGTGCAATGGCGCGATCTCTGCTCACTGCAAGCTCCGCCTCCCGGGTTTATGCCATTCTCCTGCCTCAGCCTCCCTAGTAGCTGGGACTACAGGCGCCCGCCACCACGCCCGGCTAATTTTTTTTTTTTTTTTTTTTTTTTTTAGTAGAGACGGGGTTTCACCGTGTTAGCCAGGATGGTCTCGATCTCCTGACATTGTGATCCACCCGCCTCGGCCTCCCAAAGTGCTGGGATTACAGGTGTGAGCCACCGCGCCGGCCCAGGCTAACTTTTAAATGACCAAACTGCATTGTAAATTCTAGATAAGCCAGTTTTCCAGGTGTTTAATCAAACGCACACGAAAGGAGATGCTCTGATGAGATGAGATGCTGCGTGCTCAAGGCCTCTCCCAAGGGGTCTGTGCGGACTTTCAGCTTGAGCACCTGCTGTGTGCTAGGAGCGGTTCAAGGGTTGGGGACTCATCAGAGAAGAAGACGGACATCTCTCCCTCCTCGAGCTTACATGGGGCAGTGGCAACGGCTGTAACATTAACAGTATATTTAATAAGTAAATTATGCAGTGTGTTAGAAGGTGAATAGTGCCGTGGACAAAAGAGAAAGCTGAGAGATTGGAAGGACTGGGTTGGGGATTGAGAGGGTGGTTTGCCAGGTGGGCTACAGTGAGGGTGACATTTTAGCAAAGATTTGGAGGAGTGAGCGTGGGCTAAGTGGATACCTGGGGTAGAGTCATCTAAGGAGATGAAAAGTCAAGTGCAAAGTAGGGTGCCCTGGCATTGTGCCTGTATTTCCAGCTACTTGAGCAGCTGAGGCAGGAGGATCCCTTGAGCCCAGGAGTTGGAGGCTGCAGTGAGCTATGATTGCACCACTGTGTTCCAGTTTGGGTAACAGAATGAGACCCTAACTTTACAGGGGGAAAAAAAGGTCAGTGCAAAGGCCCTAGGGCAAATCTGTCTGTTTGAGGAGGCAGGTGGGGCTGGAGAGGAGTGAGGGGTGGGGAAGAGTGGTCCCAGGTGAGGTCAGAGAGGGTAAGGAAAGGAAAGGCAGGTCAGGTGGGGGCTGTCAGAGTATTGTAAGGACTTATGTTTTTCCTCTGAAAATGAGCAGCATTGGGTGCTGCACACGTCCCAGAAGAGAATACTGAGGCTTAGCTTGCTGCATGAACCTGCAGAGAGCCCAAATCCTCCCCAAGGCCAGTGAGGTTTCCATGAAATCTTACTCTTGAGGACAGATTTCTTACCTCAGGCCTAGAAGTCTGCCCAGCTGAAGCCAGGATCTGATGTGGCTTGCACGCACTTCCCGCTTTGCTGTGCTGTATGGGAACGGTTCTCAGGGAAAGCCAGGGCACTAGGTGGTTTAGTTAACTGTCCATCCTTATCGCAGGTCAATTGATGATTCAGATGCACTGGCTTTTAAGCAATACTCAAAATAGCTCTTGCTGAACATTTTGTTTTTGTTTTTTGTTTTCTTTTGAGATGGAGTCTGGCTTTGCCACCCAGGCTGGAGTGCAGTGGCGCAATCTCGGCTCGCTGCAAGCTCTGTCTCCTGGGTTCACGCCATTCTCCTGCCTCAGCCTCCCCAGTAGCTGGGACTACAGGCACCCGCCACCACGCCTGGTCAATTTTTTGTATTTTTAGTAGAGATGGGGTTTCACTGTGTTGGCCAGGATGGTCTCCATCTCCTGACCTCGTGATCCGCCTGCCTTGGCCTCCCAAATTGCTGGGATTACAGGCGTGAGCCACTGCGCCCGGCCTGGGTTTTTTTTTGGAGACAGAGTCTCGCTCTGTGGCCTAGGCTGGAGTGCAATGGCGTGATCTCAGCTCACTGCAACTTCCGCCTCCCGGCTTCAAGCGATTCTCCTGCCTCAGCTTCCCGAGTAGCTGGGACTACAGGTGCATGCCAGCACGCCTGGCTAATTTTTTTTTTTTTTTTAGTAGAGGTGGGGTTTCTCTGTGTTAGCCAGGATAGTCTTTATCTCCTGACCTCGTGATCCGCCTGCCTCGGCCACCCAAAGTGCTGGGATTACAGGTGTGAGCCACCGTGTCCGGCCCAGTTTTTTTTATTTTTAGTAGTGACGGGGTTTCGCCATATTGGCCAGGTTGGTTTTGAACTCCCGACCTTTCACCATGTTGGCCAGGCTGGTCTCAAACTCCTGGCCTCAAGTCATCTGCCTGCCTCGGCCTCCCAAGGTATAGATATTACAAGCCTGAGCCACCTCACCTGGGCTACTCTTGGTACTTTCTTTTTTGTGTGTGAGACGGAGTCTCGCTTTGTTGCCCAGGCTGAAGTGCAGTGGTGTGATCTCAGCTCACTGCAACCTCCGCCTCCTGGTTTCAGGTGATCCTCCTGCCTCAGCTTCCTGAGTAGCTGGGATAACAGGTGCACGCCACCACATTGGGCTAATTTTTGTGTTTTTAGTAGAGACAGGGTTTCACCATGCTGGCCAGGCTGGTCTTGAACTCCTGACCTTAGGTGATCCACCCGCCTCAGCCTCCCAAACTGCTTGGGGATTACAGGTGTGAGCCACCGTGCCTGGCACTCTTGGTACTTACTTTTTTTTTTTTGAGACGGAGTTTCGCTTTTGTTGCCCAAGCTGGAGTGCAGTGGCATGATCTTGGCTCACTGCAACCTCCGCCTCCCGGGTTCAAGTGATTCTCCTGCCTCAGCTCCTGAGTAGCTGGAATTACAGGCATGTGCCACCATGCCTGGCTAATTTAGTATTTTTAGTAGTGAGGGAGTTTCTCCATGTTGGTCAGGCTGGTTTCGAACTCCCGACCTCAGGTGATCCACTTGCCTGGGCCTCCCAAAGTGCTGGGATTACAGGAGTGAGCCACTGTGCCCGGCCTCTTTTTTTTTTTTGAGACGGAATTTCATTCTTGTTGCCCAGGCTAGAGTGCAATGGCACAATCTTGGGTCACTGCAACCTACACCTCCCGGGTTCAAGCGATTTTCCTCCGTCAGCCTCCTGAGTACCTAGGAGTACAGGTGTGTACCACAGCACCTGGCCAACTCTTGGTACTTTCTTTCTTTCTTTTTTTTTTTTTTTTTTTGAGATGAAGTTTCGCTCTTGTTCCCCAGGCTGGAGTTTAATGGCATGATCTCAGCTCAGTGCAACCTCTGCCTCCTGGGTTCAAGCGATTCTCCTGCCTCAGCCTTCTGAGTAGCTGGGATTACAAGTGCCTGCCACCATGCCCAGCTAATTTTTGTATTTTTAGTAGAGACGAAGTTTCACCATGTTGGCCAGGCTGGTCTCAAACTCCTGACCTCAGGTGATCTGCCCACCTTGGCCTCCCAAAGTGCTGCGATTACAGGCGTGAGCCACCGCACCTGGCCCGATTCTTGGTGCTTTCTAATTGGTCTGTCTTGTTCCTCTGGTTCTTCTGTGATTTCTGAGCCAATCTGGTCAGTTTCTGTGCCAGTCTGATGAGAATGTTCAGTACTTCGGGTCACCTGGATCAGGCTTCCAGTGCCTTGTAGAAGCATTGCCCTTTGAGATTGTAGCCAGTCCATGTGCTCATTCTCTGCAGCACATGTGCTATATTTCTTTCTTTTTTTTTTTTTTTTTTCTGAGATGAAGTTTTACTCAGTCACCCAGGCTGGAGTGCAGTGGTGCTATCTCAGCTCACTGCAACCTCTGCCTCCTGGGTTCAAGCAATTCTCCTGCCTCAGCCTCCTGAGTAGCTGGGATTACAGGCGCCTGCCACCATACTCAGCTAATTGTTTATATTTTTAGTAGAAATGGGGTTTCACTGTGTTGGCCAGGCTGGTCTCAAAACTCCTGACCTTGGGTGATCTGCCCGCCTCGGCCTCCCAAAGTTCTGGGATTACAGGTGTGAGCCACCGTGCCTGGCTGTGTGCCATATTTCATGTCTCCTCGGCCTCCAGTTGTGGCTCTCCAAGGTGTGCTTCTCATCTCCTGATAGTTTGGCAAGGTCCTTCCAGTAGTGTTTTTTGAGACAGTCTCGATCTGTTGCTGAGGCTTGAGTGCAGTGGTACGATCTTGGCTCACTGCGACCTCTGCCTCCCGGGTTTAAGCGATTCTCCTGCGTCAGCCTCCCGAGAAGCTGGGATTACAGCCGTGCGCCACCACGGCCGGTTAATGTTTGTATTATTAGTAGAGATGGGGTTTCACCATGTTGGTCAGGCTGGTCTTGAACTCCTGACCTCAAGTGATCTGCCCACCTCGACCTCCTAAAGTGCTAGGATTACAGGTATGAGCTACTACCCCCGGCCCTTCTGGTAGTTTTGAAGCTTAGACATCATGGGGTTACGGAAAGATAGAGGTGCATAATGTAGTTCCTCCTCCATCTCTGCCAGCTTTTTGTTTCCTTCCTGTTGCTTTTCATCAAAATCTCTGATCAACTTCTCTTTGGTCCCCACTGCACCCAGCAGGTGCTTGGGCACTCCTTGTAGGCCTTCATAGAGACAGTGAAAGATCTCATGCCGCTTCCCGACATGCTCCGAGGAGGGGGCAGAGGTGGCCATGGTGCAGGCTGTGTTCAAGCAGCGGCGACAGATTCTGGGTGCCGGTTGTGCTCCTAGCCTGGCAGAACCGCACCCAGCCCCTTAGCCGTCATGGTGACTACTGCGCCACTGCTGCCTGGTGCTTTTTGAGTTAACTTTTTGTTCTTTATACAAGTAATCTATGGGCCGGCGTGGTGGCTCACGCCTGTAATTCCAGCACTTTGGGAGGCTGAGGTGGGTGGATCACCTGAGGTCAGGAGTTCAAGACCAGCCTGGCCAACATGGTGAAACCCCATCTCTAAAAATACAAAAATGGGGCTGGGTGTGGTGGTTCATGCCTGTAATTCCAGCACTTTGGGAGGCTGAGCCTTGCAGATCAACTGAGGTCGACTGGGAGTTGAAGACCAGCCTGACCGACATGGAGAAACCCTGTCTCTACTAAAAATACAAAATTAGCCGGGCGTGGTGGCATATATATATATATATATATATGGTCTTTGGCCTGACTTGACTTTTCTTGCCACGTCCCTATCTGTTTAGAGGGACAGTGTCCTGGACCTTAATTTTCGATCTGAGTTTGAGGGTGCAGATCCTTTTTATCAGTGGCTTGGCCCTGGACTAGTAACGCAGTCTCTCTTCTGTGAAGTGCGATTGTTAGGATACTTCTTATGGGGTTGAATGGGACTGTTGACCAGAAAGCCAAGTGAAAGCCAGTGCTGTTCACGTGGAGTTTCTGAGTGTCAGTGACTGGCCCTGCTGTCTCAGCTGAGGGGGGCCTCCTCATTCCTCTTCTCAAAGGTAGTCAACACTGGAATGCCCTGGAAAGTGTTGAAAAATGTGGACTCCTGGGTTCTACTTGCAGTTACTGTGGCTTACTTTGGATGTGGTATGACCTGGGGATCTGGTTTCATAATATCTCCCTAAATGATTCTAATGCTTAGCAAAGTTTGAGAACCACTAGAACCACTAGTTTAATCCAGCTGCTTTCCAGTAGTTTTTTAAAAAATTTTTCATTTATTTATTTATATTTTAGAGTCTCGCTCTGCCACCCAGGCTGGAGTGCAATGGCGCGATCTCAGCTCACTGCAACCTCTGTCTCCCGGGTTCAAGCGATTCTCCTGCCTCAGCCTCCTTAGTAGCTGAGACTACAGGCACGCACCACCATGCCCAGCTAATTTTTGTATTTTTAGTAGAGATGGGGTTTCACCATGTTGGTTAGGCTGGTCTTGAACTCCTGACCTCATGATCCGCCCACCTCAGCCTCCCAAAGTGCTGGGATTACAGGTGTGAGCCACTGCACCTGGCCCAGTTTTTTTTTTTTTTTTTTTTTGAGATGGAGTCTCACTGTCTTGCCCAGGCTGGAGTGCAGTGGTGCAGTCTTGGCTCACTGCAATCTCTGCCCCCTGAGTTCCAGCAGTTCTCCCACCTTAGCCTCCCCAGTAGCTGGAATTACAGGCGCGTCCCACTAGGCCTGGCTCTTTTTTGTATTTTTAGTAGAGGCAGGGTTTCACCATGTTGGCCAGGCTGGTCTCGAACTCCTGACCTCAAATGATCCTCCCACCTTGGCCTCCCAAAGTGCTGGTGGTCTGGTTCTGTCTCCCAGCCTGGAATGCAGTGATGTGATCGTAGCTCACGCAGCCTCAAACTCTTGAGCTTAAGCGATCCTCCCACTTCAGTCTCCCGAGTAGAAAGAACTACAGGTGCACACCATCGCGCCTGGCTAATTTGGAAAATTCTGTAGAGTCAGAGGTCTTGCTTTGTTGCCCAGCTGGTATTGAACAACTGGCCTCACGTGAGCCTCCCACTCAGCCTCCCAAAGTGCTGAAATGAAAGCTGTGAACCACCATCTCTGGCCCGTTTTAACCATTTTAAAAAGTGTGCAATTCAGAGGCATCAAGTATAATTCCAGTGCACAGTCATCACCGCGATCTATTGAACTTTTTCCCAGTGGGATGCATTTTTGACATTCAGGTCTGTCTCCCGTGATTTAGCTCCTTGAGGGCAGGGGTGAGTCTCCTGTAGTTTTCCATGTCCCAGAGGTGCCTAGGAAATGCTGAATTGAATGGTTTCTTGTGTGCTTTCACTCCCTGGCAGGCCTCTGCTGCATCCCTCCTCAGAATTGACCTAGCTGCCTAGCTCTGGGCCTCTAAGTGAGTGCCTCTTCTGGACTGGCTGTAGCTTCTGGCCCAGCAGATTCTCTCTCTCTTTTTTTTTTTTTTGAAACGGAGTCTCCCTCCGTCGCCCAGGCTGTAGTGCAGTGGCACGATCTTGGCTTACTGCAACCTATACCTCCCAGGTTCAAGCAATCCTCCCACCTCAGCCACCCTAGTAGCAGTGATTACAGTTGCCCGCCAACACGCTTGGCTAATTTTTTTTTTTTTTTTTTTGTATTTTTAGTAGAGATAGGGCTTCACCATGTTGGCCAGGCTGGTCTTGAACTCCTGGCCTCAAGTGATCTGCCTGCCTCGGCCTCCCAAAGGCCTAGGATTACAGGCCTGAGCCACCATGCCTGGCCCTGCCCGCTTGGCTTGGCTTGGCGGGGCCTGGCTTGGTCGGGCCCGGCCCAGGAGATTCTCTAGCATATGGCACCCCCTGCTGGAGTGGGCTTGTTTGAGATGGAGTCTGGCTCTGTTGCCCAGGCTGGAGTGCAATGGCGCGATCTCAGCTCACTGCAACCTCCACCTTACTGGTTTAAGTGATTCTCCTGTCTCAGCCTCCCAAATAGCTGGAGTTACAGGCGTGTGCCACCATACCTGACTAATTTTTGTATTTTTAGTAGAGATGGGATTTTGCCATGTTGGCCAGGGTGCTCGAACTCCTGGCCTCAAGTGATCCTCCTGCCTCGACCTCCCAAAGTGCTAAGGTTACAGGTGCGAGCCACTGTGCCCGGCCAGTGTTCAGTTTTCATTCAGTCAGAGAAGTCTGGGGCTTGGGGCCTAGCTTGTGGCTTGGGTAGGAGGTTTTCCAAGAAAGGGGTCCTGTGGGGCAGGTGGACTTTCCAGAAGGCATCTCCTCACCTTTCTGGGCCTCAGTTTCCTTCCTCTGAGAGGCAGGAGTGCTGATGTTCTGGGTTTCTCCATGGCTGCAGGCTCTCTTGGGGCAGGAGAATTGGGCTTCAGGCTGCAGAGCGTCCCTGGGGCCTCAGACTCTCAAGAGGGTGGACCCTGCTGGTCTTGCTTTGGTAATTACTGTTCTCTGATTCCCTCCAAGGATGTCCTGGTCTGATTACATAAAGTCTGGCCCAGCCCTTTGTATTCCCCTGAACGCTTTTTTTTTTTTTTTTTTTTGAGATGGAGTCTTGCTCTGTTGCCCAGGCTGCAGGGCAGTGGTGTGATCTCGGCTCACTGCAACCTCTGCTTTCTGGGTTCAAGCAATTCTGTCTCAGCCTCCTGAGTAGCTGGGATTACAGGTGCATGCCACCATGCCTGGCTAATTTTTTGTATTTTTAGTAGAGACGGGGTTTTACCATGTTGGCCAGGATGGTCTCGATCTCCTGACCTCGTGATCCACCCGCCTTGGCCTCCCAAAGTCCTGGGATTGCAGGCGTGAGCCATAGCGCCTGGCCCCTGAATACACTTTCTAGGTGTGGGAGGCTGGCTCTGGGCCTAGCGTCCTTGACACTCCCCTCTGAGAGTGGCCTAGGAAGTGAGGATCCTGACTCCCATGCCCCATTTCTTTCTCTGACTTCCCCCGGGGGCGGCTTATTGGAGCCTTACCCTCTTGCTAGTCACACACTGCCTGGCATGGTGGCGGGGTATGGACTTGGGCCTCATCCCCAAAGGGATCTCTGACTTAGGTATCCCGGAGCACAAAGAGTAATGGTGGCTTCTTACCAATTCACAGGAAATTTGCAGGTGCCATATTATTGTTTTTTGTTTGTGTGTTTGTTTTTTGAGACAGAGTTTCGCCCTTGTTGCCCAGGCTGGAGTGTGATGGCGCAATCTCAGCTCACCACAACCTCTGCCTCCTGGGTTCAAGTGATTCTTCTGCCTCTGCCTCCCAAGTAGCTGGGATTACAGGCACGCTCCACCACGCCTGGCTGATTTTTGTATTTTTAGTAGAGACGGGGTTTCACCATGTTGGTCAGGTTGGTCTCGAACTCCTGTCCTCGTGATCCACCTTCCTTGGCCTCCCAAATTGCTGGGATTACAGGCGTGAGCCACTGTGCCCAGCCAACCTGGCTAATTTTTAAATCTTTTGTAGAGACTGGGTTTCCCCATGTTGCCTAGGCTGGTCACAAAGTCTTGGACTCAAATGATCCACCTTCATTGGCCTCCCAAAGTGCTGGGATTACAGGCATGAGCCACTGTGCCTTCCTTAGCATAATTTGTAAGGGCCCTAGAATTATCTGGATATAAATGAGCTTTGGCTTTTACTTGAAGTCATCAGCTGCATTAGCCCCTAACAAGAGAGTCAGCCTGTCTCTCGAAGCTTTGAAGCCGGGCATTGACTTCTTTCTAGTTCACATTCCTAGATGGCATGTCCTTCTAATGTTTCATCTACTTTGAAAATCTGGGCCAGGTGGCTCATGCCTGTAATCCCAGCACTTTGGGAAGCCCAGGCAGGCTGATCACCTGGGTTCAGGAGTTTGAGACCAGCCTGGCTGACATGGTGAATCCCCGTCTCTATTAAAAATACAAACATTAGCCAGCCATGGTGGCAGGCACCTGTAATCCCAGCTACTCAAGAGGCTGAGGCAGGAGAATTGCTAGAACCCAGGAGGCACAGGTTGTCGAGATCACACCACTGCACTCCAGCCTGGGTGACAGAGTGAGACTGTGTCTCAAAACAACAAAAACAAAAAAACAACAACAAAAAGAAAATCTATTGTTTAGTGCGGCCACCTTCATCAATAATCTGAGCTAGATCTTCTGGAGAACTTGCTCCGGCTTCTCCAGCAGCACTTGCTGCTTCACCTTGTATTTGTACATTATGGAGATGGCTTCTTCCCTTAAACCTCATGAGCCAACCTCTGCTGGCTTCACACTTTTCTTCTGCAGCTTCCTCACCTCTCTCAGCCTTCATGGAGTTGAAGAGAGTTAGGGCCTTGCTCTGGGTTATGGTGTGTCTTAAGGAAATGTGGCTGGATTGATTTTCTATCCAAGCCACTAAACTTTATCCCTATCAGCAATAAGCTGTTTCACTTATAATTTGTGTGTTCCCTGGAGTAGCACTTTTAATTTCCTTCAAGAACTTTTCCTTTGCATTCACAACTTGGCTGTTTGTTGCAAGAGGCCTGGCTGCAGCCTGTCTCAGCTTTCAACATGCCCTCCTCACTAAGCTTAATCATGTCTAGCTTTTGAATTAAGAGACCTGCAACTCTTCCTTTCCCTTGAACATTTAGAGGCCCCTGTAGGGATATTAATTGGCTTACCTTTTTTTTTTTTTTTTTTTTTTTTTTTGAGATGGAGTCTCACTTTGTTGCCCAGGCCAGAGTGCAGTGGTACGATCTCGGCTCATTGCAACCTCTGCTTTTTGGGTTCAAGTGATTCTCCTGCCTCAGCCTCCCAAGTAGTTGGGACTACAGGCGCCCGCCACCATGCCTGGGTAATTTTTTTTTTTTTTTTGAGACAGAGTTTCACTCTTGTTGCCCAGGCTTGGTTCAAGTGATTCTCCTGCCTCAGCCTCCTGAGTAGCTGGGGTTACAGGTGCACACCACCATGCCCAGCTAATTTATGTATTTTTAGTAGAGATGGAGTTTTGCTGTGTTGGCCAGGCTGGTCTCGAACTCCTGACCTCAGGCGATCCGCCCGCCTTGGCCTCCCAAAGTGGTGGGATTACTGGCATGAGCCACTATGCCCGGCCAATTTTTGTATTTTTTTTTTTTTTTAGTAGAGATGGGGTTTCACCACATTGGTCAGGCTGGTCTTGAACTCCTGAGCTCAGGTGATCTGCCCGCCTCGGCCTCCCAAAGTGCTGGGATTACAGGCATGAGCCACTGCGCCTGGCCTAATTGGCTTACTTTCAATATTGTCTTGTCTCGGAATAGGGAGGCCCAAGGAGAGAGAGAGAGACAGGCAACAGCTGGTCAGTGGAGCCGTCAAATCACACGCAACATTTATCGATGAAGTTCACCATCTCATGTAGGCACAATTTGTGGTGCTGCAAAACAATTACTGTAGTAACGTAAAAGATCACTGATCACAAATCAGTGTAGCAGATATAATAAGAATGAATAAATTTGAAATAGTGTGAGAATTGCCAAAATGTGGCAGAGGCATCAACTAAGCGCATGCTGTAGGGAAAATGGCCCGATAGGCTTGTGCAGTGCAGGGGCGCCGTGATCCTTCAGTTTGTGAAAAGTGCTGAATCTGCAAAGCGTATGAAGCAGAGCGCAGTGACACGTGGTGCGGCCCAGCTTCGCACGTGTTCGGGAGGGCACCGTGGCTGAGATGCAGTTTACTGTCGTGAGGTCAGACAATCTAGTGGCAAGTCAGGTTGGACAGGTGCGGTGGCTCACGCCTGTAATCCCAGGACTTTGGGAGGCAGAGGAGGGAGGATCACTTGAGCCCAGGAGTTGGAGACAAGCCTAGATAATATAGTGAGACCCTGTCTCTACGAAAAAATTCTTTTAAAAAATCAGCCAGGTGTGGTTGTGTACCTGTAGTCCCAGCTACTTGGGGGGCTGAGGTGGGAGGATTGCCTGAGCCCAAGAGGCAGAGCTAGATTGCAATGAGCTATGACCACTCCATTGTACTCCAGCCTGGGCAACAGAGTGAGACCCTGTCTCAAAAAAAAAAAAAGGCCGCCTGGGTTCAAGTCGATCACCTTTTGCTGTGTGACCTTGGGTGAGTTACTCAGTTTCTCTGTGCCTCAGTGCCAACATTAATATGAAGATAGGATTTACTTCATAGGGTGGTTGTGAGGAAGAAAGGTGATGTGGGTGAAGTTCTTGGCACAGTGCCTGGAAGTGAGCTCTTACCAACTGGCACTGTCATCAGAATTGTGGCTTCCATGGAGTTTGAGATTCTGCCTTAGTCCCCTTGCATCTTGGCTCGGCACATGCACTTTCTGATCCCCTGGCCCATTCATTCATTCCTTGGTGTGTGTAGTCCCTCAGCAGCCTCCTCCAGCTCTGGGGCTTCAAGTCACATGTCTGGTCAGAAACTCTCCAGAGCTTTGTGACCTCCCCCGGGAATACTTGGTGCCTCCCCGTGGGTGGCTGAGGCATCTGAGTCCAAAGCAGGCCCCACAGAACTGCCCTGTGTTCTCTGCCTGAGTGTGACCTCACATCTGGGGACGCCCCGTCCACAGGTTCTCAGTGCAGATCCCAGGGTCACCCTGGATTTCCTTCTTTCCACGATTCCCAGAGTCCAACACGTCGTCTTGGGCTTTACTTGCTCTGTTGCCCAGGCTGGAGTGCAGTGGCACAATCAACTGCTCACTGCAGCCTCCACTTCCTGGACTCAAGCAATCTTCACACTTTAGCCTTCTGAGTAGCTGGGGACTACAGGATGCGCCGTCATGCCTGGCAATTTTTTTTTTTTTTTTTGAGATGGAGTCTCACTCTGTCACCCAGGCTGGAGTGCAGTGGCACGATCTCGGCTCACTGCAACCTCCGCCCCCCAAGTTCAAGCGATTCTCCTGCCTCAGCCTCCTGAGCAATTGGGATTACAGGCGCCTGCCACTGCACCTGGCTAATTTTTTTGTATTTTTAGTAGAGACGGGGTTTCACCATCTTGGCCAGGCTGGTCTTGAAGTCCTGACCTCATGATCAACCCGCCTCAGCCTCCCAGAGTGCTGGGATTACAGGCATGAGCCACTGCGCCTGGCTTCTGGCAAATTTTTAATTGTTTTGTAGGTACAGAGTTTCCCTCTGTTGCCCAGGCTGGTCTCAAACTCCTAGACTCAAGTGATCCTCTTGCTTCAGCCTCCCAAAGTGCTGGAATCACAGGCGTGAGCCACGGCGCTCAGGGGATTTTCCTCCACGACATTTTATTCTGGCCCACTACACTCCTTCCTGAAGCTTTCCACTTGGCCGGCTCCTTCATGTCCTTCACATCTCAGCTCAAACGCCATCTCCCTAAGAGGCCACCCTCGCCATCCCATCCAGACAGCCTCCCTTGCTGTTTCCTTCCTTTCTCGTGCCTCTGCATGTGCTCAGTGCTGTGTGGATTTGGTGTTTTTTTCTTGTTTATTCATCTCTCCCCACCCCTATGTAAGCGCCTGGGGCACAAGAATCTTGCACATTTTCTTTTCTGCTGTGTCCTCATTACCCAGACAATGCCTGGCAAGTAGATGCTCAATAAGTAATTTTTTTTTTTGAAATGGAGTCTCGCTCTGTCACCCGGGCTGGAGTGCAGTGGCACAATCTCGGCTCACTGTAAGCTCTGCCTCCCAGGTTCACGCCTTCCCGAGTAGCTGGGACTACAGGCACCCAGGACCATGCCCGGCTAATTTTTTTGTATTTTTAGTAGAGACGGGGTTTCACCGTATTAGCCAGGATGGTCTCGATCTCCTGACCTTGTGATCCGCCCGCCTCGGCCTCCCAAAGTGCTGGGATTACAGGCGTGAGCCACTGCGCCCGGCCTCAATAAGTAATTTTTTTTTTTTTTTTTTTTTTTTGAGAAAGTCTCCTACCATAGGCCAGGCTGGAGTGCAGTGGCATGATCTCGGCTCAGTGCAACCTCCGCCTCCCGGGTTCAAGCAGTTCTCCTGCCTCAGCCTTCTGAGTAGCTAGGATTACAGGCACGCGCCACCACACCCGGCTAATTTTTTTTTTTTTTTTTTTTGAGACGGAGTCTTGCTCTGTCGCTCAGGCTGGAGTGTAGTGGCACGATCTTGGCTCACTGCAAGCTCCGCCTCCTGGGTTCACGCCATTCTCCTGCCTCAGCCTCCCGAGTAGCTGGGACTACAGATGCTCGCCACTATGCCCAGCTAATTTTTTGTATTTTTAGTACAGATTGGGTTTCACCGTGTTAGCCAGGATGGTCTTGATCTCCTGATCTTGTGATCCGCCCGCCTCGGCCTCCCAAAATTCTGGGATTACAGGCGTGAGCCACCGTGCCCGGCATTTGTGTGTGTGTGTGTGTGTGTGTGTGTATGTATATAAATGAACATCTGCTTTGTGCCAAATACCATGCAAAGTGCTGGGGATACAAAGATCAGACAAGAGTCTTATGCTGGGGGGCTGGCGGTTCAGTAGGACACAGACAAGCAGAGAGAACTGAGTGGCCTGTGGAGGTGAGGGTGGGTACCAGTGCTGAGGCCTGTGTGTTCAGAAGAGAACTGTCCTGGTGAGTCCTGCCCTCTTCCTCCGGGCTTGCCTCCTGGCCCAGCTCGAATCCCGCATGAGATGGGAAGGAGGGAGTGTGGCAGTCCAGGGCCTTGTCATTGTCCCTTGAGCAGCCACCCGAGGAGAGCCCCTCACAGATAGCAGCAATCACCATGATTGCTTCCGCCCAGAGAGCCTTGGTTTGGTGAAGATTGGGCATGTCTGTAAGAAAGGGAGGCTGGCCTCTCCTGCCCTGTTCTGATGTTTGTACCTGTGCCAGGTACAGCTAAGCAGGGGACCAGGAATAGTAGGCGTGGTGGCAGGGTGGAGAGCAAGGCCTCTGGGGGCAGTGCTCTGCCTCCCACCTAGCAGCTCATAGTGGATGCTGAAGCTGCTGTTGCTTACCCGGGTGCTGGGAGGGCTGCCCGTTGAGGGAGGGCCTGGTGGTGTGAAGCTGGGGTGTTCATGGGCATCAGACCATGTGTCTGCCAGGGTGCTGCTGTGAGCCGATGTGGTTCTGCCTGCCCTCCGCATCTTCAGAAAGGGAGCCCTCTGACTCCTCCGAATTGTTGCACCAAAAGTCTTGGGGCAGGGTCTCACTGGCCTGTGTTGGTCACTTGGCCAGCCCTGAATTGGTCACTGTGGCTGAGGTAGGGACACGGTGCTCTGATTGGCTGGCACTGATTGGTTGTGGGACATAGGAGAATCAAGGGGCCATCTCCAACCAAGACCTCACTGAGAGAGGCCCCTAGCCTGAGACCCACAGCAGCAAGGAGGGGGTCAAGCAGGAGGGGCAGGCAGGGGGCTGGGTGGGGGCTGTGCGAGGACAGCTGGGTGGTGACACTTGTTTTCACCCTCCCCCCAGAAAAGTTGCCAGACGGCCAGCATTGCCACTGCCAGTGCATCCGCCCAGGCCAGGAATCATGTGGACGCCCAGGTGCAGACGGAGGCCCCCGTGCCTGTCAGCGTGCAGCCCCCGTCCCAGTATGACATACCCAGGCTCGCAGCCTTTCTTCGGAGAGTGGAGGCCATGGTCATCCGAGAGCTGAACAAGAATTGGCAGAGCCACGCGTTTGATGGCTTCGAGGTGAACTGGACCGAGCAGCAGCAGATGGTAGGGGATGGGCTGGTGCAGCCTCGGGTCGAGCCCCTGCCCCACTTCTGTCTCCTCTTGTTTTCCTTCCCACAAATAACAGCCGTGCCAGTCATCATCACGGCCAGCAATCACCAGGCTCTAATGTCCTGCCTGGTACTGCGCTAGGTTCCCTAAGAATAAGTCAGTGAGCCTTCACTGCTGACCTTGAGGTCGGTATTGTTCTGTCCACTTTACAGTTAGGGAGATGGACACCCTATATGGAAGTAACGTCCAGAGTGAAACTGAGCAGCTGAGCAGTGGAGGCAGGCTAGAGTCTGGGTGGCCCGGCTGCCCTGCCTCCCCATGTACGGTGCAGTGAGGGCCTTCTTTGGGCCAGGCACAGTTTAAGAATGTCTCCTTGGCCAGGTGTGGTGGCTCACGCCTGTAATCCCAGCACTTTGGGAGGCCGAGGCGGGCGGATCACAATGTCAGGAGATGGAGACCATCCTGGCTAACACGGTGAAACCCCGTCTCTACTAAAAATACAAAAAAAAATTAGCCGGGCGTAGTGGCAGGTGCCTATAGTCCTAGCTACTCTGGAGGCTGAGGCAGGAGAATGGCGTGAGCCCGGGAGGTGGAGCTTGCAGTGAGCTGAGGTCACGCCACTGCACTCCAGCCTGGGCAACAGAGCGAGACTCTGTCTCAAAAAAAAAAAAAGAATGTCTCCTGTGGTATCTTCTTCACTCCTCAAAACAACTGTATGAGGCTGGGCACAGTGGCTCACGCCTGTAATCCCAGCACTTTGGGAGGCCAAGGTGGGTGGATCACCTGAGGTTGGCAGTTCGAGACCAGCCTGGCCAACATAGTGAAACCTCCTCTCTACTAAAAATACAAAAATTAGCCAGGCGTGGTGGTGCACGCCTGTTGTTCCAGCTACTCGGGAGGCTGAGGCAGGAGAATCACTTTAACCCGGGAGACGGAGCTTGCAGTGAGCTGAGACTGTGCCACTGCACTCCTGCCTGGGTGACAGAGCAAGACTCCATCTCAAAAAAAGACAAAAAAACAACAAAAAAAAACTGTATGAGGTAGTGCTATTATAATCTTCAGTTTATAGATGAGGCTGAGAGAGGCTAAGTGACATATCCAGGTCCACACACACAGCTCCAGAACTTGAACCCCAGTCTCTCTGGTTTCACTGCCATGCTCTGGGTCATCTGCCCTCCAAGTACAGTCCAGAGTCATGACCCTGTAAATGCTGATGGGCAGTTGGGCAGACAGTATTGGGTTTGAGATGAGGGAGCTTTTGTCTTTTTCTTTTTTTTTTATTTTTTTGAGACAGAGTCTCGCTCTGTCACCCAGGATGGAGTGCAGTGGCATGATCTTGGCTCACTGCAACCTCTGCCTCCCGGGTCCAAGCAATTCTCCTGTCTCAGCCTCCTGAGCAGCTGGGATTACAGGCACCCGCCACCACGCCCGGCTAATTTTGTATTTTTGGTAGAGATGGATTTCACCATGTTGGTCAGGTTGGTCTCGAATTCCTGACCTCAGGTGATCTGCCTGCCTTGGCCTCCCAAAGTGCTGTGATTACAGGCGTGAGCCACCTCGCCTGGCCAAAAAAATTTTTTTAGAGTTAGGGTCTTCCTATGTTGCCCAGGCTGTAGTTCAGATGGGCTCAAGAGATGCTCCTGCCTCAGCCTCCTGAGATGATTTTTTACAAAGTATAAACATTCCTTGAACCAAAATCCAGATCAAGAAAGTGAACATTACAAGGCCTGTAAAAGCTTCCTTCCACCTCCTAGCCCATTGTATAGCTTTGTTTGAAAATAATAGGTTCATGCGTGTTGTGGCTTGGGTTGGTGCTGCGTTCCTTTTTACAGCTGCATGGTGTTGCATGGACAGACCACATTCATTTAGCCACTCATCAGCTAATGGACATTTGGGCTATTCCCCTTTTTGGCTATAGTGAGTCATGCTCTTGTGGACATTGGTGTACAGGTGTCCATGTGGACATGAGTTTTCATTTCTCTAGGGTCTAAACCTATGAGTGGAGTTGCTGGTCCTGGTCTCCTGCAGCTTGTTCTCCACAGCAGAGGCACCTCTTGCACATGCTGCAGCAGTGCGCGGGGTGTGGCTGTGGAGCTCTTTGTGGAGTGTGGAGTCTTTCCAGTGGATAGTTTCTTTTTTATTTTTTTACAAAATGCATTTTTTTTTTTTGAGATGGAGTCTCGCTCTGTCGCCAGGCTGGAGTGCAATGGCGTGATCTGGGCTCACTGCAACCTCTGCCTCCTGGGTTCAAGCTATTCTGCTGCCTCAGCCTCCTGAGTAGCTGGGACCACAGGCACGTGCTACCACACCCAGCTCATTTTTTGTATTTTTAGTAGAGATGGGTTTCACCATGTTGGCCAGGATGGTCTTGAACTCCAGACCTTGTGATCCGCCCGCCTCCGCCTCCCAAAGTGCTGGGATTACAGGCATGAGCCACCAGGCCTGGCCTTTTTTTTTTTTTTTTGAGACAGGGTCTTGCTCTGTTGCTTAGGCTGGAGAGCAGCAGTGCAACCTCTGTGTCCTGGGTTCAAGTGATCCTCCCACCTCAACTTCCTGAGTAGCTGGGATTACAGGCTCTGACCCCCATGCCCAGCTAATTTTTGTATTTTTGGTAGAGACGGGGTTTCACCATCTTGCCTACACTGGTCTTGAACTCCTGAGCTTAAGCTATCCTCCTGCCTCAGCCTCCCAAAGTGCTGAGATTACAGGCGTGAGCCATCGTGCCCGGCCCTCAGTTGATAGTTTCTTTATGTAGAATCATGAGGTCAACAGATCTGAAACGTCAGAGGATCTGAGAGGCTGTTTGGATTCCTGGCACACACCACTTCCTGGGCAGCTGGTGCCTACCCCTGGCTAGGCTGGTCGTCAGCCTCCTCACATGCAGCTGTGGCCGGCTGCAGGGCTGAAAGCAAGATGCCAGAGCTTGACAAAAAATCGTGGGCAGCCAGGCACAGCAGCTCATGCCTGTCATCTCAGCACTTTGGGAGACCGAGGCAGGCGGATCACCTGAGGTCAGGAGTTCGAGACTAGCCTGGGCAACATGGTGAAACCCCGTCTCTGATAAAAATATAAAAATTATCCAGGTTTGGTGGCACGCGCCTGTAATCCCAGCTACTTGGGAGGCTGAGGCATGAGAATCACTTGAACCCAGGAGGTGGCAGTTGCAGTGAGTGGAGACTGCACCATTGCACTCCAGCCTGGGCCACAGAGTGAGACTCTGTCTCAAAAAGAAAACCAACCAACTAACCACCACAAACAACAAAAAATCATGTGCGTGTAGCACAGCGTGACGTCGGGTGGTTCGCTTGACCCCTTGTACTTGGCCGCGTTGGGCACTTTTATGCTGCTGGGCAACCATCCCCACCTTCCTGCTGCAGCCCCTGAGGCTTGGAAACTGTGGAGTGTGCCTGTGAGGGCAGCCACCCCTCTGGGCGGGAGCCTGGTCGGCCTTGCTTCTCAGGCCATGCCTTCTGGGCTTCTGGAAGCATTCTGCTGGGGCAGATGTGGGGATGAACGTGCCACATTTTCCTCTAGGCCTGGCTGATGGACTTGAGGGCCTCTAGGGCTAAGGGTGGCCTGGCCTAGGTGGGGTTTGGTTAGGCAGTCATGAGGCCCCTGCTGGTGGCTTTGGACTCAGGGTTGGGGACGTCTCCGCAGGTGTCTTGTCTGTATACCCTGGGCTACCCGCCAGCCCAAGCGCAGGGTCTGCATGTGACCAGCATCTCCTGGAACTCCACTGGCTCTGTGGTGGCCTGTGCCTACGGCCGGTGAGTGGCAGCGGGGCAGGTGAGGGGCAGCTCGCCACCCCAGGACCCTCCTTGGGCCTTGTCTCTGTAGCTGCACAGGGAAGGGCTGGTTCTAAGAGCTTGGCCATCCTGGGAGTCTCTTCTCAAGCCTTCCTGGGCAGGGTTGACAACAAGTGGCAGAAGAGCAGGCAGTGGGGCTGAGTGCCAGGATCACCCTCCCCCCTGCCTGGAGGCCCTGGGCCTGCCTGCCTCGCCCGCCCCACCAGCTGCTTCCCCATCCTGCATGGCATGGACTGTCCTTGGTGCCTGGGGACCATTTTCCAGAGAATGCCACACCCTTGGGGTGCTAGAGTGGAGTGTGGGCCACTTCAATACCCAGAGTAGTGTCTGGTGGTGACAAGGACACAGCGAGTGTGTCCGGGGCTAGTGGGGAGAGAGGTGGGGTGGGTGATAGGAGCCCCACCCAGGGGCACAGCCGGCTCAAGCCTGTCCCTGCACAGGCTGGACCATGGGGACTGGAGCACGCTTAAGTCCTTCGTGTGTGCCTGGAACCTGGACCGGCGAGACCTGCGTCCCCAGCAGCCGTCGGCCGTGGTGGAGGTCCCCAGCGCTGTCCTGTGTCTGGCCTTCCACCCCACGCAGCCCTCCCACGTCGCAGGTGAGCTGCCTGCTGTGTCCGCCTCCTCTCCTCTCAGGACTCAGCTTCCCGCCCTGCAGAGGGCACAAGGGAGCTTTCCATGGGCCCTTTGGCCCGGAGACAGGAAGGCGGGCCCTGACCCTCTCAGTCTGGAGCCCAGGTGAAGGTCTGCAGTGAGCCCTGAGGGGTGGAACTCGGGGGAGGAGTCTGGAAGGGGGCCAGGGTCGGGGCCAGGACAGGGGGCTGTGGAGAGGCCAGAAGAGGCAGGTGCCCTTGGGAAGCCGTCAGTGGTAGGGGGCAGGCAACGCTGGAGGGAGCTGCCAGGTGCAGGGCAGGGGTGTCCGGCAAAGCTCCCTGGGGTACAACAGGGGAGCTGGGGGCTAGGACTCTCCCTCTGTGGGGATGACTTCCAGCCAAGTGGCTCTGCCGCCTGGCCCTGGCCCTGGCCCTGTAGGTGGGCTGGGGCGGGTGTTTGGCCAGGAAGTCAGGCTGGGGGTGGGGCTGAGCCTCTGCCCAGGTCCACTGTCCCTGCAGGAGGGCTGTACAGTGGTGAGGTGTTGGTGTGGGACCTGAGCCGTCTTGAGGACCCGCTGCTGTGGCGCACAGGCCTGACGGATGACACCCACACAGACCCTGTGTCCCAGGTCAGGGCAGGGGCTGCCGGGCGGGGTGGGCCCTGAGGCAGAGCTGGGGAGAGGGCGCCCACTCTCCTAGGAAGGTCACCCGGGCGTTGGCAGTTGGACAGCTGCCTCCTGCATTCTCGGAGCTCCCGCAGCATGAGTCACCCCCCTCAGGAGCCACTCCCAGGGCCCTGTGGCCATTCCCAGCCTCCTCTGCAGGCACCGAGTGAGCAGCGCTGGGATTCTGGGACTGGAGAGGGCCCTGGGAACCCTCCAGGCCTGCCCCCTGGTGGGTGAGCCTGGTTCTGGGGCCTCCCGGAGAATTTTTTTTTTTCCTGGAAGAGAGGGAGGGTAGGGGTGGAGCGTGACACCTGGGCAGGTGTCCCTTGTCTCCATCCTGGCCCTGCATGCTGTTAACTCAGGTGGTGTGGCTGCCCGAGCCTGGGCACAGCCACCGCTTCCAGGTGCTGAGTGTGGCCACCGACGGGAAGGTGCTACTCTGGCAGGGCATCGGGGTAGGCCAGCTGCAGCTCACAGAGGGCTTCGCCCTGGTCATGCAGCAGCTGCCACGGAGCACCAAGCTCAAGAAGGTACGTGGGCACCCGGAAACTGCCCTGGCCTGCGCCGGTGAGCCTTGGGGGTGGGAAGGTGTGGCAGTGGGCCTGACTTGCTGTGATCTCCCCTCCTGTTCTCTGGCTCTGTTGGGACAGTGCCATCTGATGCCCTTGGCTCTGACCCTGCTGCTGCCATTTCTCCACAGCATCCCCGCGGGGAGACCGAGGTGGGCGCCACGGCAGTGGCCTTCTCCAGCTTTGACCCTAGGCTGTTCATTCTGGGCACGGAAGGCGGCTTCCCGCTCAAGTGTTCCCTGGCAGCTGGAGAGGCAGCCCTCACGCGGATGCCCAGCTCCGTGCCCCTGCGGGCCCCAGCACAGTTTACCTTCTCCCCCCACGGCGGTCCCATCTACTCTGTGAGCTGTTCCCCCTTCCACAGGTACGTAGGGCAGGCCTGGGGCACAGTGGGGCCAGGGTGTCCCTGCCCTGCGGGTCTCTAGCCTGCCAAGCCTCATGACAAACTGCTTCAAGTGCTTGCCTTCTGCCCACTCTGAGACCCGTGTTCAGGTCTTTGGTGGTTGGCCCAGGCATCGTCCCTTCTCTAATGAGAGGACCAACTCCAGGCTGAGGGACCCGGGAGGCTCTTCACGAGCCTGGCAGCCCAGGAGGGGTCTGGTGTTGGGGGCCAGCACCACCCAGACCCCAGCACTGATTCCCTTGCCTGGCCCCCTGCATCCCGTCTAGGAATCTCTTCCTGAGCGCTGGGACTGACGGGCATGTCCACCTGTACTCCATGCTGCAGGCCCCTCCCTTGACTTCGCTGCAGCTCTCCCTCAAGTATCTGTTTGCTGTGCGCTGGTCCCCAGTGCGGCCCTTGGTTTTTGCAGCTGCCTCTGGGAAAGGTAGGAAGGGGCCGCTAGGCCTGGATCTGTTTAAGGGGTGGGTGGTCTGGGCCCTGCTTGTACCTGGGGTTCTGGGTTGGGGAAAAGACCACACATGGGGGTAAGGACGGCTTCCCTCCAGCAACCCAACTCAAAGCCACTGTGGCTGCACACAACAGGATTGAACCCGGGCATTAGCCTCCTCCTGCCATGTGGTTGGTCTCTAGAGTTTCTCTTACTCCACGTATCTGTCTCTCTTTGCAGGTGACGTGCAGCTGTTTGATCTCCAGAAAAGCTCCCAGAAACCCACAGTTTTGATCAAGCAAACCCAGGATGAAAGCCCTGTCTACTGTCTGGAGTTCAACAGCCAGCAGACTCAGCTCTTGGCTGCGGGCGATGCCCAGGGCACAGTGAAGGTGTGGCAGCTGAGCACAGAGTTCACGGAACAAGGGCCCCGGGAAGCTGAGGACCTGGACTGCCTGGCAGCAGAGGTGGCGGCCTGAGGGGTCCCGGGAGGCGGGTGCAAGCCTTCGCTGTGCCGAGCCTTGTGTTTCTGACGCAAGCCAAATGAAGAAAAGCAAAGCTTTGGGGGAAGTCATCATTTATTTGTCTTTTACATGAAAACAGATTTGGGGGAGGGTGGGAGAGAGAACAAGGGGAGGAGCCAGCTGCTTCGATTTTCTGAAGTCGGAATGAGGGCAGCTGCTTCAAGACACAGATCTGGGTCCCCACAGTGACATGATGATTGTGACTGGACCGGAAGCGGGTTAGTGAAGCACCATTTTCTCCTAAGTCTTATTCCAAGCTAAGCAGGCTTAAGGTTACAGTGGAAAGTGAGAGCACACAGAGGAGCGGACATGCAGCAAGGCGACGCAGGGCAAGCAGCGAGGGGTGGGTGACCCAGGGAGTGGCTCAGTTCACGAAAAGCGAGCGGGTGAACTCCACGTAGTCGAACGCGGTGGGGAGCTCGCGGCCCTTGCCGTCCACGTAGGGCTTCATGTGGGAGACGCAGTAGTCGGCTTGTTCCCGGGTCAGGTTCTGTGGGGTAAGAGATGGCACCTGGTGCCTGAGCCAGCTGCACCCACTTCAAACCCGACCTCCCAGGTCTCAGGATGCTGGGGGCTCGGAGCTGCTTCTACAAGCAGATCCGGGACTTCTGTCCATACTGAGTTTGATTTGTAAATGGGGAGAATACCCAGCGCAGGGCCTGTTACCCCAGACTCAGCTCTGCCACAAATTTGGCTTTAGTTTTCCAAAGGACACCTCTTCACCCACCTCCTGAGGCCCATACCTGGTAGAGCTCCTCCTTGGTCACGTAAGGCTTTCCCTCTGAGCTGAGGGCCCGGAAGGCGCTCTCAATCTCCTCGCTGGACTTGACGTTCTCAGTTTCGCGGCTGATCATGAAAGCCATGTATTCTTGCAAGGAGACATGGCCATCTCTAGGAGCGGGGGAAGCAAGAGCCTGAGCAGGGAGGGCAGGTGGGTGCCCCGGGCAGAGGCTCACAGCACCTGGCCTTAATTAATTTACCTGTTCGGATCCACCGTGTCCAGGATTGCCTCGAACTCAGGGTCAGGTTCCCCTTCCTCCACCATGGGCAGGTCATAGCCCAGGGAGCGCAGGCAAGATTTGAACTCCTGATGGTTCAGCCTGCCAGACTTGTCCTTGTCAAAGTGTCTGCAGCACAAAGCCGAGGGCGGCTCAGCAGGCAGCCCTGCTGCCGAACACCCCCCACCCAGCCAGGGCGAGTAAGGCTGAACTCACTTAAACATCATGCTGAATTCTTTGAGGGCCTCCTCAGTCACACCTGTTGTGTTCCTGGAAGAAAAACAGAAATTAGGGAACAGACCCTCCACACAGCAGGTGACTGTGTCTTTTCCTCCCCCTGCTCTGGGCTGAGCCTGGCCCACAGCCCTCCCGGGTACCTGGCCTGGATCTGCTGCTCCAGGTTGTGCTGCATGCGCATGCCCAGCTGGTCCAGCTGGTCCCACTGCTGGGCGAGGCCCACGGTGCTGTGCTCCGTGTACTTGTTGTCCAGGATGAGGGCCTCCTCCATGGCGGCCCCCAGGTCCTCGATCTTTTTGAGCTGACTTCTCATGGCTCGGATTTCCTGGTGCTTGCGCTGCAGGGGTGGGGAGCACAGATGCTCAGACGGGGGCCCTCAGCTCAGTCACCAGCCCAGGAGCCACTTACTGCCCTCTGGTTCCTGCTCCAGGCCTGGCCTGAGACCTCGTAAAACAAGAACATTCTAGAATAGGAATAGTGGGATGGGGTGAAGCTGAAGAAATCCCAACCACCTCAATAGAGGGAGAGACTTTCAATGTGAGGGTTCCAAAGCAGCTGGTAGACCTGCCAGAGGGCAGTGCACGCCAAGGACAAGTACGGCGAGGACTCCAGGAAGCAGTGGCCAAAGATTTTTATAAATTTTTTTGAGATGGAGTCTCACTGTCGCCTAGGCTAGAGTGCAGTGGCGCAATCACGCTCACTGCAACCTCCCGGGTTCAAGTGATTCTCCTGCCTCAATCTCCTGAGTAGCTGGAACTAACAGGTGCCCATCACCACACCTGCCTAATTTTTGTATTTTTAGTAGAGGCGATGTTTCACTGCATTGACCAGGCTGGTCTTGAATTCCTAGGCTCAAGTGATCTGCCTGTCTTGGCCTCCCAAAGTTCTGGGATTATAGGCATGAGCCACTGCACCCAGCCTTATTTTTAAGACAAGGTCTTGCTATATATTGCCCATGCTGGACTTTGAGCAGGTGTAGGCCACCATGCCCAAGTAATTTTTTTCAGAGGGAGTTTTGCTCTTGTCACCCAGGCTGGAGTGCAATGGCCTGATCTCGGGTCACTGCAACCTCCGCATCCCAGAATCAAGTGATTCTCCTGCCTCAGCCTCCTGAGTAGCTGGGATTACAGGTGCCTGCCACCACACCCAGCTAATATTTTGTATTTTTAGTAGAGATGGGGTTTCCCCATGTTGGCCAGGCTGGTCTCGAACTCCTGACTTCAAGCAATCCACCCGCCTCGGCTTCCCAAAGTGCTGGGATTACAGGTGTAAGTCACCACACCCAGCCCCAAAGACTTTCTTTAAAGTGAAGAGCCCTCGGCCGGGAGTGGTGGCTCATGCTTGTAATCCCAGCACTTTGGGAGGCTGAGGTGGACAGATCACTGGAGATCAGGAGTTCCAGACCGGCCTGGCCAACAAGGCAAAACACTGTCTCTACTAAAAATATAAAAACTAGGCCAGATGTGGTGGCTCACGCTTGTAATCCCAGCACTTTGGGAGGCCGAGGCGGGCAGATCAGCCGAGGTCAGGAGTTCGAGACCAGCCTGCCTGGCCAACATGGTGAAACCCTGTCTCTACTAAAAATACAAAAATTACCCAGGTGTGGTGGTGGGCGCCTGTAATCCCAGCTACTTGGGAGGTTGAGGCAGGAGGATCACTTGAACCCAGGAGGTGGAGGTTGCAGTGAGCCAAGACCACGTCCATTGCACTCCAGCCTGGGCAACAAGAGTGAAACTCCATCTCAAAAGATAATTAAAAATAAACAAAAATTAGCCAAATGTGGTGGCACACATCTGTAGTACAGCTATTTGGGAGGCTGAGGCAGGAGAATTGCTTGACCTGGGAGGTGGAGGTTGCAGTGAGCCAATATCGCACCACTGCACTCCAGCCTGGGCGAGAGAGAGATTCCATGAAGAAAGAAAGAAAAGAGAGAGAGATAGTGAAGAGCCCTAGACTGCTTTAGGCCAAGGGAAAAGGGTACAATAATAGCACATCTGGTTCCTGACTTTAAGCCAGGAAGGGAAGGGGTACCCTGGGGGGTGGCTGGGTGAAGGGTCTCTGCTGGGCCAGAGCCCCACGGGCACTTACTTTGGTAGCTTCAAGCTGGGATTCGAGGGTCCCCGACTCTTCCACCATACAGGACCTAAACGTGGAAGGACAGTGAGGAAAGGGGCCTGCTCCCAGCTGGCCGAGAGCTCAGAATGAACCTTCTCTCAGAGAGAGCAATGCCTGGCAACCTCACATTCCTTTTAAGGAAACCAAACCTAACTGCAACTGGCCATCTTTACCTAATGGGCCCCAGGGATCGAGGGATGGCAGGGAGCATTTCTCCCGTTTTAGAGATGGGAAGCTGCTGCCTTGGTGTGGGCCAGGGCTGAGCCCACTCGTCTTGCTCCCAAGGCCAGGATGACTCAGGAATGGAGTTTAAATTCCCCCATGGGTGCAGGGTGGCTGCAGGCCTGTCTGAGCATCCTCTCTGCAGCCATGTGGGGGATGGCACACCCTGACACCTGACAGACAGGAGACCTCAGGGCAGAGGGGAGGCTGAGAACCTGACAGCCTCCCCACAGAAACCCTGGAGTGTCCCGGCAAGGTTCCTGAGGGAGGGAGCCCCATTCTAGGGGGAATGAGAGCACGACCCTGCAGACAAAGGACACAAGTGGAGTGCTGGGAGATCACGACCAACTGTGCCAAAAGGAGAGAGATGGCTGTGACTAA
Organism: Homo sapiens; assembly: GCF_000001405.40. Classification (NCBI taxonomy): domain Eukaryota; kingdom Metazoa; phylum Chordata; class Mammalia; order Primates; family Hominidae; genus Homo; species Homo sapiens. Next base: position 128,629,745 of record NC_000009.12, on the reverse strand, counting down.
ACCCCAGATCCCGGTTCCATCCTCTAGACACAGCCAGGGAGGGAGCCTCCTCTCTAGGACCAAGTTCTGAGAGCAGATGGGCTCTGGGGAGCCTCCTTCCCAAGAGAACACAGTGCCAGGTCACAGAGGCTACCAGTAAACAAAGACAACAAACGAGTTAGGGTTACGTGCAGGGACGAATCACACGGTGCGTGTGGCCTTGGTGGGGTTTTAGCCCAGGCTCCCCTGTACCCACATTCACCCCAACCTACCCTTTTAAAACCCGGCGAGCCAGGGTTAGCTCTGCAATCTCCCCAGGTTCAAAGTGCTCTAGCAAGGCAAGGCACCAGGCTTCCTCCTACCCCAGCAGGTCAGACTCACAGTCACGCCATGTCCCCCCGGGGAAAATGCCCCCCAGGACCTGGGGGCAGGAGGCTGGGTGCCGGTGCAGTGGGAGGACAGACCCCTCCTTCCCAAGCAGCCGAGGGCGGCAGGTTAGTCAGGGTGGAGCCGCCTGGGGATGTCAAGAGTGCATCAGTAAAGCCACAGTGAGGTAAGAAGAGAAATAAGGAGAAAAACCTTCCAGACAGATCATCCCCAACTTCATACTGATAGACACGAATGACCCGACGATATGCTATGCTATTCAAAGAAAAGAAACCAAATGAATACACCAAAGGGAGGGGAGGCAAGAGCACACTGCAACAGACACACACAAAGCCCAAGCTGGCAGGGCGCAGGCAAGGGCAACCTGGTGCCCGGCGGGTACCTGGAGGCAGCAGGCCCAGTGGTTCACCCCAGGCAGCTCACACTAGGAATGGGCAAGATGGGCAGGGCTTGGGAGGAGCCATAAGGTGAGGGGAGCGTGGCACCTCACGGAGACAAGAGCAAGACCAGCAGACACAGGCATGGGGCAGGGAGGGGAGTCAGGTGGCCAGGGTGTCCTACGGGCACAGGCCGGAAACTGCGATCCCTACGTCCCCAGCTGCTCTGCCATCAGAATGTGTGGCCCGGCTGGATGGGTCTATTTCTCCCCTGGCCGCCTATACAGGCTTGATGTGCCTGGGTGCAGAGCCTCAGGAGTGCAGGCCAAGCCACTCCAGTCCCAGCAGCCCTGGCTTTCACAGCAGGCTTGGCAGATTACAAAGGTGACCCGGCCAGGCAGAGGCCCCAGGCCAAGCAGAGAAGTCCCTGCCGGGACTGGGCGGGACAGCCCAGCCCTGCTCCTCCCTGGGGCTCCTCCCACGTCCTGTCTATCACATAACGGGTGCATTTTTGCCTTCTATTAGGGCGGACAGTCTTGTTACCCTCCCTGACCCCAGGAAAGTAAAGTGGCAGCCTCAGCTACTTAGGGGGTGTCAGTGCCCAGCCCTTCTCAGCTGTGGACTTACTGTACCCTGCCTGAGCCCCCAGCACTGCCATCTGCTTCATGCCCACTGACCACTGTTGGACTCGCTGGGGAAGCAGAGGTGAGAGCCCAACAGAGCCCGGTGGCTGGACAGGCACGGGGGTTCTTAGGGCCTCTGGACTCCAGCTCTGGCCTTCGTGCTTCATCACCTTCCCTACCCAAAGTGAGCCCTTGGAATCGCCCAGTGAGGCAAGGACGGCTCCCCCTGGCTTGAAGGCTCTATCGGGGACCAGGGACCATGGGCTATGGGGCAAGGCACACACTCCTCATCAGGTGACGAGAAGGGTGGGAGGGGAAGTGCAGCCCGCCCTGGGCAGGAAGGCCCATCCCGGGATCCTCCACAAGCCAGGCCACGAGGGGCAAGCGCACGAGACCCCCACATGACAAGCCCAGAGAAGGAAGAAAACAATATTAACCCATCGAGGAGGTATGTCCTGTGGAGAGCAGATCCAAGCAGCCGGGAGACAAGGTGGTGTCCGGACAACAGCAGCAATCGGGGGGACAGAGAGAAGACACAAGAAAGAAAGGAAAACAAAAGCAAGAACATCAGTACCCAACGCACAGACCCTGCATCGTCTGTCACCAAGTCATGGCTGGGGCTGACCACGCGCCCTGCATGGTCCCACTCAATCCGGGATCTCTAACAACTTGATGTCTGGGACATGCAGCACTGAGAGGCTGCTCCACCTATGCCCCCACTCCCGGCTCCAGAGCCCGACCAGGCGTTGCCAGCCCAGCTTTATTCCCAGGCTGCCTCTGGTTTTACACAAAGCACCACCACCTCCTTGGGGCTGGAAGCTCCCCAGGGCTTAAGTACAGCAGGGACATGCTGCTGCTCCCCGGCCCCAGCGGGCTGGCACCTGGTCTCTTGGATCCACTGGTGGAAGGCGTTGGCGTGCTGGGCAAACTCCTGGCGCAGCTTGTCGTTCTCCTCCTGCCGCCGCTGTTCCTTCTGCAGCTCCAGCTCCCTCTCCTGAGGGCCAAAGGGGGGCAGATGCTGTGCGCTGCTGTGGCAGTGACACCAGCCCCTCCTTCACAGATGGGCTCAGGGTGGTGGTGGCCTCCCCACAAGGAACCTCCCCAAAGATGAGAGGAGGAGGCTGGGAGACATGAGGCCGGCTCAGAGCACTTGGTAGTTCTTTCTCTGTTCCCACCCCCCAGGGGCTTCAAGGAAGAGGCGGACCTGGAGGGAAGCGACTGGTCAGTCAAGCAGGGAGTTGCTGGACTGTCAGAAATGGAAACTTCTGGCTGGGTACAGTGGCTCACACCTGTAATCCCAGCACTTTGGGAGGCCTGGGCAGGAGGACTGCTTGAGGCCAGGAGTTGAAGACCAGCCTGGGCAACATAGCAACACCCTGTCTACAAAAATTAAAATAATTAGCCAGGCGTGGTGGCACGTGCTTGTAGTCCCAGTTATTCAAGAGGCTCAGGCAAGAGGATCACCTGAGCCTGGGAGGTTGAGGCTACAGGGAGCCATGGTAGCACCACTGCACTGAAGCCTGGGTGACAGAGACCCTGCCTCAAGAACACAAAAAGAAATGAAACTTCTGATGAAACCATGCTCCTCCATCCTGCTCGTCTTGTCGTGACTCAGTTAAGTGTGGGCTCTGAGCAGGGCCCAGAGAGGGCTCTGGGAGGCCGAGCAGCTCCTGAGGGCAGCGGGAGGTGTACCTTGATGATTTTCTGTAGGTTCCTCCAGGTCTCCTCCAGGGCCTCCATGGTAAACCAGGTGTAGGGGTTGGAGGCTACGCGGAAGCTCTTGATCTGGCGGTCCAGCTCGGCCAGCTGGTTGAAGTCAGCCTGGGCAGAGCTGAGGGAGGAGCGGAAGGCGTCGTGGGCCTCGCGCAAAGCTTTGATTTCTTCCAAGGAGTTGCAGCGCACGGGGTCTGTTAAGTCCTCCTCTGCATTTTCAAACCAGCTGTTGAAGGCAGAAGCCTTTTTGGCGAAGGTCAGGAAGAGGTCCTCCACCTGGAAGCAGAAGAGACTGAGTTGGCGGAGTCGCCAGGGCTGGACGTGCCGACGCAGTGCAGGAGGTGGGGTGCGGGGTGGTTCCTGGGAATCAGAGGCGCACACAGCCTGCTGGGAGCTTAGCTCCCCTCTGCTCCTGTCTCCTGCTCCCCCTTCAAGTCTTCACCAGCCTTTTTTCCCCTTCCTACCCTTTGCCCTTGTCTCTAGTCTGTCCTGCGTGCTTCTGAATGGCGATCTCACAGGGCCCTCTCATTTGCCCTGGTTTTAATTGATGCCAGCCACACCCATGTTTGAAAGCTCTGCACTGAGCTCACAGCTTCCTCAAGGGGGAGTGGCAGAGCTGGGCAGACAGAAGGTGGGCGTCCTTCCTTGAGCTGTGGGCCAGCTAAGCTTCACGTGGCCCCATCCTCACCTTGCGGAAGTGACTCTGAGCCTCCAGAAGCTTCTTCTTGCGGGCGGCTGAGTTGGCCAGAAGCTGGCTCCACCTCTTCATGAGGGAGGCGTGCCGGGCCTCGATGGCCTTGGACTGAACGTGTTTGGCGGCGAGAAGCTGATCTTTGAGGGCAGTGATGTTGGCAATGCCTTCCTGCTGGAAGGCCTGCAGCCCAGCGTCAAAAGTTTCCTGAACAAGGAGTGACAAGCCAATTTGTGGTGACTCCACAGGACTGGAACTTGCTCTTCCTAGGCTCAGATGGCACCAGCATGTCCCCCAGATGCCCAAGCCAAACTGTCCACCTGGACACTGCTGAGACTCAGTCACACATGCCCCCTTTCCTGCTCTCCTTCAGACCGCAGATCACTGCGGCAGCCTCCTCCCACCTCCCTGACCCCAGCCTTCCGCTCTCCCGCCCCAGGGATCCCTGCCAGCTCTGCCCAGAACACTCGCCCTGCCTCTCTCCCTGACCGTTTTCATTCACCCCTCATGATTTCGCTTAGGAGAACTTGCCCCTTCAACCCTCGCCTGCTGAAAACTGAGTGAGTGCTCCTGCAGTGCCCAGTCCCGTCAGCACCCAGCAGGCTGCTGCAGAGATGCCTGGTTCTGTGTCTGCTTCCCCAGTTAGTCTGGAAGCTCCCTGAGGACCAGGACAGGATCTTTTTCCTGCTGATCCCCAGGGGCTAACAGAAGATAAATGCCTCAGTGAAAGACGCCACCAGTCATCTCACAGATGCTATCTGCATACATTTCAACCAGTGAAGGGGCCAGGGCAGACCTGTTTGGTGAGGAGCGTCTGCACAGAAGACAGGTCTCGGCCATAATCATCTGTCTTCAAGCTGTTCTCCTTTTCACCTAGAAAACGAAGTGTGGAAAATATACTGCCCTCCTCAGTGGAGATGGATTAGAAAGGAAAAACATCAAAACCCAGACAAACCATTTTTTGTGTACAGATAAATCCCAATCTTCCTAACTACAGCCTCAGAACCCACATTAGCAGGCCCCTCCCTGCACCCAGGCCTGGCCTCCATCTGTGCCATGACGAGCTCCCTGCAGCCCGTCTTCTAGTTCAGTTGCTATTACTACTACCCAGGACACGTGGACCCCGATATCCGGACCCAGTTTTCCCTCACCCAGGAGCTGGGTGGCGCCCCTGACCAGGGCAGCTAGTGGTGCCTTTGCTGTGCCAACTTTGTTCATGCCATGACGTCACATTATGCCATCTCTGCGTGCAGCAGCGTTTACAGGCTTTTGTTTATTGACCCTGGTGCCAGCCCAGTTCCGGGTGGCAGTTCTGGCCTCAGGACACTGTCTCCTCCTAGCTGGCAGTCAGTGGTCTGCCCTGGTAGTAGGTTCTCTGCCATGCCCACAATTGATCAGTTTCTTCTCTGCAGAAGAAAACCAATGACACGGAAGGAGACAAAGAGCAGCTCTGGGAAGGCTCTTCCGGGCCTTGCTGACAGTGCTCACCGATCCAGGACTCCACCACGTCCGCCTTCCAGTTGAACTGAAGGAAGGCCGAGTTCTCATCCAGCTTCGCCTTTCTCTGGGCTGCAGCTTTCTCCAGGTCTGACACTTTCCCGTTCAGGCCCTTCATCTTTGAAGAGATGTTCTCCTCATGGTGATTGTTCTAGGCCATGGAGAGAGGCACACACTGGTCAGCCTTACCTGCTGTGGTTACCTGACTATGCCCTCCCTGGAAAGGCTCTAAACTTCTATAAAATGGGCCACTTGCTCCCCTGTCCACTGCTGGGTAAACAATGATAGGGTAAGGCTTTTGTAAGAGCAATGCGGTCAAAGGCTTCACACAAATACACGTACTGACAATTCTACTTTTAGGAATTCTTTTTTTTTTTTTTTTTTTTTTTTTTGAGACGGAGTGAATTTCACTCCGTCGCCCAGGCTGGAATGCAGTGGCGTGATCTCGGCTCACTGCAACCTCCGCCTCCCGGGTTCAAGAGATTCTCCTGCCTCAGCCTCCCGAGTAGCTGGGACTAATAGGCGAACACCACCATGCACAGCTAATTATTTTTAGTAGAGATGGGGGTTTCACCATGTTGGTCAGGCTGGTCTCGAACTCCTGACCTCAGGTGATTTGCCCACCTCGGCTTCCCAAAGTGCTGGGATTACAGGTGTGAGCCATAGTGCCCAGCCGGTCCAAGGAATTAATTCTAAAGAAATATGGGCCAGGCGCAGTGGCTAACGCCTGTAATCCTAGCACTCTGGGAGGCTGAGGTGGGCAGATCATTTGAGGCCAGGGGTTCAAGACCAGCTTGGCTAATATGGTGAAACCCTGTCTCTTCTAAAAAATACAAAAAAAAAAAAAAAAAAAAAATTAGCCAGGTTTGGTGGCACTCATCTGTAATCCCAGTGACCCAGGAGGCTGAGGGATGAGAACTGCTTGAACCTGGGAGGTGGAGGCTGCAGTGAGCCGAGATCATGCCACTGCACCCCAGCCTGGGCAACACAGCAAGACTCTGTCTCAAACAAAAAAAACGAATGGGCTGAAATTTGAAGTTAAGATGATATATTCATTAGTATTATTTTTGATAGAAAAAAACTGAATCATATCACTTAAAATACTACACATACAGGGCTGGGTGCAGTGGCTCACTCCTGTAATTTCAGCACAAGGCGAGAGAATCACTTGAGCCCAGGAGTTGGAGACCAGCCTGGGCAACATAACATAGTGAGACCCCATCTCTTAAAAAAAAAAAAGAAAAAAAGAAAGAAATTAGCCAGGTGTGTTGACACCCACCTGTGGTCCCAGCTAGCTAGGGAAGCTCAGGTGGGAGAACTGCTGAAACCCGGGAGGCAGAGGCTACAGTGAGCCGAGATCGTGCCACTACACTCCAGCCTGGGCGACAAGAGCAAGACTCCATCTCAAAAAATAAAAATAAAAAAATTGGCTGGGTACAGTAGCTCACGCCTGTAATCCCAGCACTTTGGGAGGCCGAGGCAGGCGGATCATGAGGTCAGGAGTTTGAGACCAGCCTAACCAACATGGTGAAACCCCATCTCTAATAAAAATACAAAAATTAGCTGGGCGTGGTGGCAGGCGCCTGTAACCCCAGCTACTCAGGAGGCTGAGGCAGGAGAGTCACTTGAACCCAGGAGGTGGCGGTGGCAGTGAGGTGAGATTGCGCCAGTGCACTCCAGCCTGGGCCACAGAGTGAGACTCCGTCTAAAAAATAAATAAATAAATAAATAAATAAATAAACCATACTACAAGTCACATTGAATTTAAAGAGAAATTCTTTAACACCTGTGGAAAGGGGGAAAATAAAAAGAAAAAAGAATTGAAAGATAAATTCAAAGAGGAAACAGGCTGTCGCTGAGGACAAAGCAGCCGGCTCGCTGGCCGGGGGTGGTGGCTCATGCCTGTAATCCCAGCACTTTGGGAGGCCGAGGAGGGCGGATCACCTGAGGTCAGGAGTTCGAGACCAGCCTGACCAACATGGAGAAACCCCATCTCTACTAACAATACAAAATTAGCCGGGCATAGTGGCACATGCCTGTAATCCCAGCTACTAGGGAGGCTGAGGCAGAAGCATCGTTTCAACCTGGGAGGTGGAGGTTGCGGTGAGCCCAGATCACACCCCTGCACTCCAGCCTGGGCAACAAGAGCGAAACTCCGTCGCAAAAAAAAAAAAAAAAAAAAAAAGCAGCTGGCTCGTTGCCAGGAGGCTGAAGGACACTCACACTGGTGATCTCCTGGCTTGAAGAACAGAGAATGTTGTCTGGGTGTGTGTCAGGGGGTTAAGTGTGCAGGAGCCACGTCTACATCTATACATGGCTGTAGCTGAAATTAGTTTCACGCAAGTTTATTTGCAGATCAGAGCAAGGAAGAAAAGCTCTCCAGTGAAGTGGATTTTAGCTACATTGTTGCTGCCTATGGATCAAACCCTAGTCTGAAGGCCATGACTGCTGAGTGCAACCTCTGTGATGAGAAATCTTACTCATGATGTGTGTGTGACAGGAAACCATAGCTGTTAAAACCTCTGTCCTGAGGCACTCCAGGTGCGTCACTGCACCTGAGTGATTGCTGGTGAATTCCCGACCCACGGACACACTGCCTTCAGTCTAGAGCTTCTGTGTGGGAGGGATGTGGCTTCGCTGCTGCTGAGAAAGCACCAAGCCCCTTTATTTTTTCTCCCAAAAGGGCTGCGAATGAAGTAGATTCATTTCTAAAATGCCCTGTACAGCCTCGAGGTTTTTGATAATTTATGGAGTGATATGATCCTATTAAACGGGAGTCTGCGGCTGTTTGATCTAGCTGGTAGCTCTAAACCTGTGGAGAGAAAAGAAAGGTCTGGCAGGTCAGACACAAAGATCTAATGTGTGGTGTCAGGGTGGGGCTTTATGGGTAATTTTTATTTTATGTTTTGCTTATTTGCATTTTCTACTGTCCCTATAAAGAGACTGTATTGCTTGAGAAATAAACTAAGAGCAGCATTTGGGAGTGCCAGTGTCTCTGTTGCTTAATGCAGAAAAAATAAGCACTGCAGAATAACTTTACTGGCTTCAAAAAGGGGGAAATATCCAACTTGTCACGAAACACAGGAATGGAATTGCTGCTGGTCTCCACGCAGACCTTGGTTTGGTGAACATCCCAGGAAGTGAACTTTGGGGGACCTCTGTGGTACCAACACGTGGGTGTCCCAGTGGGCGATGGAGGTCTTACCAATGGGCTGGACTCACCTTCTTAATGAGGTCTTGTCCATTGGTGCAGACATCATTCACGCGATCCTTGTGGACGGTGAAGTCTGTCTCAAAAGCTTCATGTTTCTTCAGTAAGCCCTGGAGTAGAAGCAGCCAAGGCACACTATTGAGAGCCTGCTATGTGTTGTGGGCTAGGCCCCGGGGACAGAGAGTGACAAAACTGCTATGGTCCCTGTCCATGCACACATTACAGTCTAGCTGGGGAAGAGGATAATAAAGAGGAACATTAATAAATAGAGAATCATAAAAGGAAGGAAAACAGGAGGCAGTGAGGCAGTGAGAGTAACCAGCAGTGGTGGGACAGGCTTCAGCAGGGACAGTCTTTGGACCTTTGGGAAGGGTCAAACCCTTTGTCATCCATCAACAGTGACTTATGGTCTCTCCCCCAAGAGGACCACAAGAATGACACAAAGCAAGCTGAAGATATACACCCAAACAAAAACGACACATTTTTAAGGTTTAACTTGAACACATCTCAGAAAAGGCCTTCCAAGTCATGTCTTTTTTTTTTCTTTTTGAGACGGAGTTCTTGCTCTATTGCCCAGGCTGGAGTGCAGCAGCGTGATCTTGGCTCACTGCAACCTCTGCCTCCCAGGTTCAAGCGATTCTCCTGCCTCAGCCTCCCAAGTAGCTGGGATTACAGGTGTGCACCACCACACCCAGCTAATTTTTGTAGTTTTTAGTACAGACGGGGTTTCACCATGTTGGCCAGGTTGGTCTCGGACTCCTGACCTCAGGTGATCTGCCCACCTTGGCCTCCCAAAGTGCTGGGATTACAGGTGTGAGCCACCGCACCTGGCCCCAGGTCTTTTCCTTAGTACAATTTAAGCACTGCAGACCATGCCTTTTTGGTTGCTTCCAGGGAACTCAACTATGCAGAGGATGGGAAATGACTGACCATCTAAATTCTACCTGAATCACCCTGACCAGCGGGAGGATGCTTCCCATGGTGAGGAAGGTGGCTCAAAGCTAACTCGATTCCTGGGAGTGCACACTCCTGCTTCCACATCTGGGGGCAGGAATTTAGTCATATCTGACCATGATACTTTGCAGCATCTCCTTTCCAGAGGGGAATCTATCCACCTATGCCTCTGGGCTGCCTTGGGACTTGCTTTGGCCAGAAGGCAGTGAGGATGATGTGTGAGGCCGCAGACATCTTGCAGCTCCTGCCTTTGCCTGTCTGAATGCTGCTGAAGGAGGTTGGTCTAGCCAGCTTGAGGACAACAGGCCATGTGGAGGGGAACAGAGATGTCCAGGCTGGATGACAATCAGGCTCAGCTGCCAGTGTGTGATGGATCTCTCAGCCCAGCCACGCTCTGCCTGAATGCAGGAGCGTGAAGGACCTCCAGTGACAGCTGCAGATGCCGCTGATCCACAGATCCATTGGAAGTAAGAAATGGGTGCTGCTTTCAACCACTACATTTAGGCGGGTTGTTATGTAGCAACAGTTAACCAATTTAGGGAGTATGTGATGGGCTGAACTGTGTCCCCCTCAAGAGATGGTGAAGTCCTAACTTCTGGTACCCATGAATGTGGAAACAAGATCTTTGCAAATGTCCTCTGCAAAGGTAAGATGAGGTCATTAGCGTGGACCCTAATCCAATAGACCTGATGTCCCTACAACAGAACACAGAAATGTGAATAGACACACAGAGTGATGCCAAGTGAAGACAGACTCAGAGGGAAGATGGCTACGTGAAGACAGGCAGAGACTGGAGTGATGCTGCCACATGCCAAGGGCGCCTGGTGCCAGCAAAAACTGGAAGAGGCAAGGAAAGATCCTCCCCTACAGGTTTGCAGAACATGGTCCTGCCTGCTTCTTGATTTCAGACTTCTGGCCTCCAGAACTGAGAAGCAATAAATCTCTGTTGTCCTCAGCCACTCCATCTGTGCCACTCTGTCTGTGGTACTCCGTTCGTGCCACTCCGTTTGTGGTACTTATTTATGGCAGCCCCAGGAAACTGATATGAAGACTCAAGCCCACAGCGCTGCCTGGTGAATGACAGGGCCCGTGAACTGAGACTGACAAAGCCATACCAATTTTGTTTACTGAAGGGTGATGTCCCCTAGTGTGAGATCTTGAGGGCTAAAACCAACTACTGAGGCCTTGGCTGCTGGCCCTGTGTGCTCTCCTAGTAAGAGCAGGGCCCTCTAACAAACCAACAGGGAAATGATGACCAGCAGGCAGTTGCCAAGAGAGAAAGCAGGTGACACCTTTGGTTTCTGTCTCACCTGGATGGCGGCAAGAGTGTCGCCATAATCTTCGCTGGCCACCAGGGTCATTTTCTCATTGATCCAGGCTTCTTCCTCTTCCACATTGGCTACAAACTGCTGATATTCCAAGGACTCTTCCAGCCGCTGACCCCTAATTACAGGAGACAGGAAGAAAATCAGCCATAATCTCCTCCAGCTTTGATTGTGATAGTTAACATATGCTTAAAAACAGTCACAAAAGCTGGGCATGGTGGCTCATGCCTGCAATCCCAGCACTTTGGGAGGCCGAGGCGGGCAGATCACGAGATCAGGAGATCGAGACCATCCTGGCTAAGACGGTGAAACCCCGTCTCTACTAAAAATACAAAAAATTAGCTGGGCTTGGTGGCGGGTGCCTGTAGTCCCAGCTACTCGGGAGGCTGAGGCAGGAGAATGGCGTGAACCTGGGAGGCAGAGCTTGCAGTGAGCCGAGATTGTGCCACTGCACTCCAGCCTGGGTGACAGCAAGACCCCGTCTCAAAAACAAAAACAAAAACATTCACAAAAAAGGTGAGCCCTCACAGTCAGTCAGGCCGTCCATGGAACATCATGAATCACCCACTCTGTGATTCCAGACTCTCATGTCTTGATTTCTGGAGAATCATGTGTGATTCATGTGTGATTCATGTGTGATTCTGGACTCATACAGAAACATGTATGATTCTGGACTCATACAGTGGGTCCAGATGAACAGAATGAGACCACCTCAGCATGGCCTGTAGGAGGTGGCTCTGGAGCAAACCGACTATGGCACATGTGAGGCCAAAGGTCCAGGAGACAGTAGGAGGGCCCACTGGACCCCCACAGCTCAGAGTCTGCCCTTGGGTGCTGGCCTTCCACTTGTTCCCGGGAGCTCCTGCCTCTGACTACTCACCGGGCAGCTGCCAGCTGCTTCAGCTCTTTCCAGTGCTCCACAAACTGCGCCAGCCGCTGCTGGATCTCCTCTTTCCCGATGGTGTTGTCATCGGACAGCTTCTTGCCAGTGTCCAGGACACCCTGACAGGCAAGGACGAGGAGGTTAACAGCAGGTAGCTCTTCTGGTGCTTCTGTCTCGAAGCTCCCAGGAAAAGGCCTCAACATCAAGTTTGGGACTTCTCCAGGTTTGGACTGAGGGGTCATGAACACTTTAGGGACCTCAGTGAAATAAGCGCAAGGGGTTTGTCTGTCCCCTGGGGCCCACTCAAACACCTCTGCCCTCTTGGCCAGAAGGCGGCCTCCTTACCTGAATAGCCGGCTCATGCGCAGCCAGTTCTGCTTCCAGCCGCTTGTGCTTCTTCCTCAGGTTCTGCACGCCGGTTAGGTCCCGGCCGTAGTCCTCTGAGCCCACCAGCAGCTTCTTCTCCCTGAATGAGAGATGGGAAACAGCACAGTCAGTCTCTGCACCTCCCTGCTTTCAAGTGGGGACATCAGGTCAACTGTGGACCTCACAGACATCTACTAATCTTTCTGGGAAAATCCTTGCCAGTTTTCTGAACAACAAAAGCCTCTACTTCCCAAATGAGTAGGGACCAAGAACCTCTGTCCATCTATGCATCTATGAGCCCTGCTGTGTGTCCGGATTCTGGAGGGTTGGGGATGCACTGGAGGATGGGAGGCATCACTAGTGCTGCCCTGAGGAGCCCTATCAAATTATATCAATATATATCAATCATGTATACTAAATATGTATTAATATATCAATATATGTCTGTAAATATACAAAGATATTTATATATATACATATATACACACTTTTTTTTTTTTTGAGACAGAGTCTCATTCTGTTGCCCAGGCTAAAGTGCAATGGCATGATCTCTGCTTACTGCAACCTCCGCCACTCCGGTTCAAGTGATCCTCCCACCTCAGCCTCCGGAGTAGCTGGGACCACAGGTGTGCGCCACTATGCCTGGCTAATTTTTTCTATTTTTGGTAGAGATGAGTTTTCACCATGTTGCCCAGGCTGGTCTCAAACTCTTGGATTCAAGTGATCTGCCCACCTCGGTCTCCCAAAGTGTTGGGATTATAGGCGTGAGCCACCACACCCAGCTATATAAGTAATATATATATTTTTTGAGACAAAGTCTTGCTCTGTCGCCTAGGATGGAGTGCAGTGGCACGATCTTGGCTCACTGAAATCTCCACTTCCCAGGTTCAAATCATTCTCCTGCCTCAGCCTCCTGAGTAGCTGGGATTACAGGCACGTGCCACCATGCCCAGCTAATTTTTATATTTTTATTTTTTATTTTTTTGAGACGGAGTCTTGCTCTGGAGTACAGTGGTGCGATCTTGGCTCATTGCAACCTCCGCCTCCCTGGTTCAAGCGATTATCCTGCCTCAGCCTCACAAGCAGCTGGGACCACAGGCGCCTGCTACCACACCTGGCTAATTTTTGTGTATTTAGTAGAGACGGGGTTTCACCATGTTGGCCAGGCTGGTCTCGAACTCCTGACCTCAAGTGATCTGCCCGCCTCAGCCTCCCAAAGTACTGTGATCACAGGCGTGAGCCACTGCGCCCGGCCACAAACGTCTTTTAAGAACAAAATCCTCTCTCTTAATTCCTTACTTCCTTAAAGCCTTCCGACCAGGCGCAGTGGCTCATGCCTGTGATCACAGCACTTTGGGAGGCCCAGGTGGGTGGATCACTTGAGGTCAGGTGAGGTCAGCTCGAGACTAGCCTGGCCAACATAGTGAAACCCTGTCTCTACTAAAAATACAAAAATTAGCCAGGCATGGTGGCATTCTAGCCTGGTGACAGAGCGAGACTCCATCTCAGAAAAAAAAATGTTTGTTTACCTGCCACATCAACTGGAATCAGTAGACTGACATTTTCGGGGACAGATAGAGAATAAGAAAAAAAGCAACTCCTTCCTTGGAGAAGTGATCTTCTCCAGAAGCTCAGAAACAAACTCACTAACTTTCACGGGAATCTAAAAGGCAGGGTCTAGACAGGGCCTATGTAGCCAGCATGGATCACCACCACCGCCAATTATCATCACTGTAAACCCGGAAAGCAGAAGACACTGAGGCATCCCACGACTGTGTGCCCAAGCTGGGATCCCAGTCCAGCAGGGTTTCCAGCCTCACCACTCAACAGTCAGCCTGTGGTTCCTGCTGCCCACTATTACAGGCGTAAGGGGCCTTCTAGAGGGCTGAGAAGACATACTTGATCCAGGACTCCTCGTCATCCATGTCCCGGAAGAACTGGTGCAGGCGATGGGATTCATTCAGCTTGGCTCGCCGGGAGGCCGCCATGCTCTTGATCTTCTGGAAGCGCCCGTTGATGGTGTCCCTCTTGTCCTTTACTTGGGAGGTGTCGAAGGCACTGCTGGTCATCAGGCTGTCTGCCTGGCTGTTCAGGTCCTTCAGGCGATCCTGGGGCAGGGGACATAAGAGGGTCAGAAACTGGGTCTCCCACAGCTATCTGCTTGAACATAAGAACTCAGGAATTCCTTACTGAGATGTGGAGTGTTGATATTCTCAAAGTCTGTTATGTGGACCTCTGGCATTCTATCAACTCACACTATTTTCATAACATTATAAGACATTATTATTTTTTACCGTGTGGACATTTGCACTGATAGTACAAAAGCAATGGAGGAGGGGACATGCTGGTGCTTTAGCTCAAATCAAGGCAGTGGCAAACTACTAGCAGAAGTGGATTCTTCACTGCCACCCACTCACAGTGAAAAAAAAATGCTGTTTCACTTAAAAATGTCCTTAAAAAGGCAGTGAAAGTTAATTTTACTGAGTAGCCATTCTTTTGTACTTGAAAGAACAACCACCGAACAAACTATGCTCATTCAGACTTGGTATCTCACAGATACTCGGTCCAGAATAAATAAAGTGAGCCTGTCACTTCAAAGAATACTGACAGTTTGTTACTAATGATAAAATTCAAACTTTTATGAGAAAGTTAGAATTTTAGAAAACTTACACCCACCACCAGGAGCCTGAAGGCTTCCTAATATGTGAAGATTTTTCTAATGAAATTGGTGGTGGTATTAACTGCAATGTTTTGATATCATATAATCACATGTGTCAACATATAGAACAGGCATAACTCAGTGAAGCAATATTTACCAAATGAGCCATGCATGATGTTGCAAAATCATGCACAGGTAAGAGCTACATTCAAAGCCCAAGATGGACCAGTGGGTTTTAATATAATCCAGTATAAAAAGTTTACTGACAAGGTTTCAGGGGCCACTTTGCAACTAACCCCCCAACAACTTTTTTTTCCTTGCTCTGTCATCCAAGAGTGCGGTGGTGTGATCATGACACACACACTGCAGCCTCAACCTCCTGCCTGGACTCAAGTGAACCTCCCGCCTCGGCCTCCAAGTAACTGGGACTATAGGTGCATACCCCAACGTTTGGCTAATTAATTTTTGTGTTTTTTTTTTGTTTTTTTTTTGAGACGTAGTCTCATTCTGTCGCCCAGGCTGGAATACAGTTACACAATCTCGGCTCACTGCAACCTCTGCCTCCCGGGCTCAAGCAATTCTCCTGCCTCAGCCTCCCAAGTAGCCGGGATTTATAGGCACATGCCACGCCCTGCTAATTTTTTGTATTTCAGTAGAAACGGGGTTTCACTGTGTTACCCAAGCTGGTCTCGAACTCCTGAGCTCAGGCGATCCACCCGCCTCGGCCTCCCAAAGTGCTACGATTACAGGCATGACTCACCATGCCCAGCCTAATTTTTGTATTTTTTTGTACAGACAGAGTCTCATCATGTTGCCCAGGCTGGTCTTGAACTCCTGGGCTCACATGATCTGCCTGCCTCGGCCTCCCAAAGTGCTGGGATTACAGGTGTGAGCCACTGTACCTGACCACAGCTAAGCTTTAAGAAACTATGACTTTGGTATAGTATCAAAGAAAATTATTCACACTTACCCGAATCAAAATATTCCTCCCTTTTCTACCTACCTACCTGTGTAAAACTGAATTTTCATCCAATGCAAAACACCACAACCTGAATTCAGCATTTTTTTTTTTTTTTGAGATGGAGTCTTGCTCTGTTGCCTAGGCTGGAGTGCCGTGGCGCGATCTTGGCTTACCGCAACCTCCGCCTCCTGGGCTCAAGTGATTCTCCTACCTCAGTCGCCTGAGTACCTGGGATTACAGGCAGCCACCACCACGCCCGGCTAATTTTTGTATTTTTAGTAGAGACGGAGGTCTCACCACGTTGGCCGGAGTGGTCTCGAACTCCTGACCTCAGGAGATCTGCCTGTCTGGGCCTCCCAAAGTGCTGGGATTACAGCCGTAAGCCACTGCACCTGGCCTTAAAATTTATGTAATTTTTAATAATGGTGAGCATTGATAAAACCTACATAATAAAAATCTCTCAAGAGCCCTCAATAACTGCCAAGTGTATAATGATCCTGAGGCCACAACCTTTGAGAATGGCTGCTTTAAGTGAAAGAAGTCACTCTCTTTTCTCAAACACGCTTGTTTTCCTTAGGAGTCAGGCAGAGCTGTGTCCCAGGCACTCGGGCCTGGCCCGCCTCCCTTTGCTTACCTCATGGGCAGATATATCTGCTTCCAGCAGTTGATGCTTTTTCAGCAGGTTGTTCACAGAAGCTAGGTCTTTGCCATAATCTTCGGATGCCAGCAGGGCCTCCACCTGGCAATGAAAACACAAAAAGCAAAGGCTACTGTGTGGTGTATACTCAGCATTCTGGAAAATTCAGGTTGCCCAGTGGCTATTCCAGGGCCTTGCTTGGACAGTTGAATACTTCTCCATCACAATGTGTTACTGTGATTCCTAGCCACCCCAATCAGCCTGCCCGGCCTGAGACACTCTCTCCACTCGGTCAGTCAAACCTAGACTCCAGAGTCTATTCATAGTAAATACTACAGCTAAGGCAAAATGCACAGCAATCCTAGTTCAAGGAAACCCCCCTAGGAAAGAATCAGCAGTGTGGACAAAGATTAATATTCAAAGATATTCACTACAGCAAAATATATACACCAAAAGGCTGGGAACACCTCAATGTCCAACAATATGGGAATGGTTACATTATGGCATGGCTCTATGATAAACTTACGCAATTATTAAAAAAAAAAATTTTTTTTTTTTGAGATGAAGTCTCGCTCTGTTGCCCAGGCTGGAGTGCAATGGTGTGATCCCAGCTCACTGCAACCTCCACCTCCCAGGTTCAAGCGATTCTCCTGCTCAGCCTCCTGAGTAGCTGGGATTACAGGAGCGTGCCACCACGCCTGGCTAATTTTTGTATTTTTAGTAGAGACAGGATTTCACTATGTTGGTCAGGCTGGTCTCGAACTCCTGACCTCAAGTGATCTGCCTGCCTCGGCCTCCCAAAGTGTTGGGATTACAGGCGTGAGCCACTGCACCTGGCCAAAACCTCTATGTTTTTATAGTCTGTGCTTTCCAAACATTCTCCATGGAGAATACATGACTGACTCTGGCTTCCCAGATGCTACTATCTTGGTTTCTAACCTGGCATAGGCTTGTTAGAGCTGCATGCCATATAACTACCCATAATCTCTTCCTATTTGCCTTCCCTATGGATGTGAGTGACCTGTAGTCCAAGTGCCACTACAAGTCAGCTCTCTTAACATTCACTCCCTTTGCTCATAAATCCCTTACAGCATGCAACTCATATATAATAAGGGTTTCTGTCAAAAGGGGTGTCTGGTGAGCCCTGCCTTTTCGTGGTTTTGGGCACTGATGGACCCACTGTGCCAAATGACTAGAAATCCCCCACTGGTAGGAAGAGGAACCACTCAGTGTTACCTCAGACAGCCAGAAGTCAAAGTCCTTGATCCCTGTGTTGAAGTTCTGCTGCTTGTTGGCTTCTTTCAGTTTCTGGCTCTTTTCCGCTGACTTTTGCACCAAGAACTGCCACTGGTCAGCTAAGGCAGCCAGGCGGGCCTGGGGAACAGAAGGGAGCCAAAAAGAGATGAAATCTATGAAGAATCGTCCCTCTCCTAAAGCTCAATTTGAGAACTTCTAAGAGAAGAGAATGGAAAACACTCATAGGAGCCATTCTCACTAGCATTCCCCATCTGTAATTCAGCCTAAAGTCTTCTATAATCCATTTAGTGTCTTAAGACTGTATGTCCAAGTTATTATATCAGGTTGACAGTGACGGTGGTCATCTTCCTCCCTGGGCACCGGGAGCTGGTGGGCCATACCTTGACAGCATCCTCACTGCCGGCACAGGCTCCACGTTCAATGAGGGAGTTGCCCATGTCGATAACCCCACGGATCCGGTCAGCGTTGGCATGCAGCTCTGCTTCAAAAGCCTGGTGCTTCTGGTGCTTGCTCTAAAAATACCAAAAAAATTTTTTCCAAACCAGTTCCTGCTAGGTTATGTCTTTTCAGGGGGAAGGGGTTCTCAGAGGCAGGGAGTGGCAGCAAACATAAAGAACTGGGGTAAATGCCAACGTTTTTAACAGAAGGCAATTGGAGTTTGTATGAAATATTTTAGGGTTCATCTCTTGGGGAGTTAGCAAAGGAGGAAGGAAATGTACTAGCTCAGGAGTAGATGAACTGGAAGTCCTTTTTTTTGAGACAGGGTCTTGCTCAGTTGCCCAGGCTGGAGTGCAGTGGCGTAATCTCAGCTCACTGCAGCCTCAACCTCTTCGGCTCAAGCAATCCTCCTACCTCAGCCTCCCGAATAGCTGGGACCATGGGTGCATGACATCACACCCAGCTAATTTTTCTATTTTTTGTAGAGATGGGGTTTCGCCATGTTGCCCAGGCTGGTCTTGAACTCCCGAGCTCAAGCAATCGAGCCACATTGGCCTCCCAAAGTTCTGGGATTACAAGCATGAGCCACCAAGCCTGGCCAAAAAATCAATTCTTGCAGTAGCTATGCTAGCTATTTGGGAGTGAAGCCCTAGAATTACACACTTCCTAACACTTTCCAGAAGATGGCAATGGCCAACTTCAGTTTTGAATCTGCTTGTACATCAATTTCCATCCATGGCTTTCTCCTTATTGGAGACAGGCTGTAATGAATGAGATACATATGGACATTTCATTATCTAAAGCAGAAATCACCATTAAGCAAAATTCATAACATAAATTGTAATAACCAGCAAAATAATATTTGATGGTCAGTCTTTTCCCTCTGTTGACAGAGGAGAAATCTACAGCTACTACAGACATTGGCTTTGTTGATTTATCTTTAGGTAGCTGTCATTAATCAAAACACTGGGATACTGTCAGAACCCAGGCTTGACTGCAGGAAGGAATTTATTTTACTGGGAAATGAAAGGGCTAGGAGAAGGATGGGCTCCTGATCCTGGGCGCCTGATATGGTTTTTATGAATCCATAAAGAAACAGAAGGTACTGAAATGCTACAAGAGACAATTGCAAGGACATAGCAGCTATGCCACAATTCTGGGAAAAACAATTGGCTGGGTAAGAAATGCAGGGTCTCAGGGGAGTGTTATTTGGGGGGCAAAAAAAAAACAACTAAAAGGCAGTAGTGTTGGGGAATTCTGCATCAAATGTTTCATTTCAGAGGCAGCAACTGTCAAAGGATGGAGCCATCTGGCTCAATTCAGCACTAACATGAAATGTCCTTGTTACGTTCTCCCACCGCCTGATCCCAAAGCCAAGAAGGAAAAGGGTCTCAAACACTCAGATATCCTGACAAAAGTCCCATTACCCTCTTCTTCTGTTCCTTGTTCTGATCACCCTTTGGTTCAAATCCCATTTACTCTCTTCTCTATCTTCATTTCTTCCACCCGCTTAAGTAACTTTGAGCTACATGTTGACTGAAGTCTCCTTTCACTACCTGTTGAGTGATGTCTGCTTTTATCTTAACTTCTCATTTGTGTTCCTTGAAGATTTGGAGGTATTAATAGACCATCCGTCTCTCTACAGTTCTCTAGCTGTTCCTCTCCTGACTGGCACCTCTGGATGCCAGAGTGGGTATGCATTAAAACCCTCACACCAGACTGGCCTCCCCAACCCAGGCCACCGAACACCATGAGCTCATAGCAAGTCTGAGCCAATGTCTACACAGAAAAAGCTGAAGCTGATGTTCCATCTTCAAAAGGAAGCACTCCTTGAAAGAAAATGGTCAATTACTGCCCCGCAAATCAAACACTGTACAGAATTTGCCTAAGTGATAAACTGGGGGAGAGAAGGGGGAGTAAGGCGTTGCAGGCTAATTACAACAGAAAAAGCCACATCCCACAGGGACACTTGAATGGAGTGTAATGGATGATTAGAAATGAAAAGGATGGATGAAGAGACACCAGCAAACCGTGTGACCACAATAATAACAATAATCTACGCAGAGTAACACAAATACTGGAGCTCATTTAACTACAACTCTTAAAAAAATTAAAAACTTACCAGCAGCTTGGAAAGCTACAAAAACAGATTAAAAGAACAAGAGTTCAGTACACTGATGTGGACACACATATCAGCTATTAAATAGAAACTCATTTTGTCATACTTCCCCCAGGAAGCTCAGCATTTGGGAACAGTAATAGAAGGGGGATTCTATAGACTTTTATTACAGCAGAAATAGTTTTAATGGAGACAAATGAGGAAGGCAACTTTTAAATGGCTCTGAAACTTGACTAGGGCTTTCCCACTGGCTGGGCTTACTGAAATATTTCTCACTGACTTCCCATGGGTGCAAGGAGATTGTTTTATAAATGCTTTATTTAACAAAATCTACTCAATAACATAAGGCTACATCAAGACCAACACCCAGTCACTTCAGCTTACCTGGATGTTGGTGGGATCCTTGTACGACTCATCACTCGCTGTTTGCAATTTTTCACTGATCCAAGCCTCAATCTCATCCACATCCCGGCTGAACTGTTGGAGGGTTTGAGATTCTCCTAGCTTTGACCTTTTCTCAATCATCTGGGCTTTCAGACGTCGCCACCTGAAAGAGTGAAACCATGAGATCCAACATGAGCATATCTTACCGTGGAGAAGGAAGTGGGGAGACAGAACAGGCCTGGGCCTTCGTATGAGGGGATGCATCCTCTCAGGGCTGGTGACTATGTCAGTGCCACAGGACACCCACCTGTCCAAGACCTCATTGCGCCGGCTAGAAATGTCTCCCTTGGCATAATGGCCGGCAGCGATGAGCTGGTCGGCAAAGGCCTGCAGAGCAGCAATCTTCTCTTCCTGTCAGAAAACAAAGGCATGAGATCAAGGTGGGCCTGTGGCTGGGCCCTGCCTGGACTGCCAGTCTTGAGAAAAGGATAGTTATTTTGGGTGACTGAGAACTAGCTGGTGGCAGGATCAGAATACACTGACACTTTAGAAGCAAGAGTGTAAAATGCCAAAAGAAAGCTTGATTTCATTCATTACTAGAGTAGAGTTTAACTCAAGAAGTCTCCAGGTCACTCAGGTGGGGCAGGTGTTAGAATATCAGAACAGAACAAAATTAAGCCTGATAATAGGAAAATGCTGTCAGATTTACAGCAAAGTGACGTATAAATCAAACAGTTTTACATCTTCCTTGTTGTTTGTTCATTATTCCCTTACCTACCCACACATTTGTTTTCCATCCCTTTGATAATATTTTTTTTTCCTGTGGCACCCCCATTATTAAAATCTCAGAAATACCAGAATCTATAAAGTTTTAAAGATTATTTATGTACATATTTTTCTTAGACAACGCAGGTATTCCTTGGAGATATAACAGTGACTATATAAGCCAAGAAACAGATGTCAATCAGGAAAAATCCAGACTCCAACTCCATGGTCCAGAGGCCTCACCTGGACGTTAATCGCTTTGTCAAAGTCTTCATGTTTTTTGATCAGAGCCTCTACGCTGTCCAGTGAGTCTCCTTTGTCTTCGGTATTCAAGAAGGCCTCCCGGGCAGCCATCCAGTTCTCAGCTTGCTCACAGTCCCGATGGAACAGCTAAAGAGGGCAAGAGGCAGGTGAGAAAATGAGGCCCTTCAGCAAGGAAACACTTGGTCAGAAACCAGGAGCACACACACCTGCAGTTCAAGGCACTGATCCAGCATCATCCTGCGCTGAACCCAGGCCTTCTCCAGGTCTGCACGCTCCTGGTCAAGAATATCAAGTTTCTGCTTGATCTCAGGGCTGGCATAGTGTCCGTGAGCCAACAGCTGCTGTCCAAACTGCTCAAATGCCTGGAAAGTGCCAGCCCTGGCATCGATTTCTGTCCGGTGTTCCTGCCAAAAGGAGGGAAGGGATTAGGTAACTGGCAGCAGATGCCCACTCTGACGTCAACCACCGACTCACCACAAAGGGTGGGAATGAGGCCTCTAGGGCCCTGCAGAGCAGCCACGTCTTTGCTACTCAGCAGGCAGGTCCACCCACCTGGTGTCGCTCCAGCAATGCCTCAGCTCCGGTGACATCCTTGGCTAGCTCATCTGAGGACACCAACCCCCGTATTCCATTGATCCAAGACATGAGGTCCCTGGAAACCAGCACCCCAGAAAAATAGCTATTATATTACCTGGTAAGGAGATCTTCTGCCCAGGAAAACAGAGAATGACATAATTCTTGCCTCAGAAAGTTATCTTGGGTTAATCTGATCTACTGAATGAGGCTAGGTCTTTGGGCAAAGTGTTAAAAAACTTCTTGTTATTTTTTTAAAAGTCCGAATTTCTCAGAGGAAAAGTCAGTAGGCTTATAATTAAGATCTTTTCACCCTCCAGAATAACAAGTTCTAGCTACAATTAAGTCTTTGATAGCTTCAAATGAAAAAGCTTTTGTTGGCCAGGCGTGGTGGCTCATGCCTGTAATCCCAGCACTTTGGGAGGCTGAGGCAGGAGGATCGCTTGAGCTCAGGAATTCAAGATCAGTTTGGGCAATGTGGTGCAACCCTGTCTCTAAAAAAAAAAGAAAAAAAAGAAAAAGCCTTTCTTTAGGATTAACCCTTGAAGCCCTAGGCCTGGGCATACATTTGATCCAGTTTCTCACAGCTGTACAACCACAAGGGCACAAAACTGAGTGTGTAAGGTCAGATATGGTATGATTCCTTTTATATGACATGTCCAGAAGAGGCAAATCCATAGACATAGAAAGCAGATAAAGGATTCCTAGTGGGTGGGGAAGAGAGAAGAGGGGGTGATTAGTTAAGGAATGTTATTCTAGGGCAATGAAAATGTTCCAAAACTAGAGAGGGGTGGCTGCACAACACCGTGAATACATTAAATGTCATTGGATTGCACATTTTAAAGTAGTTAATTGTATGTTACGTGGCTTTTACCTCAATAAAAAGAAGAAAAAGACAACCAGGCGCAGTGGCTCACGCCTGTAATCCCAGCACTTTGGGAGGCCGAGGTGGGTGGATCACCTGAGGTCAGGAGTTCGAGACCAGCCTGACCAACATGGAGAAACCCCGCCTCTACTAAAAAAAATACAAAATTAGCCGGGCTTGGTGGTGCATGCCTGTGATCCCAGCTACTTGGGAGGCTGAGGCAGGAGAATCGCTTGAACCCAGGAGGCGGAGGTTGCGGTGAGCTGAGATCGCACCACTGCACTCCAGCCTGGGCACAAAAGCGAAACGCTTCCCCCCCCAAAAAAAAAATATATATATATATATGTCTAGGGAAAAATATAATGTCATATGGCAAGGAGATGAGAGGGAGTATGCCCATACTTGGATAGGAAAGTAGAGACTTGTTTTTTTTTTTTTTTTTTGAGGCAGAGTCTTGCTCCATCGCCCAGGCTAGAGTACGGTGGTGCGATCTCGGCTCACTGCAACCTCCGCCTCCAGGTTCAAATGATTCTCCTGCCTCAGCCTCCCGAGTAGCTGGAATTACAGGTGTGTGCCAGTGTGCCACCACGCCCGGCTGGTTTGTATTTTTAGTAGAGATGGGGTTTCACCATATTGGCCAGGCTGGTCCTGAATTCCTGACCTCGTGATCCACCTGCTTTGACTTCCCAAAGTGCTGGGATTACAGGCGTGAGCCACCGTGCCCGGCTGCAGAGACTTATTTTTAACAATATGGCATTCAGTAGTTTGACTATTTTACATTGATTATGTACTACTTTTTTCTGTTTTTAATTTTTTTTTTTTTTTGAGATGGAGTTTCACTCTTGTTGCCCGGGCTGGAGTGCAGTGGCACGATCTTGGCTCACTGCAACCTCCGCCTCCCAGGTTCAAGCGATTCTCCTGCCTCAGCCTCCTGAGTAGCTGGGATTACAGATGCCTGCCACCACACCTGGCTAATTTTTGTACTTTTGGTAGAGACGGCATTTCGCCATGTTGGCCAGGCTGGTCTTGAACTCTTGACCTCAGGTGATCTGCCCGCCTTGGCCTACCAAAGTGCTGGGGTTATAGACGTGAGCCACTGTGCCTGGCCGTTTTTGATTTTTAAATTAAAATTTTATAATAGAAATAGGGTTTCGCCATGTAGCCCAGGCTGGTCTCCGGCTCCTGAGTTCAAGCAATTCGCTTGCCTTGGCCCCCCAAAGTGCTTGGATTATAGGTGTGAGCCATTGTACCCTGCTGAGCATGTACTATTTTCACAATAAAAATGACCCCTACAAAGAAGGCTCTATGTTCCAGAAGTCTGAGTGAACATGGCTCCGTACCGGAAATCGCTAAGGAAGCGCTGCAGGTCGTGGGAGTCACCCAACTTTGCCTTGCGCTGATCTGCACGTTTCCCCAGGCTGCTCCAGGCCTGGTTTAACTCTGTGCACTTTTCCTGCAGGTCTTCTGCTGACTCGGGATGGGACTGGATCAGGCGCTCTGCTGTTTCACCAAGGGAGTTTACCTATGGGAAGAAAGTGGTGAATGAGCTTGCAGTAAGGGGGTATGCTCTGCAGAACAGAAGACTCTGCTCTTTCTGGGGCAAAAATGCCAGACAGAAGATGACTTTGGGTCCTCTCACCTTGTCACCGAGAGCCGCAAGGTCCCTCTCGAAGCCCTCATGCTTGCGTTGCAGGGCCTGGACACTGGCGAGATCATGTCCATAATTGTCTGTGTTTAGAGCTTGATTCTTCTCTTCAATCCATTCTTTGGTTTCATCAGCATCTCTAAAGGCGAGACACATTCAGGTTAAGAAATGCCAAGTACAACTGCCTTGATTACAGGACACTAAAAAAAATTTATTTATTTATTTATTTATTTATTTACTGAGATGGAGTTTCATTCTTGTCACCCAGGCTGGAGCACAATGCACAATCTCAGCTCACTGCAACCTCCGCCCCCACCGGGTTCAAGTGATTCTCCTGCCTCAACCTCCCAAGTAGCTAGGATTACAGGCGCCCACCACCATGCCCAGCTAATTTTTTTATTTTTAGTAGAGGTGGGTTTCCCCATGTTGGCCAGGCTGGTCTTGAACTCCTGACCTCAGGTGATCTGCCTGCCTTGGCCTCCCAAAGTGCTGGGATTACAGGCATGAGCCACCACGCCCAGCCTAAAAAAATTTATTTAGCTGACATTTGTATATTTGTCTGTGGCTACCACCAATAACTCTAAAAAGCCAAATAATTCACTTAGCAGGATTTACTGAGCACCCACCCCATGTCACAAATAAACATCAGTAAGAGCCAGCAGTTGCTCTAGGATCTCAGTCAGCAAGCTTGGGGGCTGTCAGGAAACCAGCAGTCACCTGTTTCTCCCTCTCCCAGCCCAGGGCTGACCCCTCACCTGTGGAACCTCTGTACTTCATGGGCGCTGCCCAAGAGCTGGCTCCGTTCCTCGGCCAGCTGCTGTAGGGACCGCCAGCGCTCATTCAGCTCCTGCAGGACAGCAAAACATCAGCTCCACTGCACTCCCTCTCCTGTCATGCCCCCAGTCAGACTTTGGGAAAATGACTTTGTTTGAAGGAGATGCTAGGGCATATATAATTTCCTGTTTCCAACCTTCCTCGCTGAATAAATTAGTATACAATATTCCAGTAAGAGCCAAGCCAAAACTAGCTGTGCTTGACAGCTTCAACACCCACAAACACCTGACCTAGGCATCCTCTCTGAGGCAGCAGGAGAGACACAGCTGACTTTTCCTTACTCTCACCTCCTAGCCTGGGGCCTGGCAGGTAGCAACTGCTTCCTAAGTCACAGCTGCGTGGAGAAATCCCAGCGAGTCTGCTGCCTCCCAACACCCAATCAGCAGACTCTCAGGCCAGAGCAGGCCTGGGAAGAGCCGACACGCCACAGGACCTCGCACTGCAGGCGGCAAGGAAGCCGCTCACTGCATTACTGAGACTGTGCTCCTTCCAGCTCCCTGCCCTACTGGAAATCAGAGGGAAGGCTTGCTCCACTGTTGAGAACTGGCAGGCTCTTGACCAGGAAAGCCACCAAGCTACCCAGCGGCCATGAATGTGCTGATGTTTACTTAGGACATGCTTGGACCCAATAGAGTGAGATATGTCACAGGTCACCCGGTTGACAAGAACAAGAGCTCTGCTGTAGACAGGGAAGGAAGATAGTGGAGAAAACCAGGGGAGATCAGAGGAGCTGGTCACTGCTTCTTACCTTGATGGAATTAAAGGTGGCCACGGTGTGAACCATCAGACGAGCAGACTAGGTAGGGAGGAAAGCAGAAGGCAAAACTAATCAAGTGTCTGGCAATTAGAGATCTGAGCTGCAAGTGTCATTGATTAGGTCCCTGTGATTAACCCAAATTACCTTAAAGGGATACTGTCAACATTCTTAACAGAGACATCAGTACAAGTGTCAAGTACTAGAATGTCATGAAAATACCCAAAGTGCACAATTAGACTCAACTGAGTAATTAATTTTATCTGATGAAGAGTGAAAAAAGAATGGTAAAAACCACAATTCTAGCAGCTAGTTGGACAGAAAAATACCTAAAAGACTAATGATTAGTGTCATTTTCTTGTCTATACTACAGGAGAACATTCCGGAAAAAAAAAAACCCTAAATTTAACAAATGCTGGCAGCTGAGACTGTTTAACAGCCAGGAGCTCTAATAATCACTTTCATCTCCAATTATAGTTACTGGGTTGCTGTTCTTTTTAACCGTATCCCCGTTGAAGGGCAACGGCTTTACCAGAGGGAAAAAATAAAGCAGTGAATTAGCTTTCAACAACGTACATTTCAACAACGTACATTTCAACAACGTACATTTCAACAACGTAGCTACTTCTAAAAACCTAAAGTCCCTTAGGGCTAGGCATGCTGGCTCACGCCTGTAATCCCAGCACTTTGGGGGACCAAAGTGGGTGGATCACCTGAGGTCAGGAGTTTGAGACCAGCCTGACCAACATGGTGAAACCCCGTCTCCACTAAAAATACAAAAATTAGCTGGGCACGGTGGTGTGAGCCTGTAATCCTAGCTACTTGGGAGGCTGAGGCATGAGAATCGCTTGAACCTGGGAGGCAGAGGTTGCAGTGAGCTGAGATTGCGCCACTGCACTCCAGCCTGGGCAACGGAGCAAGACTCCGACTCGAAAATAAATAAATAAAATACAAATAAAAACAAATAAATAAAGTCCCTTAGGATCTTTCAGCCCACCCAATTCATTGGAAAGAAACTCTAATTGGCCTAGGTTATAATGCTCACAACCCTTTGAGTAAAGAACAAGAGGAAGGGCATGATGGCTCACGCCTGTAATCCCAGCACTTTGGGAGGCCAAGGCGGGTGGATCAGGTGAGGTTAGGAGATCAATACCAGCCTGGCCAACTTGGCGAAACCCCGTCTCTACTAAAAATATAAAAATTAGCCAGGCATGGTGGCGGGTGCCTGTAATCCTAGCTACACGGGAGGCTGAGGTGGGAGAATTGCTTGAACCCAGGAGGCAGAGGTTGCAGTGAGCTGAGATCACGTTACTGCACTCCAGCCTGGGCGAAAGAGCAAGACTCTGTCTCAAAAAAAAAAAAACAAAAAAAACCCAAAAAAAACAAAAAAAAAAACAGGAGGGCAGGAGGGCTGAGCTTGGATGCAGATGTCCTCATGGCATCCCTAGGTGACATTTTCAACCCGTGTGTTTATAGGAGTCAGAAGGTGGACCCACTGTCTCCAATAAGAGGTACTGGGATTTATAAAGGTACCTAAAATAAATTTCTGAAAGAATACTTATGTTATCAGAAACATTCTGTTGAGGGGGTAAGGCTGTTGCCCATTCATATCATCAATGACCAAGTTTTGCTACGTAAGAAAAGGGAAGAGTGAGAAAAGGAGAGAAAGTTGAATAGAAGGAAAGGTGTATACCCATGCCTGGCCCAGTTAGAAATCTACTTAATGAGGAGAATAGTCAGAGCCAGTGGGGGAAGGAGGCCACAAGACACAGACCCCTCTCAGCCTAGGTCCTCAGGAGAGGTCAGACAAGGTGACTGAGCGGGTTCAAAGGTGGACACGGAAAGGTTGTTGAGGGGAGGCTTTTTGTTTTTAGCTTTTCATGCT
Source organism: Homo sapiens (assembly GCF_000001405.40). Classification (NCBI taxonomy): domain Eukaryota; kingdom Metazoa; phylum Chordata; class Mammalia; order Primates; family Hominidae; genus Homo; species Homo sapiens. Next base: position 128,601,699 of record NC_000009.12, on the reverse strand, counting down.
TTCTTCATATTTCTGGGGACACACTTTTAAAATTTCTTTTTACTTTTTGTTTTTTATTTGCTTGTCAAACTCACCACTGTACTAATGAGGAGAAGGCCTACTTTTTTTCTTCTTCTTTTTAAAACATTTTTATTTTTATTTGTAGAGCCGGGGTTTTGCCATGTTGCCCAGGCTGGTCTCCAGTTCCTGGGCTCATCCACCTGTGGCAGCCTCCCACAATGCTGGGATTACAGGTGTGAGCCACAACACCTAGCCAAAAGATCTACTTTTATAAAGTCAGAATCTGCTGTCTAACTTGCCTGTAACTCAAGTGATGTATTCCTGAAGAGCTGGGTCAGGAGGGAAGATGCTAGAACTGAGACACAGGCAACCAGTTACACAGGCAACCAGTTACACAATCACAGTTATAAATGTATCACATAAAAAACCTCAGCCGGGCCAGTAATCCCAACACTTTGGGAGGCCGAGGCAGGTGGATCACCCGAGGTCAGGAGTTTGAGACCAGCCTGGCTAACACAGGGAAACCCTATCTCTTCTGAACATACAAAAATTAGGAGGCATGGTGGTGCATGCCTGTAACCCCAGCTACTAGGGGAGCTGAGGAAGGAGGATCGCTTGAATCTGGGAAGCAGAGGTTGCAGTGAGCTGAGATCGTGCCACTGCACTCCAGCCTGGGCAACAGAGCGAGACTCCGTCTCAAAAAAAAAAAAAAAAAAAAAAAAAAAGACTTTCTCCCTGGCTGTGTGCTGTGACTCAGGCCTGTAATCCCAACACTTTGGAAGGCTGAGGCAGGCAGATCACCTGAGGTCAGGAGTTAAAGACCACCCTGGCCAACATGGCGAAACCCTGTCTCTACTAAAAATACAAAAATTTGCCAGGCATGGTGGCACATGCCTGTAGTCCCAGCTACTTGGGAGGCTGAGGCAGGAGAATTGCTCGAACTGGGGAGGCGGAGGTTGCAGTGAGCCGAGATTGTGCCACTGCACTCCAGCCTGGGTGACAGGGCAATACTCCATCTCAAAACAAAACAAAACAAAAAAACACACCTTCTCCCTGTATTCTTGGTCAGGGATGGCCCATTCTGGTTAAGCCATATTCACACCCAGATTTGTCCAGAAAAATGTCTACTGTAGTGGGGAAACATCTCATTCCTCCCTTTACATCTCTGTATTGGGCATCTCTGAAGCCTTTCTTAGGCCACAGGATAAAGAGGCCAGGCAGATGGTGAATGAAGGCCTGCCCTCCTTTACATGTGTAGTTGTTCTCGTGTTCACATCATTTCCCTTTGGACCGCCTCTTACTGGTGGGACCCTGCCAACAACAGTGCTCCCTGCTGCAGCATATCCTGCACCAACATGGGTAATCAATGCAACCTAACTGTACTGAGCATTTGACAGACACTCTGCTTTTGTATATTAAGCATCACATTTTAGAGTTAACAGATTCAGAAAGAAACCAGCCCAAACAAGTCCAGAAATGACTAAAGACTTAAGCTGAATATTCAGAGAAAGGCACACCAGAAAAGGACATATTTCATGATCTCGCAAAACTCTTGAAAACAATAATTTGCAAAGGAGTTCTTACCTTCCACGGGGAGGCTGTCTTGGAATCAGTTTCATCCTATTCAAAGAAAGAGGAATTTAGGCAGCCAAGCAATTGACCATGAAACAAAGCACCTGGCCTTTCCAGCGAATGACTCTAGTTTCCCCCAGGGGAGATCCCAGATACTAATACATTAACCAAAACAGCATTTTCCCTCCATAGTTTGGCTGGTAACAAACTACAAGGCTGGTTAAGAAAAATTAAGCCAACAAACAGGGGAGAGAAAAATTCCAATTTTTTTATCCAGTAGAAGAAATGGAGAGAATAAAGAAATTTAATAAGAAAACCACCAACTTTTATGTTGTACTCATAAGATTGTCTGCAAAGGGGTAATAAATGAACCTAAAGATAGCTATAGAAAAAGTTTTAGAAAACTGAAGAGACAGAAGACTTTTTTTTTTTTTTTTTTTTTAGAGCTGTGCTTTGTGTTGCATGCCTGTTGTCCTAGATACCTGGGAGGCTGAGGTGGGAGGATTGCTTGAGGCCAAGAGTTCGAGGCTGCAGTAGGCTATAACTGCAGCTGTGAAAAGCCACTGACCTCCAGTCTGGGCAACAAAGCAAGACCCTATCTCTTAAAAAACAAACAAACAAACAAAAGACCGAAAAAAAAAAAAACCAACTTTTTTTGTCTTTTGGAGAATGGCAAATAGAAATCAATTTCTGGGCTGGGCATGGTGGCTCACGTCTGTAATCCCAGCACTCTGGGAAGCTGAGGTGGGCAGATCACCTGAGGTTGGGAGTTCGAGACCAGCCTGGACAACATGGTGAAACCCCATCTCTACTAAAAATACAAAAATTAGCTGGGTGTGGTGCCACATGCGTGGAATTCCAGCTACTCAGGAAGCTGAGATGGGAGAATCGCTTGAACCTGGGAGGTGGAGGTTGCAGTGAGCCAAGATCACACCACTGCACTCCAGCCTGGTTGACAGAGTGAGACTCCGTCTCAAAAAAAAAGAAATCAATTTTTGGAGTTTTCCACAAATCTTTACACACAAAAGGCATCTGAGGTTCAGGAACAGCAATTCTGATGAAGAAGTTCTTGGCTTGATATTCTTCCCAAGATTTAAGTCCTTCTCATGTTCAAGATCCACACACAGCACCCGAAACTTACCCTGGGCATCATGCCATACACTTCCTACAAGGAGAGAGAGAAACCAGTTTTATTATTAGAAGAAATACACATCTCTCAAGAATACTTATTATGGCCAAACCTGGAAACACAGGAGATAATTCCAAAAGGACAAATGGAAATGCCAGTCCAAATGTCCAGCAGAGCTTCAAGTATTTATATATAAACTTTTTCTTTGAGGAACTTATGAAATTACCATTAGTTAATGGCTATATAAACATTAAATATTTAATGAGCTTACGGAGAAGACAGAAGCCCCCACCCCCCTCCAAACCAAGTGAAAGTGAGGGATATGGGTATAAAGAAGTTAATCAAAATGGTTTTGGTCACATAGAGGACCTGACCTACAGCCAAGCCACAGTTCTGTGTTATGAAACACTGCTTGTTGGGCTATGACAGACACAAGAGGAACAAAGCTGCATCCTTACAGCAACAGAGCCTCACTCCAAGATGGAGACACCTACCTGTTGTTGCACAGCCTGCACCTCCTCTGCCATGAGACCTTCAGACTCCAGGTCTTCAGCTACCTTGTTAATGTCCTTCAACCGTGACTCATTGGCCTTCAGGTCCTTTAAAGCAAAAGCCATAATAACTAAAACCCAAAATAGCAAGCCAAAGTCAAAGGAGACATAGTCACAAACTATGGCTTGAAACTATAAGGATTCTTCTACAGAGGCCTACCAAAAAAAAAAAAGGGGGGGATTAAAAAAATAAGCTATGGCTGGGGGCATGGTGGCTCACGCCTGTAATCCCAGCACTTTGGGAGGCCCAAGTGGGCGGATCACCTGAGGTCGGGAGTTCGAGACCAACCTAACCAACATGGAGAAACCCTGTCCCTACTGAAAATACAAAATTAGCTGGGTGTGGGGGTCCATGCCTGTAATCCCAGCTACTCGGGAGGCTGAGGCAGGAGAATCGCTTGAACCCGGTAGGCAGAGGTTGCGGTGAGCTGAGATTGCGCCATTGCACTCCAGCCTGTGCAACAAGAGCGAAACTCCATCTCAAAAACAAAACAAAACAGGCCGGGTGCGGTGGCTCACGCCTGTAATCCCAGCACTTTGGGAGGCCGAGATGGGTGGATCACGAGGTCAGGAGTCCAAGACCAGCCGGGCCAATATGGTGAAACCCCGTCTCTACTAAAAATACAAAAATTAGCTAGGCGCGGTGGCAGGCGCCTGTAATCCCAGCTGTTCGGGAGGTTGAGGCAGGAGAATCGCTTGAACCGGGGTGCGGCAGAGGTTACAGTGAGCCAAAATCGTGCCACTGCACTCCATCCTGGGCAACAGAGCAAGACTCTGTCTCAAAACAAAACAAAAACAAAACAAAACAAACAAAAAAAGCTATAAGGATCTGTTCAACAGGTATCCCTATGGATTGGTTTTCCCAGTCCTCAGATAATTATTGGACTCAAATTTACTTCATTAACTGTAGTTTTTTGTCTTTTTTGGAGACGGGGTCTCACTGTCACCCACGCTGGAGTGGAGTATTACAATCATGGATCACTGCAGTCTCTACCTCCCAGGCTCAAGCAATCCTCCTACCTCAATCTTCTGAGTAGCTTGGACTATAGGCACACACCACTATGCCCAGCAAATAATTTTATCAAATAGAGACTTTTTTAAAACCTCTTTTTGGTTTTAAAATAATGTTTTAAAAATGTGATGAGGCCAGGTGTGGTGGCTCACACCTTTAATCCCAGGACTATGGGAGGCCAAAGCAGGAGGATTGCTTAAGTTCAAGACCAGCTTAGGGCAACATAACCAGACCCCTATCTCTACAGAAAAATTTTTTTTCTTTTTTTTCTCTAATGAGACTCAGTCTCACTCTATTGCCCAGACTGGAGTGCAGTGGCGTGATCATGGCTCACTGCAACCTCCGCCTCCCGGGTTCAAGCGATCTTCATGCCTCAGTGTACCGAGTAGCTGGGTCTACAGGCAGGCGCTACCACGCCCAGCTAATTTTTGTATTTTCAGCAGAGATGGGGTTTTGCCATGTTGGCCAGGCTAGTCTCGAACTCCTGACCTTAGGTGATCTGCCTGCCTCGGCCTCCCAAAGTGCTGGGATTACAGGCATGCGCCACTGGGCCCGGCCAGAAAAATTTTTTCAATTATAATAATGGATGTGGTAGCCTATGTGCATAGTCCCAGCCACTCGGGTGGCTGAGGTGGGAGGATCACTTGAGCACAGGAGTTTGAGGTTACAGTGAGCTATGATCATCCACTGCCCTCTACCCTGTGTGAGAGAGTGAGACCCTATCTCTAAAAAATAAATAAAAACGAGATAAAATTTTAATGCACAGTTACTATAGGAGAAATAAGTTCTCCCTCCTCATTTTAATTTGTTGTAAGAATCCTTTTAAGTGGTGGAATGGATAAACAATGTGTAGTATATTAGGCCGGGCGTGGTGGCTCACGCCTGTAATCCCAGCACTTTGGGAGACCGAGGCGGGTGGATCACGAGGTCAGGAGATCAAGACCATCCTGGCTAACACGGTGAAACCCCATCTCTACTAAAAATACAAAAAATTAGCCGGGCGTGGTGGCGGGTGCCTGTAGTCCCAGCTACTCGGGAGGCTGAGGCAGGAGAATGGCGTGAACCTGGGAGGTGGAGGTTGCAGTGAGCCGAGATTGCGCCACTGCACTCCAGCCTGGGCAACAGAGAGAGACTCTGTCTCGAAAAACAAACAAACAAACAAAAAAAACGAACAAAACAAAAAAACCCAAAAACAATGTGTAGTGTATCAAACAGTGAAATATTATTCAGCAATAAAAAGGAATGGAGTACTGGTATGTGCTACAAAAAGGATGAACCTGGAAAACATTATGGGCCGGGTGCGGTGGCTCACACCTGTAATCCCAGCACTTTGGGAGGGCAAGCTGGGCAGACGGCCTGAGCTCAGGAGTTTGAGACCAGACTGGGCAACATGGCAAAACCTTGTCTCTACAAAAAATACAAAAATTAGCTGAGCATAGTGGTGCATACCTATAATCCCAGCTACTCAGGAGGCTGAGGCAGGAGGATCACTTGAGCCCAGGAAGCGGAGGCTGCAGTAAGCCGAGACTGGGCCACTGCACTCCAGCCTGGGCAACAGAACACCTTGTCTCAAAAAATAAATAAATAAAAGAAAGAAAACCTAAACAAAAGAAGCCAGTCACAAAAAGTGACATAACGTGATTCCATTTATATAAATGTCCAGAATAGGTAAATCTGGAGGCAAGCAGCAGATGAGTGGCTGCGTGGGCCACTGGGGTTAGGGAGAATGGCAAATGAATGCTTGACGGATATGTGGTTTTCTTCTGAAGTGACACAAATGTTTCGGAACTAGAGGTGGTGGTTGCACAACACTGTGAATGTACTAAATACCACTGAATTGTACAGTTTAAAATGGCTAGCTTTGTGAATTTACCCCAATTAAAAAAAAAAGAGTACTTTCACATCTATTGTAGTTTAGGCTTAGAAAAGTTCTTATAACAACATGTAGAGAACATAGCATATCTTTCCTTAAAACTAAATTTGTCCAAAAAGGTTTCAATTAAAGTCTTTTAAAAATAGCTACACAGGCCAGGCATGGTAGCTCATGCCTGTAATCCCAGCACCTTGGGAAGCTGAGGTGGGCAGATCACTTGAGGCCAGGAGTTCAAGACCAGGCTGGCCAACATGGCAAAATCCCGGTTGTACTAAAAATACAAAAATTTGCCAGATGTGGTCGTGCGTACCTGTAATCCCAGCTACTCGGGTGGCTGAGGCATGAGAATCACTTGAGCCTGGGAGGCAGAAGTTGCAGTGAGCTGAGATCGAGCCACTGTACTCTAGCCTGGGTGATAGAGTGAGACTCTGTCTTGAACAAAAAAAAAACTGAGGCCGGGCACGGTGGCTTACGCCTGTTATCCCAGTACTTTGGGAGGCTGAGGCAGGCGGATCACCTGAGGTCAGCAGTTTGAGACCAGCCTGACCAATATGGTGAAACCTCATCTCTACTAAAAATACAAAAACTAGCCAGGCGTGGTGGTGAGCTACTCGGGAGGCTGAGACAGAACTGCTTGAACCTGGGAGGAGGAGTTGCAGTGAGCCGAGATCGCACCATTGCACTCCAGCCTGGGCGACAAAAGAGAGACTCTGTCTCAAAAGGAAAAAAAAAAAAATTGAAAAAAAAAAAAAAAAAAAGCTACATACATGATGGAATATAATCTATGTAATTTGCATTCCAGTAATTTGCAGTCAGAAATCAAGAGACTCTGGCCAGGCGCAGAAGCTCATGCCTATAATCCCAGTACTTTGGGAGCCTGAGGCGGGTGGATCACCTGAGGTCAGGAGTTTGAGACCAGTCTGGCCAACATGGTGAAAACCTGTCTCTACCAAAAAATACAAAAATTAGCAGGGCGTGGTGACGCACATCTGTAATCCCAGCAACTCAGGATGCTGAGGCAGGAGAACCACTTGAACCCAGGAGGCAGAGGTTGCAGTGAGCCGAAGTCATACCACTGCACTCCAGCTTGGATGACAGTGAGAATCCATCTCAAAAAAAAAAAAAAAAAAAAATCAAGAGACTCAAATCTTTAAACAAATTTTCAGCTGAGCCTGAAGACTGCCCATACCTTCTGGAAGTCATCAAACTTCTTCTGGAGCACCTCAACCTGCTCCAAGTCTGCTCCGACCTCCTCACTTGTCAGAGCGGCTTCCTTCTCATTGATCCATTGCTGTAGTTCATTCGCTTCACGGAACAACATAAACTTCTTGCAACTCTTCTCCAACATGCCTTTACGCTTCTCACCCAGTTCCAGCAGAGAATGATATCTGATGGAATTCAAGAGGGTGACAAGAGGGACAAGGAAGGCAGTTAGCTGTAGATGCTAACATAAAGGCAAACCACGAGGTGTCTCCAAGATGTGGATTCCAGGCTACGAGTTTGTAATGATGATGCCCTAGTAACAGAGTTATCAGATGAAGACGAGGATCCCAAGTACCCACGCCACAGCCTGAGAGATATGCGCACACTGTACTGTTCACAACCAGGTGGCTAGAACAGCCAGGCACACTTATCCCCAGGCCGATTCTGCACTTAGAACAACACAACCACAAGGGACTGAAACCAAGCGCTTAGCACAGTAACACAGGGCTCATGCAACTACAGTGGAGAGACGAGATGAACTTGCTGGGCAGAATGTATACAGAGGGTTTTTCTGTCTTTTATAATTCTCTGAAGAGCCCCCAGGCTGGGGTGAGGTGGGGGAGGGTACACTGAGCTTTAAAATATCCTCATATAGGATGTTTTATCTCCATATTAGTAGGACATTTCTAAAATGATACATTCAGCTCTCAGAAAGTTTTGGCAAGTTCAGAAGGAAAATCAGGCACAGTACTGAGTATCTGTGCCATTCTGTTACTTGAAAGATTTCTTAAGAATCAAAGAATATTCTAACCCTCGGGAACTAAAATACAAAAGGCTGAAATATTATCTTTGAACACGAAAACAACAAACAATAAAAAACTAAAAATTAAAAAAAACTAGAATCATCATCAAATCTAAGTGTCCCAAAGTAAAATAAAAAAGCAATGAGTTACCAAGAATCAGAGCACTTTAAGAGAAGCATATGATTTCCTTCCTACTAAGGAAAACTATAGAACAGGCCTTCAGGTTTGCTGCTGATAGTGGCTGGTCCACCACAAAAACCAACAGGAGGGAGAACCAACACCACTCTGAACACACAGCTGCACATGGAAGCAACCAATGAGATAAGCAGTCATCGACCGACACAGCTGCACCGCGACCTCTTCCCTTGTGAGCCAAAGCTGCTGCACGGACAGGCAGTTCCTCCCACCACCTCATCTTTCTGGATGGACAAAGGCCTTCAAGAGAAGCGGCAGAGGGAGAATGGATAGGGTAGCAGTGGACATTGGTGCTCTGCAAGACTCTCAGCCTACTCACAGTTCTTCCACCTGCTTCATACGCAGAGATACACTGCCGGCCTCCTTAGTTATGCGTGTCCTGCACAGAGGGGGCACAGCAAAAGCATGCACGAATTAGTGGGGTTAATCCACAGGGATGAAAGGCAGCAGCTCCGACTGGTGCCATGATGGTGGATGCTTAATGTTGGGAAACTATGGAGTTATTCAACAGGTCTAAGGAGCAGTCTAAGTCATGAGTGACATGACAGTAAAGAAATAGCAGGAAAATTAGAGGGTTAGTTCACCTTCATTTTCCTGGCGGGTCTGCCATGCTTAAGGCAGATTTTCCTGTGCTGAAAACACTGGTAACTTCACAGAGCAAGGTCAGGGAACAGACTGGACTACCCTTAGAAAGAAATTTTACTGAGTGCTAACAGGCAATTTAGCCACGTATTTGATCTTTTTCCTCTTATATTTATGACCCAGACTACTGGTAAGAATACAAACCAAGGCCAGGCGTGGTGGCTCACGCCTGTAATCCCAGCACTCTGGGAGGCCAAGGCGGGCGGATCACGAGGTCAGGAGTTTGAGACCAGCCTGGCCAACACAGTGAAACCCCATCTCTACTAAAAATACAAAAATTAGCTGGGCATGGTGGCATGTGCCAGCAGTCCCAGCTACTTGGGAGGCTGAGGCAGGAGAATCACTTGAACCCAGGAGGCAGAGGTTGCAGTAAGCCAAGATCACACCACTGCACTCCAGTCTGGATGACAGAGCGAGAATCTGTCTCAAAAAAAAAAAAAAAGAACACAAACCAAAACCTCCCATTCTTATCTCTATAGTAACAGAATCTATAAAGTGGACAAATAACTCTGATCTTACTGAGGATCACTGGAGCCCAAAAATTTCACTATTCTACCCAAACTCTAGTGGGAATGTATTTCCTGGATATTTCCCAAGTGTCCAAAACTGCTGATTCCACTAGTGGAGTCAGAAATACCCTAAAGGAGGGACACAGGGCAATATGGGGGCTCAGCTAGAGGAAAGAGGACAGAGCCATTTCATTACAAAATTCCATTCTCAGAACTCAAAGCTATGGCAGACAGAGAAGCTCTGAAAGCAGCTTTTCAAAGTGGACAGAGCTGTAGGGGCGTAGAGTATCTGAAAATCCAATTTCAAAAAGCATCTCGAACCAAAAGGCAAATGGCAATGATTAGAAAAATTCTGGTTAGGAAAAACTCATGAACACTGGTGGAAAAAAAACAAAGCAATATAAGTCATCAGTCAGGGGTCTGAGACCCACACAGGGAGGTCTGTGGGCTCAAAGTGGGGTGGAGACAGCAGGAGGCGTGCAGGTGGGCTCCAGGAGCCTCAGGACACGCCTAAGCTTCGGCCCATGTGGAACAGAGTATGCCTATGGGACGCCTAGCCCTTGCGGCCCCCAGTGTCATCCTTACTGATTGTCAATCTGCTCCTGCCGCAGTGCTATGCTGCCTTGCTCCTCCAGGAGATTCTCCCGGGAGGCTGACTGGGCGGGGTCCAATTTCTTCACGTACGCAGCCGGCACAAAACCCTGACGATCGTTCACTTCCACTTTCCACCAATCCTAAGGAAAAAAGAGGGAGAACTGAAAGTAAATTCCTTCTCTGAGAGGGAGAATCCAAGGAGGTCACGTGTATACACACACACGAGAGCGTTGTTTTAAGAGGTCCAAAACGGCCGGCCACAGTGGCTCACACCTATAATCCCAGCACTTTGGGAGACCGAGGCGGGTGGATTACGAGGTCAGGAGATGGAGACCATCCTGGCCAACACAGTGAAACCCCGTCTCTACTAAAAAAGATACAAAAAAAATTAGCTGGACATGGTGGTGGGCACCTGTAGCCCCAGCTACTCGGGAGGCTGATGCAGGAGAATGGCATGAACCCAGGAGGCAGAGCTTGCAGTGAGCTGAGATTGCGCCACTGCACTCCAGCCTGGGCGTCAGAGCGAGACTCTGTCTCATAAAAAAAAAAGGTCCAAAATGATATTAAAATCACTTTCTATAAGGTCTGATAATTCAGTCCCTTCCTCACCTGCCATACCTGCAGAGGGTCACAGGCAGAAGAGCAATGCCGCCTGCCACCAAGGCTGGCCTTCTCTCTGCTTAGATGCTCCAGAGCTGTGCTAACACTGTAGCCACCAGTCACATGTGCCCACTTAACTTTCATTGAGTTAGAACTCTTTTTTATTGGAGACAGAGTCTTGCTCTGTTGCCAGGCTGGAGTGCAGTGGCACGATCTTGGCTCATTGCAACCTCTGCCTCCTGGGTTTAAGTGATTCCCCTGCCTCAGCCTCCCAAGTAGCTGGGACTACAGGTGCACGCCACCACGCACAGCTAATTTTTTTGTATTTTAGTAGAGACGGGGTTTCACCATGTTGGCCAGGATGGTCTCAATCTCCTGACCACATGATCCACCCACCTCAGCCTCCCAAAGCGCTGATATTATAGGCGTGAACCACCACGCCTGGCCCTTTTTTTTTTTTTTCTTTTTTAATATAAATAGAGATGAGGTCTCGCTATGTGCCCCAGGTTGGTCTCGAACTCCTGGGCTCAAGCGATCCTCCTGTCTCGGCCTCCCAAAGTGCTGGGACTACAGGCGTGAGCCACCATGCCCGGCTTCATCGAGTTATAATTTAATTAAATAAAACACCCAGTTGTACTAGCCATATTTTAAGGGCTTACTATCACACGTAGCTAGTAGTTACTGCAGAAGCAGCACAGACACTTACATTTCCACCATCACAGAAAGTTCTACTGGGCAATGCTGCTCTTGAATAAACCAAAGTTAGACCACAAGTTGGTTTAGGTTTAAATTAGACTCAATAGAAAGATAAGAATCACAGGTTTCCTCAAATTATCATGACAAGGATAAATAAGGTGTGGGAATGGGAATAAACTTGCTCTTAAAAATGGCCAAGGACATTTCTCCAGCCTTAACTAAAACAGAAGGCAGGCCTCTTTCAGGATCAGTCAATCTGTGCATGCTTCAACACCACTGTCAATTCAGAGTGTGTTAGGGAAGAAAGGCTGGTGGACCAGGATGGATTTATTATTGTCATTATTTAGCCTAAAGAAGACAAAGCCTGTGGGGTGAGGTCACAGCTGTCTTCAATGATCTGCTGGGCTGAGATGTAGCTTGTAGTCTGGAGTAAGAACCAACAGGTCGGCCAGGCGCGGTGGCTCATGCCTGTAATCTCAGCACTTTGGGAGGCTGAGGCGGGTGGATCACGAGGTCAGGAGATCGAGACCATCCTGGCTAACACGGTGAAACCCCGTCTCTACTAAAAATACAAAAAATTAGCCGGGCGTGGTGGCAGGCACCTGTAGTCCCAGCTGCTCGGGAGGCTGAGGCAGGAGAATGGCGTGAACCTGGGAGGTGGAGCTTGTAGTGAGCTGAGATCATGCCACTGCACTGCAACCTGGACGACAGAGCAAGACATTGTCTCAAAAAAAAAAAAAAAAAAGGCCGGGCACGGCGGCTCATGCCTGTAATCCCAGCACTTTGGGAGGCTGAGGTGGGTGGATCACGAGGTCAGGAGATAGAGACCACGGTGAAACCCCATCTCTACTAAAAATACAAAAAATTAGCCAGGTGCAGTGGTGGGCGCCTGTAGTCCCAGCTACTCGGGAGGCTGAGGCAGGAGAATGGGGTGAACGCAGGAGGCGGAGCTTGCAGTGAGCTGAAATCGTGCCACTGCACTCTAGCCTGGGTGACAGAGCGAGACTCTGTCTCAAAAAAAAAAAAAAAAGAAAAGAAAAAGAAAAAAAAAGAACCAACAGGTCCAAGTTATACAGAAAGCAAACTTTGGCTTGACAGGACAAAAATTCCACCTAGAGACACTCAATGGTGAAAATAAGCTATCCTTCTGAGTGTGATTATCTATGCTTCTTGCAGGTATTCAAGAAGACAGATTAACTTCTTGGTCATACACAGTACTGCATAAATGTATGTCACGTGGGGGATTGGTGAGGAAACTCATGTCTTTGAATTCTAAGCCTTCTCATTTCAGGGAGACATGCAACCCACAGAAACCCAACTGAGCATACGTGGAGGTGCCAGCGTGGAACAAACACACAGCCACTCTCTGTGCCTTGCCTTGTTGGTGCTGTTGAGTAAGGTAAGGATATCTCCCTTCTTCATGGTGACCTCTCGGGGACTCTTCTCCTGATAGTCGTAGAGAGCCAAGACCAGCTCCTTCCCAGTCTCATCATCCGTGGGGGCCACTTGTTGCTAAAAATCCAAAGGAAGGGCAAACATGGTAAAAACACGTCCGCGCTGAGTCATCTAAGTACAGAGCAGATTCAAATGCCACCAGCTGTACCAAATGTACCAAATATACACTCATGAGAATTCTTCACTGAAGCTACCAATAAAATCTGATCCAAGAACTTTAAATTTTTGGTATCTTTAAAAAAAAAATCTCATTTTGTCTGGGCACGGTGGCTCATACGTGTAATCTCAGCACTTTGGGAGGCTGAGGCAGGCAGATCACCTGAGGTCGGGGGTTCGAGACCAGCCTGACCAACATGGAGAAACCCCATCTCTACTAAAAATACAAAACTAGACAGGCGTGGTGGTGCGTGCCTGTAATCCCAGCTACTCGGGAGGATGAGTCAGGAGAATCACTTGAACCTGGGAGGCGGAGGTTGCGGTGAGCCAAGATCAGGCCAATGCACTTCAACCTGGGCAACAAGAGTGAAACTCCATCTCAAAAAAAAAAAAAAAAAATCTCATTTTAAAGTAGGGCCGGGCACAGTGCTCATACCTATAATCCCAGCACTTTGGGAGGCCAAGGCGGGCAGATCATGAGGTCAGGAATTCAAGACCAGCCCGGCCAACATAGTGAAACCCCATCTCTACTAAAAATACAAAAATTAGCTGGGCGTGGTGGCGGGCGCCAGTAATCCCAGCTACTCAGGAGGCTGAGGCAGGGTAATTGCTTCAACCTGGGAGGCAGAGGTTGCAGTGAGCCAAGATAGTGCCACTGCACTCTAGCAAGACTCCATCTCAAAAAAAAAAAAAAAATTTAGCTGGGCATGGTGGTGAACACCTGTAATCCCACCTACTCAGGAGGCTGAGTCAGGAAAATCGCTTGAACCCAGGAGGCGGAGGTTGCAGTGAGCCGAGGTTGTGCCACTGCACTCCAGCCTAGGCGACGGAGTGAGACTCTGTCTCTAAATAAATAAATAAATAAATAAATCTTATTTTAAACTCTGTAAATCTTTGTGTCACAAGAGTTAATAGCAGAGTCAAATGGGGCCTATGATAGGAACACCTGCTGACAGTATCTGAGTCCTTCAAGGCCTCCCTCCAGTAACCCATAAACTGTTACAAGTTTACCCGGCAGGACTGTGCTTGTTCTCGCAAAGCCTGGATGCTGCTGCCGTAGGCACTGAGATCTGACATCAAAGCTTCGTGTTTCTTCAGTAGAGCCTGAAACCAAAACCACACATGGAGCACTGTGCAGGGGCTGAAGCCTCCCATCCTCCACTGCCTCGCCAACCTGCCATCCTGCCTCAACAGCCTTTCTCAGTTGCACAATGACGTAATCACCTCCTGCCCTTCTTACAGTGCTAATATCATTTTCAAAGTTTTTCAGGATTCTCATCTTTTGGGACAATCATATATATTATGATTATAGCTTACTCATCCTGGTCTAGGCACAGAGGCTTATGCCTGTAATCCCAGCACTTTGGGAGGCTGAGGCAGGCAGACAGCTTGAGCCCAGGAGTTCAAGACCAGCCTGGGCAACATACTGAAACCTCATCTCTACAGAAAATACAAAAATTAGCCAGATGTGATGGTGCGTGCCTGTAGTCCAAGCTACTCAGGGGACTGAGGCAGGAAGACTGCTGAGCACAGGAGGTCAAAGCTGTAGGGAGTCGTGATTGCATCACTGTACTCCAGCCCTAGCGACAGAACGAGCGCGGTGCCTCACGCCTGTAATCCCAGGACTTTGCGAGGCTGAGGCAGGCAGATCACTTGAGGTCAGGAGTTCAAGACCAAACTGGCCAATGTGGTGAAACCCCATCTCTCCTAAAAATACAAAAAAAGTTAGCTGGGCGTGGTGGCGGGCGCCTGTAATCCCAGCTACTTAGGAGGCCAAGGCAGAAGAATCGCTTGAACCCAGGAGGTGGAGGTTGCAGTTATCCGAGATCATGCCACTGCACTCCAACCTGGATGACAGAGTGAGACTCTGTCTCAGAAAAAAAAAAAGAAAAGGAAAAATTCAACTCATTCTAGTTTTTGTGAAGAGTGGTAAGAGCTAGGTACAGGAACTATACCTAGACCTTTATGAATAAAATTTGAGAATTTTAGTCAAAAAACAGATAACCAGTAAAAAACCAAGTACATCTATGTATGTATGTGTGCATGTTGGTATGTGGGTATATGTGCGCACTGGTATGTACATGTGTATGCTGGTATGTTTGTAGGTATGTATATATGTATGTGTGCATGTTGGTATGTTAGTATGTATGTAAGCACACATATGGTTTCACATAGATGAAACAAGAGTGACAAATGTTAACGGTTGAAGGTGAGTGAGAAGTCATCTTCTCTCTCCTTTAGGTATGATTACATTTTCATAATAAAAAGTGAAAAATGGGCCAGAAGGGGTGGTTCATTCCTATCATCCTAGCATTTTGGGAGGCTTTGGCAGGAGGATTGTTTGAGGCCAGGAGTTTGAAACCAGATGGGACAACATAGCGAGACCCTGTCTCTACTAAAAATAAAATTAAAATTAAAAAGCGTAGCTAGGCAGGTAGTGGTACCTGCCTATAGTTCCAACTACTTGGGAGGCTGAGGCAGGAGGATCGCTTGAGCCCAGGAGTTTGAGGCTGCAGTGAGCCACAATTGTAACATTGCAGTCCAGCCTGGGCAAGAGTGAGACTCTGTCTCCAAAAAAAAAAAAAAAAAAAAAAAAACCAAGTGAAAAATGGATTCCAAAACATTTTAAAAAACAATCACTGTAATGCACACCTCCCGCGCATCACTACTTCTCCTAACTTCCTTCTCAGTACAAGCCCTGTTCCACTTCCCTGGCAGGTGAGACGCTTCCCACGCCTGGTTACCTCAGCAGAGTCTTCGTCCTTGCCATAGTCAGTGCTGCCCACAATGGGTTCCTTCTCCCGCATCCAGGATTCAGCCTCGTTAGCATCAGCAAAGTACTGCTGGGCCTGCAGAGAGTCCTCCAGGTCCTGCCGACGCTGGGAAGCTTTGGCTTTCAGTGCCTCCCACTTTTGGTTCAGCTCGTGAAGCTTGGCCTTCACATCCTCTGCAGCAAAATGGCCTGGAAGATGGGTAGGGAAAGAGGATAACAAAAACTACGTTGACACATCACAGAAGGACAAAAATAAGTTTTCTCTGTGTGTTCACGGCACTTTCATTACTATGTTTTGGTGAGCTGTGCCCTTTCATAATTCCATTTTTTTTGAGAGGCTCAGGTTCTAACCCTCTAATGGACTGTTTCATTTTTTGCCTCCTCAAACCATGACCTCTATCTAGACTCTAAGAAGCAGATATCGCAAGTTGGCATTAGTGATAGTATCATAAAGACTAGTAACAGTACCACTGTAGCGCTCAGTTACTGAGACTGGCACGTGCAGGCACTCTATCAGCTCTTTTCCTACTTGGTTTCACTTACTCCCCACTACAGTGTCAGGAGAGGTGCTGTCATCCCCGTTTCACAGATAAGAAATTCAGGCTCGGAGCCAGGCGCGGTGGCTCATGGCTGTAATCCCAGCACTTTGGGAGGCCGAGGTAGGTGGATCACCTGAGGTCAGGAGTTCAAGACCAGCCTGACCAATATGGTGAAACCCTGTCTCTATTAAAAATACAAAAATAAAAATACAAAAATTAGCTGGGTATGGTGGTGTGTCCCTGTAGTCCCAGCTACTTGGGAGGCTGAGACAGGAGAACTGCTTGAACTAGGGAAGCAGAGGTTCCACTGAGCTGAGACCGCGCCACTGCACTCCACCCTGGGTGACAGAGTGAGACCCCGTCTCAAAAAAAAAAAAAAAAAGAAATTCAGGCTCAGAAAGGGTAAGGTCTGGTCAGGTCATACAGTTAGGAAAGAATGGGGATGGTATTCAGCCCCAGAGCCTGGTTTGTGATGCCCACGTGGCCATGCCCTCGGCAAGAAGGGGAGACACGAGGAGCAGCACCAAGCCATGTCACTGATACCAATCACTCACCTTCCTCCACCATGGCATTCCCCTTCTGTGTAACTGCTTTGATGCGTGGTTCATGTCCAGCAATTTCTGCTTGTAAGGCTTGATGTTTCTTTAGCAGATTCTGGACCCCAATTAAATCCTTACCTGAAAGCAGACACCAGTCCCCAGTTATCCAACCATGAAGAGAAAAGTCAGCACTGATTTGTCATTCTTAGCTACCACCATGGTTCCAGTTCAATAATTTAAATTCGACCCTGCCCATCCTGACATGCATCCCCTTTATGCTACAATAGCACAGCCTTTCCCAAGTTGATTCCTACCTGAGGGAAGCAGACTGACCTCTGTTGGTAGATGCGGCAATGGGCTCTTTCTCTCGAATCCACGTCTCCTCATCCTCAACATCCCGGAAGAGCTGCTGCAACCGCAGAGAATCGGCCAGCTTCTGCTTCCGGGCAACCATGGGCTCCTTGAGTGCCTCATAGCGAGCCACGAGGGCTTCCTGTTTCTTCTTGATGTTTTCTGCATCAAAATGGCCAGCATCTTGGAACTGGCGGGCCTGAATGGTGATGCCATCAATTCGGTCCTGGGAATGCAAAAGGACAGAGCAGACTTTACTTTGGGTGTGGTTTTATCGTATACAGAGAAAAATTGATAAGGTCTTTTTTCCATTCCTGAGAGGATTCTTTCTGCTATCTCCTTCCTTCATCTGGGGCTCCTAGAAAGCTCTAAGGGATGATATTTAATTTGAGCAGAAGCACATGCAGCACAGAGCGATCTAAGAAAATCAACACATTTCATCCCTCCCAAAATTCATTTAGTCTCAAATTACTGGCTTTTCCTCCCTCCTATAGTTTCTGCATTCACTTGCCCAACCACAGCCCCCAGTTCACACTACCTGGTGAGCAGCCACATCTGCCTCTAGCAGTGCATGTTTCTTCTGGAGGTTCTGCACATTGGTAAGATCTTTGCCGTAATCATCCGAAGCCAAGTGACCTTCTACTTCATATAGCCACAATTCAATATCCTCAACATTGCGATTAAATTGCTGTTGCTGGTTGGCTTCACGAAGCTTTATTCCTATGGAAGAAAACAAGTTTAATTTTGTACTGCTTAGCATTACCCTTCTGCCAACACTGCCCATGAACAGTAGTATCTTAGTGAAGGACTATACAGGTCAGAATTTTATTCCTTCACTTATGTCACAAAGAGAAAGAAAATATCAATTGCAGCCTCTGCTCTACCTTCTCAAGGTTGAACTGGAAGCATTCTAACCCCCTTGAGATATAAGGACACTGGAGAATTAGTAAATGCCCTTGGCTCTCAGCTGAACTTTGATTTTCAGCAATGAGGCCCAATTCAGTTCCTTCTCACTCAGACTCCCTCACCAACCAGTATGCTCGACCACATTTACCAAATTATTATCAAGAACTTAAGCCAAGTAATTCCTACACAGGAAATTATCCCTAACGCCAAAGTCATCCACCTCACCTTTCTTGGGGGGTATATGTCCCTAAAATACTTAATAGAAAGGGGTATTTAGTTCCCCAAACATGCATGTCACAATTCAATGGAACATCTCTTACCTTTCAGTTCAGTGGCCTCTAGCAGTTTCTTCCACAAACTGATCACCTCATTCATACGAGCTGCCACTTCATCCTTGGCATAGTGGTTGACATCAATCAGCTTTTGGCCAGCTTTCTCCAAGGCATCAATTCGGCTCTGGTTTGCTGAGAGCTCAGCCTCAAAAGCCTGATGCTTCTGTACTTTTCCTTGTAGGTTGGATGGATCCTGTGAATAAAAGAAGGGGGTTCTTTCTATCTTGAACCTGAGAACGTCAAGTTCCCTTGCACTACCTTCATACTTATCTTTATGGAGGAATGTATAAAACAGTTGGCTTACATTAAGTAGTGGGGTTTCTGGAATCCCTTATTTCGTCCTTTAGCTACAATTTATTTGTGAGAGCTGTGTTTAGCTTACTAATCGAGTGCTACATGGCAACACTAACAGTACATTACTTTATAAGCTTCATCTGTGGCAGTTTTCATCTTCTCATTGACCCAACTCTTGAGCTCATCAGAATCACGGAAAAACTGCTGCAGATGGAAAGAATCGGCTAGCTGGGCCCGGCGACGCATGGCTCTCTCGTGAAGGGCATTGCGGCGGCTCAACAGCTGAAAGACAAGGATCCCCTGTGAGTCTCTAGTGTTCACTCCCAAAGGGATATCCAGTTGAAGAGACTTAACTGGAACATCTTAGAAGAGACATTCATGTACCAAAAAGGAGGAGCATGAAGAACCTACAAACTTACAGCATCTCGGCGAGTGGCCACATCTTCCATTGCATAGTGGTTGTTCTGAATTAGCTTGGTTGCAAATTCATCTAATGCCTAGGAAGGAAGATAAGAGTTCTTCATTGGTAAGCACACTAGTCCCAAGCTTGGCCTCTGGAGAAAAGTAACTGCTGAACAGATCATAAAACACACCAAACTTTAACATAGGTCAAGGTTTTCACCCAAAGGTTGGTGATGACATTTTTTCTCATAACTTTTGAGATTTTGCTTGATGTCACCAGTCAGATATCATAAGACTGCACTACCTCCATTCAAGACTGGAGACATTAGTTGTGGCACGATCTCCTGGCAGGGGTCAAACACAGGTTAACAGCTTTCCAAATTCTTATTTCTAAGATGTATTTTCAATGGGAAGAGTACCTCTTAATATTAACCCTGACCTACTTTTAATGAAGGGTACAAACTTAAAGAAGTTTGGAGGTTTCCATTAAGTAAATCATTTTTCCATAAAGTTGTATTATGTCTTCAACGAGATAGCATGTCATCCTTGTGAAAGTTTAAGCACCCACAGGAGTACTCTGCATATGAATCTTTCATCAAATCTGTTTGGAATCCTTCCAGGGAAAAAGACTCTGGCTTACTATAAGGGTCATTTGAAAGCACTGACAAGAAGGGGTCTTACTGTAATCTTTTCCTCCTGGGCACTAAGGGATTTCTCAAAGTCTTCGTGCTTCTTAAGAAGCGCTTCCACACTATCCAAGGAATCTCCCAAGTCTTCATTCAACAGGAACGCCTTGCCAAAGGAAACAAAGTGTTCAGAATAATGTCCTATTCCTTTGATCTTCTAAGACTGTGAAGCAAAGGGTATTTTGGCCAAAATATAAAAAGAAGGAAAGAGATTTTATGGCTGCTAAACTTCTAAGATCTCTTCTAGGAAGTCTAAAGTCCTTTTGGATTTTCTTAAAATCAATCCAGCCATATCATGAAATCCTATTCCACATTCTATTGAAACTTCTCTTACATAGTTTTTGTTGCTTCTATTAGATTCAGATGTTACATAATGCTAAGGTTTGTTTTTTTTGTTTGTTTTTTTTTTTTTTGTGAGACAGGATCTCGGTCTGTTGCACAGGCTAGAGTGCGGTGGTACGATCATAGCTTGCTGCAGCCTTGAGCTCCTGGGCTCAAGGGATACTCCCATCTCAGCCTCCCAAAGTGCTGGGATTACAGCAGGGAGCCACTGCACCCAGCAATGCTAAGTTCTAAGAAAAAAATCTCTTTAATAAAACATTTTACATCACACTAATCTGAAAAGCTGGGGCCTTTTCTGAAGGCCTTGCAATCTCAGCAGGGAGAGATGCTGGCAGAGCTGAGAGAAGCTTGCTCAATTCCCCCTCTTCAATGGATTCAGAACTAACATGGTACTGATGTCCTAAAACAAAACAAGCACACTACCCGAGGAGGCAAAACACAGGCCCTTCTTCTCCCACCACTGGCAAGGCTTTGCTCACAGATTACCTCCTGCTTGCTCATCCAGTTGTCCACCTGCTCAGTGTCCCGGTAGAAGAGCTGCAGGTCCATGCACTGCTCGTACTGCTGCCTGCGCAGCTCCCACAGCTCCAGCAGCGCCGCTCTCTCCTCGGAAAGGACGGTCAGCTTGGGGGCATAGGAGACATGGTCAGGGAGATGAGGTCAGCCCCAATGCCTCCGAGGCAGACAGAACAGCTATCCTGGAATTCCTAATCCTAGTGCTAATCTTCAGGCCTTTTTTCCGATTTGCAAAAGGGGAAAAACAACATTCACTTGTATGTGCATGTTCAATATAAAAGGGATGGCCTGTTTTAATTAATCTAGAATTAATTTATTGCCAAATGATCACAAATGACTTTAGGTAAAAACAGTAAGTAAACTCCCAGGTAGAAGAAATAGGGCATCCATTTAAAAGTGAGGCAGTATAAATGGAGTTTAATGGAGTATAAATGGAGTAGGGACTCTCCACTAAGAAATGTCAACTGAGTGGGTGCTCCATAACATATGGAAAATAAATTCAGAAACTCCCTAGACTTTAGGCTCCGAAGCTACTAATGACAAGTCTTTGAAATGTCTTTACTCTATGTAATACTAAAAAACATATAAATCATATAAATCATTATTTATCTAATGTTCCTAGGCAATTTTATACTCGAAGATACTTCAAAACTTATATACATATGTGTATATATATACACATATAAAAAAAGTAAAATAAAATATGTATATATATACATATTTTATTTTTATTTATTTATTTTTTTTTAGAGACAGGGTCTCACTCTGTCACTCAAGCCAGAGTGCAGTGGTGCAAATCATAACTCATTATAACCTTGAACTCAAGTAGCTCGGACTATAGGAATGTGCCACCATGTCTGGCTAATTTATTAATTTTTTGTCCAGATGGGGGTCTCACTATGTTGTTCAGGATGGTCTCCCATTCCTGGCCTCAAGCAATCCTCCTGCCTTGGCCTCTGAAAGTGCTGGGGTCACACCACACCTGGCCTATGTATCATTTTATAAAAATTTGTTTCCTCTTTGCTCCAACTCCTAATGCAAGACTCAGCTCCCTACAGAAAGTCCCTGTAAGTAGGAAACATGCCACACATGCCCCAGATAAGGAGGACTGTCTCTCAGGAAATCAGCACACTATACATATACCTTCTTTTTAAACCTCTGCAGAGAAAGGAAAGTTTCTCACATATCATGGTGAATGCGTTCTCTGGATATTTAAGGATGAATAATAGCTTTCAGAGACTTAGTGAAAGGTGTAATTTGCTCCTCAAAAGCTCCATTTCTCTTCTCTTACCTTCTCCCTCACTTCATCTGAGGCATAGTGACCAGCAGCAAGCAGTGCCTGTCCAGATTCATCTGCAGATTTGAAGCTGTCTTCATGGGCATCAATTTCACCCTACAGGAGAAAAAAACAAAGCCATGATTTGTGCCCAGCATCTTACAAAATAAAAACAAGGTGCTGAATTTTACATAAGCATTATAAGCCAGACTATGACATCTAAAATGAGAAACAAAATGAAAGATTAGGCCAGATTTCCTAATACATAATCAGTCTAGGTCATCAAATGTGAGAGTATCACTCACTGATGAAATCCTTTCCAAATGGCTTTTCAGGTCACCTGTCATTTGTCAAGGTTCCACACATTCACATGGGTCTGAGCTCTCTTTCATTCCAGGGCTCTGTCTTCTTTGTGCCAAATGGACTTGTTTACTATGATTTTATAGAACCTGGTAGGGCGAGTCCCTCCCTGGCCCCATTATGATCTTCAACATTGTCTCAGCTTTTTTTGAATTTTTTTCTTCCAAATCAGTTTTGGAATCAGCTTATCTCATTGCAAAAAGAAACACACACATATACCTGCTGAGCACTTGACTGGAACTGCATTAACGGTATATATCCTGGTGGGAATTTACACCTTCACAGAAGATCGTTCCATCTGTGTACTAGATAAATCATTCTATCTATTCAGTTTTTATTTAATGCCTTTTAACAAAGTTTTATAGTTTTCTCCAGAAGTGTCTTACACTCTTTTGTTAGACTTATTCCTAAGTACTTTATATTTTCTGCTCTAATAAGTAGTATTTTTAAAAATTATGTTTCTGTTGCTAGTGTAGAGAAACATGTTTGACTTTCAGTATATTGATTTTGTATCTAGCACATTAAAACCTCTCAGAAGGTTTTTTTTTTTTTTTTTTTCTTTGAGACAGAGTGAAACACTCTTGTTGTCCGGACGGGAGTGGAATGGTGTGATCTTGGCTCACTGCAACCTCTGCCTCCCGGGTTCAAGCGATTCTCCTGCCTCAGACTCCTGAATAGCTGGGACTACAGGCGCGTGCCACCATGACCAGCTAACTGTTGCATTTTTAGTAGAGATGGGGTTTCACCATGTTGGCATGGATGGTCTTGATCTCTTGACCTCATGATCCACCCGCCTCAGCCTTCCAAAGTGCTGGGATTACAGACATAAGCCACCGTGCCTGGCCCAACAAATACTTTTTACATCACAAAGGATCAATGTGCCAAGTAGTAGCACTTCTATCTCGCCAGAGCTTGTCTGTTTGCTTTTATGGACCACAGTGAACCTCTTGACACTGAACCCAGTTAAGCCTCTATCAGAAGCAGGTAGACCAGGTCTCCAAAGGCAAAACCAACCATAATCCTCATGATGAGAAACACCTGTGAATAACATGGTACCAACGCCGACTATAGGCCTCACCCAACACTGATAAACTGGTGCATTATAAGCTAAAATCTTCACTTCTGGAAGATTCTAGAGATACCATTACCTTGTGCTCTTGGTGTCTATCTAGCAGGGCTTCAGCCCCAGCCACATCACTGGCAAGCTCATCTGCATTGATGAGGGCTTTCATCTCAGTCACCCAGCTGGTGAGGTCACGGAAGTCAGCAAGGAAGCGTTGAAGCCTAGGGAAAACCAAAGGAAGACATTATGTTTCCAGCGGAGGTTCCAGGGTGGAAAATGGCCTCCCTAAAGCTCTGAATTCTATGTTCTCAAATGTCTAACAAACTATATAAATTCTAATTCTGGGAAATATGAAAATTTCCCAATCTAGACTGTGAAGGAAAGCAAGAGAAGGCTGAAATCAACCCTTTAAAACTTAGGTTCTCTCCATCACTATAATGCCCCAATCCTGTCCCACATTTTCAACTTCCTTGTTATTCCCAGGTTCAACCCTTGGCTAGCAAGGATTCTTTTCCTTTCTAATCCTGGTTTTAATAAGATATTTCATGTGATACTCAGATACTTAAAGGGACATTCCCATTCTATCAATCATAATGCAGTGATGCAGAATAGAAGAATTTATGAAGTTGTAAATACCATACGTATACTACACATGATACAGTTGCCAGTCTCCAAACAGAGAGAACATAGGTAAGAAGTGATTTGCATTTGTAGGTGATACCTGACACTTTCACAGAACACAGAACAGACCCTTAACTCTGCTATTCCTGCTTCCAAAAAAGAAGCCAAATGATACTGGTTAAGACCTGGAGCATTATTTGCACCTGTATGAATCATTGAGCCGTGCATGTCTCTCTGCCGCCAAGGTGCGGATCTGCTCCCAGTTTGTAATCAGTTCCTCTCGCTTCACTTGAATCTGTGTTGCACTCAGAGGGTGGGACTGTTGCAGGCGGTCAGCCTCAGCACACAGGGCTTTGACCTAGAAATGAACTCCGTCAGAACTATTCTCCTGACCCTTGGTAACTTATTTACAGAATCAGCTGCTTGTAAAACCCACCTTGTCTTCTAGAGCAGCAAGATCTCTCTCCAGACCCTCGTGCTTCCGAAGCAGAGCCTGAACACTTGCCAGGTCTCGGCCAAAATCATCAGAGGCCATTAACTGCTCCTTTTCCTTAATCCAACTGATAGTCTCATCCACATCCCTACAGAACAAAGGCACCAGTTAATCCACAGCAATGATGACTCCCTAGAACTAGGAACACCCCATGGGACCAAGGCCTAGTCAGCCTCGACAGCTCACCAGCACATGCCCTGTGCTTCACAACTCCCCTCCAGGTTGAGACCCATTCCCCAAAGCCCACTCTGGCTTGACACCTGTTAAAGCGCTGAACTTCTGCTGCCCCAAAGAGCTTCCCCTGCCTCTGCAGAGCCAGGCCCTTCAGCCGCTGCCAGGCTGCATTGACTTCATCCTGCTTAGTCTTGATCAGTTCCTCCTCAGGGTGCTGCTCCTAAACAAGGAAGAGAAGAGACTGGATTTGTACACAACTTCTGGCTCCTCCAACTAGTTACCCTGGGGTTGGTTCCTTGAAGCATCTCAGCAAATCACCACTCTGAAGAGAATCACAAGAAATAATGGTCAACATGATACAAAGTGAACTACAACTCCAAAGAGTTTCTATTTCTTATGTAAAAAGGGGAGAGCCATTCTCTATCTTTTGGAGTAGTGTGGTTAGTCTATAAGGTGGTTATGTGCAAAAGTGCCAAAAACCTTTATGTTAATAAATAGTTTGGCAACAACTGTGTGGTAACTTTATCAATGTACTCATCTACCCTAACTGCTTGAAAATTTGGTATTTCAGATGTTCATGAGGCTGTTAAGCATTCTTGCACATAAACATAATTTTCGGGGCTCAAGAGTTTGTCCCTGGCTTTAGACTGACGACATTTCTTTTTTTCTTTTTTGAGACAGGGTCTTGCTATGTTACCCAGGCTGGTCTCAAGTGATCCTGTCTTGTCAGCCTGAGTCTGAGTAGAGTAGCTGGGTCTATAGGCAGGTGCCACTGCATCAAGCTTAGAGACATTTCTTTAAAAGTATCCTTCCCTACCAACCACATTTTGGTGTTTTAAAAAATATGATACAAAGTAATAAAATGAAGCATTTCAGGGTTCTTGAATCCATCTGGGATACCATGGGTTTGGCCTGACTACTTTTCTCAAGCTCAACCGCAGGAAAGCTTAGGGTTTGGAAAAGCAACACATCTGTCACTGTGGAAGGGTGAGATATTTCTGAGGAATGCCGGGTATCTTTCTCTTAATCACTGGCCAGAAAATGGAAACAAGTACCAGCCTATAAGCAGATTTATACACTTAAAATTTGTACCCCCCAAATCAAATTTCCCTAAAAGTAAAAACTCTCTGGTTCCGAGTACTTGATGTCTTTGGAACCCTTTGGACTCGTAGTGGAAGCAGCTTACAGGATTGTACACGTGGGCACTGGGGAAGGGTTGTCATTCCCTCTTAATGGGCTCCAGCGCCAGAGTGGAGAGCCTATTCACGACAAGGTTCTCCCAGGCTCCCAAGAGAGCCCAGGGAAGCTTCAAATAAAAAAGGAAGGCAAGAGCCCTAATGCATTGGTGGACATCTGCCAATACTAACTTAGCATTCACCACCACACCCTCGTCTGAGAAACCCTGAGACCTAGCTTCAGCAGTCCAATAAAAGCTTCACCCAGCCCTACCCAAAAGTGGGTAGAGGAAACAGATCAAATGAACTCTGCCCTTCCTGCCCAAGGCAACACATTGAAAAGCATTTTCCAATTTAGGAGTAATCAGTATTGTGCCTCACATCTAAACAAAACTCTCAGACATGCTTACAAAAACTTGCTCACTCAGAAATTAGGGGACCAATCATCAAAATTTTATCCTGAATATACTAAAAAGTTAACATAATAATGTTGTGAGAAGCATACAGCACTTTGCTATTTACCTGTATGAGTTTGGCAGCAAACTGGTTCACTTCATTAACTCTTTCTTCATGAGCAGCCATATCTGTTTGAAACTCTTCAAATTTCTTCTGTAAAACCTCTACATGCTCCAGATCCTGGCCCAGCTCTTCAGAAGTAACAATTGCTTCCTATTCAGGGACCATAAGAGAGCCAGAGTCACCAACCAACATTTGTTAACAATGGCTTCCAGAAACATCAAACAGACACATTAGGGACGGAGCCATGTTAGCTTTAATGGATACAGTTTTGTCTGTGGTTTGTGATTTTAGTTCCTCCCACAGAAAGTTAAGAGGTTGAGTTCACGGCATTTCTGTCTCAGCGACTCCAGGCTTCAGAGTTACAGAATAGCACATACACCTAGAGAGCAGCTGGAGAGACAGCAACCCCACTTCCACCCTTTTACTTAAAATGGCCGTATCTGTGCTAACACTGGGTCTCACTACAGATCACAGAGGAGTCTCTTCCCTTTTCTTTGAGTAAAGCTTAGCAAACCCTTCTTCCCAAAACGTGCCTTGTCATTGATCCAGTCCATCACGTCCTCACATTCTCGTAAGTACTGCACCAACTTCTGGGCCTGCAGCAGTTTGATTCCTTTTTCTCGCATCTTCTCCAAAAGTAATTCCCACTGGCGGTGCAGCTCCATCAAACGGGTCTGAAAGTTTCAAATCAGAGTTTTAATCAGATCACAACTGGCTCTGTGGGATCTGGCTCTTCCATAGAGTTTAGACAAGTTAGAGACCTTATGGAGCGCTGAATAAAAATATTTTTAAAAGATAATCCCTAAACTGAGAGGAAATAGTAAATTTAACTGGCAGTAGGGAAAAGTCCACAGTTCACAGTGGTTTTTTGGTGGTCTTCAAGTTACAAGTAGGTAGATCTACTCTAGTTCTTTCACAGGTAGATTTACTCTAGTTTACATCAGGAAAATCATTATCATTTATATTATTAATAATATCTTTATATTTCATTTATAATTATATTTATGATATATTTATATTGTATAGTTATATATTTTAGTATTATATAATAATAGGTACACAATTGATACTATTAATTATTATTAAATTATTAGAGTGGAATTCCTAATCCAGAAGACTACTGGGAAAGGAAAAATGAGGAATTAATGTGTAAACTGAGCTGAAATTACTGAAGGATGTATTCCAAATTCATGGAGATAAAGGGAAAAAAACAAAAGAAGAGGTCTTATAGGCATCATCAATGTAAAAACTATGAGGCACAACAGGAAAATCTTGGTGGAAAAGTAGTAAAGGGGAGGCTGGGTGCAGCGGCTCATGCCTGTAATTCCAGCACTTTGGGAGGCCGAGGCGGGCAGAGCACGAGGTCAGGAGTTCAAGACCAGTCTGGCCAGCATGGTGAAACCCCATCTCTACTAAAAGTACAAAAATGAGCCGGGTATGGGGGCGCACACCTGTAATCCCAGCTACTCAGAAGGCTGAGGCAGGAGAATCACTTGACCCCAGGGAGTTGGAGCTTGCAGTGAGCCATGATTGTGCCACTGTGCTTCAGTCTGGGCGACAGAGCGAGACTCCGTCTCAAAAAAAAAGTAGAAAAGGGCTGGGCGCAGTGGCTCACTCCTGTAATCCCAGCACTTTGGAAGGCTGAGGTGGGCAGATCAGGAGGTCGGGAGTTCGAGACCAGCCTGGCCAACATGGTGAAACCCGTCTCTACTAAAAATACATAAATTAGCCGGGCATGGTGGCACACACCTGTAATCCCAGCTACTCGGGAGGCTGAGGCAGGAGAATTGCTTGAACCTGGGAGGTGGAGGTTGCAGTGAGCCAAGATTGTGCCATTGAACTCCAGCTTTGGGCAACAGAACAAGAATCCATCTCGGGAAAAATAAAAAAGTAGAAAAGATGGGGTCCTGAAAAGTCATCAGCTATCAAAAAGGATCCCTGATAGAAAAAACTTTGGACCTTCTGTGAAAAGACAGTTTGTGGTACATCTCAAGTGAGGTTTATTCCAAACTTCACCCAAGTGGCAGCCACAGGGTCAAACGTATTCACTTCCCAGCATCTTTGGGTTCTCATAACACAGGCCCAGTAAGGACTTATCAAGAATTGGAGGAAATTAGTAATCAATTCAAGCTTAGATGATGCATTCTGGTATTCCAATCCAACCTCAATGCCTTGATTATGCCTACCCAAGATACTGGGAGTTTCTGTACAACACTGACAGACATAAGTAAAACAAACAAAGCGGTTTAAACACTAACAGAAAAGAAGTCTGGGATCCACCCATGATTGAGATGTCACTCCTAGCAAAATGAAAACCTGAAAACCATGTGACAGTCAACATGGGTGGATTCTCTTAGAAACAAGTGTGGATGTTTTACTTGAAAGGAGAAAGCAGCAGAGGAATACATGCTCACACAATTCACTTCCACCACTGTTGGCAAAACTGTGACCCCACCACTGAGAAAGAAGTGAAAGGCACTCCAAAGCAAGGGGGAAAAGGCAACCAAGTCAATACTCCACCTACTCGGATGTGGGACCCGATGTGGGTGGCGGTGACTATGGGGCGCCACGCTGTCCGGTATGGTGTGAAAGTCTAAACCAGTGACAGACAGGTTATCCAGGACACAGACATGCCCTCACATGCCACCCACCTTCCTCTGCTACCACTTTCTGCCAAACTAAGGTACTGAGTTAGGGGACCAAATAAATGACCAAGCCAAGATCACCATAGTAACTGTGAGCATGAAAGTAAAAGATTAAATGAGAGCTCCTGCTCAAATTAAAAATGAGGCCACAGAAGACTAGAGAAAATCCTCTCACATTCAAGTCAATTGTCCATCTCACATATTTCATTTTTACACCCTCAAGAAAGAACTAGGGCAAGGCCTGTCCCAGTACTGGAACCATTGTCCCATTGCTGATGTGTCTGATCTTGTAAATACTGCAGGTTAGAGAGAGTCTGGCTTCACAGGCTTACTATTATTTGAGAGCGTGAGTGGGCAGGGAGGCAGGTGCACTTCATAAACATGTGGAAAGCTGACGGGGTGGACAAGCAAGCCTGGTTCTGACTCAGGTGGATTTCTCAGTAGGGACATAAGCAAGCAACAGGAGCCTTCAGAGAAGCAGATGGTGGAAACATTAAGCAAAGAAGACAGGAATGAAGTACAGGTTGGAAAAATAAAGCACACAGGCTGGGTGCAGTGGCTCACGCCTGTAATCCCAGCACTTTGGGAGGCCGAGGCAGGCGGATTGCTTGAGCTCCGGAGTTCAAGACCAGCCTGGGCAACATGGCAAGATCCCTATCTCTACTAAAAATACAAAAAAAATAGCTCAGTGTGCTTGTGCGTTCCTGTGGTGCCGGCTACTCGGGAGGCTGAGGTGGGTGAACCACTTGAGCCTGGTGGAAGGAGGTTGCAGTTAGCTGAGATTGTGCCACTGCACTCCAGCATGGGTGACACAGCAAGACCCTGTCTCAAAAATAATAATAAATTAAAATAAAACAAATAGTGGTGACTGGACAAAGAAGGGGATAGAGGAAATTCCAGTTCAGTCATCTATCAACTGTGTGACTTTGGGCAAGTTACTCAAATTCTCTGAGACTCAGTTTCTACTCTCACATAATAGGGAAATAATGGCCACCTTGCACACTTACTGTGAAGATCAGAGGTTAGCAAAGTAACTGTACATAAATAGCTCCTAATACCTACTCAACAAACTATATTTAATAGGTTTTTTAAATTTTATTTTATTTTTTTACTTTTTTCAGACAGAATTTCGCTCTTGTTGCCCAAGCCAGAGTGCAATGGCAGGATCTCGGCTCACTTCAACCTCCGCCTCCTGAGTTCAAGCAATTCTCCTGCTTCAGCCTCCCAACTAGCTGGGATTACAGGCACGCAACACCACGCTTGGCTAATTTTTTGTATTTTGGTAGAAACGGGGTTTTACCATGTTAGCCAGGCTGGTCTTGAACTCCTGACCTCAGATGATCCGCCCATCTCAGCCTCCCAAAGTGCTAGGATTACAGGCATGAGCCACTGTGCCTGGCCTTTTTTTTTTTCTTTTTCCCAGTCTTGCTCTGTTGCCTAGGCTAGACTCCAGGGGTGCAATCATGGCTCACTGCAGCCTTGACCTCCCAGGATCAAGCAATCCTCCCACCTCAGCCTCCCCAGTAGCTGGGGCTACAGGTGTGCACCACCACGCCCCACTAATTTTTAAATTTTTTTTGTAGAGACGAGGTCTCACTATGTTGCCCAGGCTGGTTTTGAACTCCTGAGCTCAAGTGATCCTCTTGCCTCAGCCTTGGCCTCCCAAAGTTCTGGGATTACAAGTGTGAGCCCCATGCCCGGCCAGTTAACAGTATTGTTAATGTTGCTTTAATAAGCTATCTAGGCCAGGAGCGGCGGCTCATGCCTGTAATCGCAGCACTTTGGGAGGCCAAGGCGGGCAGATCACCTGAGGTTGGGAGTTTGAGACCAGCTTGACTAACATGGAGAAACCCTGTCTCTACTAAAAATACAAAATTAGCTGGCTGTGGTGGCACAGCGCATGCCTGTAATCCTAGCTACTCGGGAGGCTGAGGCAGGAGAATCACTTGAAACTGGGAGGTGGAGGTTGCAGTGAGCCGGGATCGTGCCATTCCACTCCAGCCGGGGCAACAAGAGCAAAACTCCATCTCAAAAATAAATAAATAAATAAATAAATAAGCCATCTGGGCTGGGCACGGTGGCTCAAGCCTGTAATCCCAGCACTTCGGGAGGCTGAGGCAGGTGGATCACCTGAGGTCAGAAGTTCAAGACCAGCCTGGTCAACATGATGAAACCCCATCTCTACTAAATATACAAAAATTAGCCGGGCATGGTGGTGGGCGCCTGTAATCCCAGCTAGTTAGGAGGCTGAGGCAGGAGAATTGCTTGAACCCAGGAGGTGGAGGTTGCAGTGAGCTGAGATCTTGCCATTCTGCTCCAGCTTGGGCAACAAGAGCAAAACTTCGTCTCAAAAAAAAAAAAAAAAAAAAAAAATATATATATATATATATATATATATAAGCTGTCTAAACAGGGCAGAGGGTACTAATAGACATGAATAAAGTCAGCTTTAGGTCCTCCTCCCTTCCGCCTTAATTACTGAAGCCAAACACTTGATCTCTGTCCAATGTTCCCCATCTGTAAGCTGGTTACATATTCTACTACAGAGGTGCCTCATTCACTCTGGGAAAACAACTTCTATCAAGGAAATAATAACGCAGACTGATTTCATTTACTCTAAGACTGTATATAAAATAGTGTGAAGATGGGAAGATAAATATCTGTATTTAATTGCAAACACATATTACATTGCCCAAATGGGTTAAATGTTATTAGTCATATGACATTTGGAATTCACTTTTATTTCCTATTTACAATCATCATTATTAGTAATAGTTAATAATTATTCATCATACATCTTAGGGCTAATTGTAAGTCCTTAATATGAGACTGTAGAGTATTGCCAAGCAAACGTGAGACAACAAACATTTATTGTTGAAAATGAGTAGACTGGATCCTCAGTGAACGAAACCTCCACACAGTTATCAAGGAAGAGTAGGAGACAAAACAGTTCTAGCTGGGGCTTAAGGGTGCAGCTTTCATTTAAATCTTCAGGACTGCTTTGACAGGTAAAAGACTAGAAAAGGCTGGGCCTCAATGCAATGTGGCTTTGGATGACAAAGAACCAAAGAGAACACACAGCTAGACATGATGTATATCAAAGATAGATAAGTACATCCAGTTATAAGAAACTCAACGTGCACACCTCACTGTCAAGAGGTTTGTTTTCCCTTAATATCTTCATACTAGATATGTGAAACGAAGCAGAGAAAGATCAATTACTACCTCAGCTCCAATAAACTCGCACTAAAATCAGCCAGACCAAAGAGTTCCAGGACTCCTGCCTCAAAGTCAGTCCCATCACCATGGTCATTGACCAATAGGTGCCACACATCATTCCTTAGAGCTGGAGCTTTAACAGGCTTGCTGCCTAGACGTAAACCCCTCCCAGGGCAAGCCAAGATTCAAGACAGCAAGCTTTCCCACAGATAACCTTCTTTATAGTGTCTGTGCTTGTTTCTATTTATCTTTGCATCTGAGTCCTTAAATTTGCCAATTTCACTAATATGCTCTGCCATCTCACTGCCACTTATAAATGTTAAATTCACAGTTTTCTTTAAAGTATAATCACATTCTAATTTGCTCTGCAAAAGGAATATTAATTTCCTCACTGAGTATACAAACGCTTGCATTCATGCTGTCATATTACAAAGGCAGGATTCGGGTAACTTCTTAAGGAGACTTCATAAATTCTTTTAAAAGCTGGAAAAGTCTATCTTTTTGGGAACCCAAACTGACATGTATGCATGAATCTACAATGCTCCACCCAGATGAAGCCATCCACTCCACGAGCTACTCATACTCACCCGTATGGTTTCAGATGCAAAATGCCCTTCTGAGATCATCAGGTTTCCAGTTTCATCCAGCTTAACAATGGCTCCTGAGTTGGCCTGCACTTCAGCTTCAAATGCTTGATGCTTCTGAAGCTTTCCCTGTTGGCGGACCTTGAAGTGAGCCTCAGACGCAACCACACAGCATCAGCATTTTGTCCCCGCTGTTCCCCGTGTTCCTCCCCTCCTCAATCCTGCTCCCTCTAGTTAGGGATACATCATTTGGCACCTTGCCCATTCTCTTACCTGCTCAATTCCTCAAATACTCTGACTGCATTTCTCCTGGTCCTCTGAAAGCCTGGCCAGCGAGGGCCATCAATGGTCCTCACTCACCATTGAGAACTAACATTGTCAATGGAAGATGCTACAAAATATCCTATTAATAATTTTTTGTTTTTGCTATCAGAAAATTAGCCTTTATGTGAACATCCAGTCCCTTCTAGAAATACAGAACCATACCAACAGTTTTCTCAACATTCAGTGCTTACTCTTGAAAAATCCATCCATATTCACTCACACATGAGACTTTCTTTCACTTGCTTTAGAGGCCAGACTCTTTGACCCTGCCTACACTCCATTTCTCAATACCTCTTTTTCATCAAATACTAAGATGGGAAGGGGCCTGCCAGGCAGGGATTGTACCTAAAGCAGTGTTCTTCATTCTCTTCTTAGGTTACTGTAATCAATTTTTTATAGTTAAAAAATCCATGGGCCCAACTACTGTTCCACTTGCTACCGAAACAATTTTCTTTAAAAATCTTTCACTGAAATAAGTGAGAAGAAAGGCTTTCCCTTTTTATAAAAAAAGTTTTGGCCGAGTGCATTGGCTCACGCCTGTAATCCCAGCACTTTGGGAGGCTGAGGCAGGCAGATCACCTGAGGTCAGGAGTTCGAAACCAGCCTGGCAAACATGATGAAATCCTGTTTCTACTAAAGATACAAAAAATTAGCTGGGCGTGGTGTCGCGTGCCTACATTCCCAGCTACTCGGGAGGCTGAGGCAGGAGAATCACTTGAATCTGGGAGGCAGAGGTTGCAGTGAGCTGAGATTGCACCATTGCACTCCAACTTGGGCAATAAGAGCAAAACTCCGTCTCAAAAAAAAAAAAGTTTTAAATATATAATTTACGTACCATAAGATTCAGGCTTTGCTTTTGATAAGATTTACCAAGTCTCTGAAAGGGACTCATAACTTTAAGTACTTATTCTTTGATATCTGACTCCAGAATAACTATAAATTTTTGCCAGCAACATCACTATTATGCCTTCCTCAAAAACTCATTCCAGGCCAGGTGTGGTGGCTCACGCCTGTAATCCCAGCACTTTGGGAGGCCAAGGTGGGTGGATCACCTGAGGTCAGTTCAAGACCAGCCTGGCCAACATGGCAAAACCCTATCTCTACTAAAAATACAAAAATTAGCTGGGCACAGTGGCAGGCGCCTGTAATCCCAGCAACCTGGGAGGCTGAGGCTGGAGAATCACTCGAACCTGGGAGGTGGAGGTTGCAGTAAGCCAAGATCACACCATTGCACTCCAGCCTGGGCGACATGAGCGCAACTCTGCCTCAAAAAACAAAAACAAAACAAAACAAAACAAAAAACCTCATTCCAAGAGATTAACCCAGAACTTCCCTGAAAAATGTTTAAAGCTCACCAGTAGTATCAAGGCAGAGGTTTGAGAACCATCAGTTTAAAGCATCCAGAAAAGACAATTAATACCTCTAAGATTCCACATTCACCCTCACTAATACAGGAAAACAATGAGTTTGTCCTTCCTTATTATATTCTTCTTGTCCAATCTCTCAAGGTCATAATTAAGTAACTTTCCTCGTCTGATTTTTGGGTAAGAACATTTGGGCTCTTGAATTTTGGCAGGAATCCCAGGAGATCAGACGTACCTGCAAGTTGGTTGGGTCTTTATAATTCTCATCAGATGCAATCTGAAGTTTTTCCTGTATCCATTTCTCCAGCTCTTCAGCATCTCTTTGAAAGAACTGGAATCGATAGGAATCTTCCAGCTTCTGACGCCTAAGGGTTGAGAGTTCCTTGAAGCGGTGGTATCGGTCTAGGACCTGCTGCCGCCTCTCCTGGATGTCCTCTGCTGTTTCCAGCACTTTGACCCCACTTGGGTCCATTTTCTGAAATGACAAAATGCGCTGAGATAAGTACCAATAGGCACCAAAATAGATGAAAAGTAATTAGCCTCTCTGAAGGAAAGAAATAATTATCAGATAAACCCAGGAGACAAATGAATTGAGAAGACAGCCCCTTCTTAGGAACAATGAAGCCCAGATCCTATTTCTTTATTAAAAACGGCCATCCATTCCCCTGCAACACCTACCTACATAGGGCCCTCAGAAGATGCCTAACCCACACACGGCAAGGAAACCAAATGAAAACTGTGAATGGGAGAACTATGGTTTGTACTGTCAATTCTACAAAGGCTTCAAGGATTCAGAGGAAACAGCAACTGTGGTATTCAAATAATCACTGCTAAGTCCATTCAGAAGTCCTTTCAAGCAGGGGGTGCGGTGGCGCACACTTGTAATCCCAACACTTTGGGAGGCCAAAGTGGCAGACTGCTTGACTCCAGGAGTTCGAGAGCAGCTGGGCAACAAGGTGAAACACCGTCTCTACTAAAAATACAAAAAAATAGCTGGGCATGGTGGTGTGTGCCTATGGTACCAGCTACTCAGGAGGCTAAGGCAGGAGGATCACCTGAGCCCAGGAGTTCAAGACTGCAGTGAGCCATCATTGCACCACTGCGCTCCGCCCTGGGTGACAAAACAAAACAAAAACCGAAAACAAAGAATATGCCATTTTATCCTCTAACTAATTAAGGAACACAGAAGGAAACAGATACAGATTAACGCCAAAAAGCTTCTGAATTTGTCAGCAACATGTGACCTCACACTAGCCACCTTCCCTCTCCATGCCTCAATTTCCTAAAGTGACTAAAAATGTCAGGAAAAACGACGTGCTCTCAAGTCTCTTCGAACTTCAAAATTACAGCCTATAGAGAGGTTTTTGAGTTCACTAAGGAAGCAGAACAGATAAGCCTGCTGGTCCCTTCCAGCTATTGTTCTACAATGTATAATAAAAGGTATAAAATTGTGTTACCCTGGAAACATCTGGGAGTTCTTTCCTTTATCCTGTCGTCTATCCCAAGACAGAAAGAAAAGGGTGAGTAGGCTAAGAGTTAGGAATGAAACCTGTCAAGAGTGCTGCCCCACATCCACCTAGCAGGTAAACAGAAGGAGATGGCTGATGTCAGAGTTTCTAGCTAGTGCCCCAGCTCTGTAGGGATTCAAGCAGTTCTCATTGGTGGTAGGAAGGCACTGTCTGTGCCTGATCAGATCTGAAGATTGCCTTTCTAAGAGACCACCTTCCTGGAGAAGTGTAGATGAGCTGATTTTAGTCATATCACCATTCCTTTAAATTATTCTCCACATATCAACCATGTATTTTTGTTGTATTATTGTTTTTCCACAGTCCAAAATGTTTTATACTATAAAAGGAAACATTCTTCGCCATGCCACTCCCAAATCTTTTATGGCTTTTTTTTGTTTTTTGTTTGAGACGGAGTCTCGCTCAGTCACCAGGCTGGAGTGCAATGGCATGATCTCAGCTCACTGCCCTCTGCCTTCAGGGTTCAAGTGATTCTCCTGCCTCAGCCTCCCGAGTAGCGGGGACTACAGGCCTGCACCACCACGCCCAGCTAATTTTTGTATTTTTCGTAGAGATGGGGTTTCACCATGTTGGCCAGGATGGTCTCGATCTCTTGACCTCGTGATCTGCCTGCCTCAGCCTCCCAAAGGGCTGGAATTACAGGTGTGAGCCACTGCCCCCGACCTATGGCTTCCTTCAGACAGAAGAAAGAACCCACCTCTTGAGCAGGACCTTCACAATCTGGCCCAACATGCCTGCCTGGTATTATCTCTCACCCGTGACCCCTACCCTTGTGGCGGATAGAAGTATTCTTTCTGCTCTAAAATGTGTAATTCCCTTTAAAACTCCAAGCCATGTGCACATGCTTCCTTTGTTTAGAATGTCCTATGACTCTTCTTTGCCTAGATAGCGCTTATTTATTTATATCTCAACACCCAGCTGAAATGGGTAAACTGCAGGATCCTGACTCTTTACTAAACTGTACCCAATGTTCCTTCCTTCCCTCCTTCTCAGACGTAATCACACTTCTCTATAGATTTGCAAAGCAATTGTACATACATCCTAAGGTATGATTACACCGAGCAACCTAATATTTGTATACCAGATTTTTATTTATTTATTTATTTGTTTTTGAGACAGGACCTTATTTTGCTGCCCAGGCTGGAGTGCAGTCACGGCTCACTGCAACCTCGACCTCCCTGGTTCAAGTGATGCTTCCACCTCAGCCTCCCACTTGCTGTGACTATGGGTGCACACCACCATGACTGGCTAATTTTTTTTTTTTTTCTGAGAAGGACTCTTGCTCTGTCACCCAGGCTAGAGTGCAGTGGCATGATCTTGGCTCATTGAAACCTCTGCATCCCGGGTTCAAGCAATTCTCCTGCCTCAGCCTCCCAAGTAGCTGGGATTACAGGCGCCCATCATGGTGCCTAGCTAATTTTTGTATTTTTAGTAGAGACGGGGTTTCACCATGTTGGCCAGGCTGGTCTCGAACTCCTGACCTCGTGATCCACCCGCCTTGGCCTCCCAAAGTGCTAAGATTACAGGCGTGAGCCACCACGCACAGCCATGACTGGCTAATTTTTAAATTTTTTTTGTAGAGACAGGGTTTTGATAGGTTGCCTAGGCTGGTCTTGAACTCCTGGGCTCAAATGATCCTCCCACCTCCGGTCTTCCAAAGTGCTAAGATTACAGGTGTAAGCCACCATGTCCGGTCCTGTATCCCTGATTTCTAGCATACAGAGGTCATCAAGAAATGTTGGTTGAATAGGCCGGGCGCCATGGCTCACATCTGCAATCCCAGCACTTTGGGAGGCTGAGGTGGGCGGATTGCTTGAGCCCAGAAGTTCGAGAACAGCCTAGGTAATATGGCTAAACCCTGGCTCTAAAAAAAAAATTATCCAGGCATGGTGGCATGCGCCCGTAGTCACACTACTGTACTCCAGCCTGGGTGACACAATGAGACCCTGTCTCAAAAAAAAAAAAAAAAAAGAAATGGTTGAATAAATGATCAAGTCCATGCTGAATGTTGCAGATGCTGTGCAGCAGACCTGAATTCATTTGTAAGGGGTAGGGAGAGAGCTCCATAACGAATCTTTCAGTTTGCATATTGTAAAATTGGAATTCTATCCAGTTAAGTGCTAGACTGATGACAAGAATGGCAAATAAAGAATGTGCTGACTAAAGCTACACAACTAGGTGTCAACCTAATGACTAAATCTGAATTACCAATCTTGGATTGACCACATGGCAGTATACTCTGAGAAAGTGGCGTTTTTTTGTTTTTTGTTTTTTGGCAGGGTCTCACTCTGTTGCCCAGGCTAGAGTGCAGTGATACGATCTCAACTCACTGCAACCTTGCCTCCTGGGCTCCAGCGATCCTCCCGCCTCAGCCTCCTGAGTAGCTAGGAGTACAGGCAGGTGCCAGCACACCTGGATAATTTTTATATTTTTTGTACAGGTGTGGTTTCACCATGTTGCCCAGGCTAGTCTCGAACTCCTGGACTCAAGTGATACACATGCCTCAGTCTCCCAAAGTGCTGGGATTACAAGCATGAGCCACTGCACTGGCCTATTTTCTATTCTTAAAACAGACGTCAAGTCCTTAAAACCAAAAACTGGGAGTGACCTTGAAAAGCTTAATGTCTGCTCAGAGCAGTTTTTGTAATAAAATATATACATATATATATATATATATATATATATATATATATACACATACATGTATATATATATTTTTTTTTAGACGGAGTCTCACTCTGTCGCCCAGGCTGGAGTGCAGTGGCGTGATCTCGGCTCACTGCAAGCTCCACCTCCTGGGTTCACGCCATTCTCCTGCCTCAGCCTCCTGAGTAGCTGGGACCACAGGCGCCTGCCATCACGCCCGGCTAATATTTTCTATTTTTTAGTAGAGATGGCGTTTCACCGTGCTAGCCAGGATGGTCTCGATCTCCTGACCTCGTGATCCGCCCACCTTGGCCTCCCAAAGTTTTGTAATATTTAATGATAACAGGCAGTCATAGTTTACACTGCTGCCCTAAGTCTGTCAGCCTATTTTGGAGAAGGCTGATTTCTGATGAGGACCCTGACAAGGATCACTATAATCACATTTACTACAAGGTAAACAAGACTTCACTCAGTCACCTTCCAGTTGTCTCCTCCAGCCGTATCTCATGTCAAGCTCCCTCACCAACACCAATTACAGGTCCTGGACAGGGTCCATTTGAAAGCTCAAAAAGTTCCCTTTCCCAGGAGTGCACTCTCCTCTCCCACTCCCAACCCTACCATCTAATATCATACAGATCTCGGCTGGGCGCGGTGGCTCACGCCTGTAATCCCAGCACTTTGGGAAGCCGAGGCAGGTGGATCACAAGGTCATGAGCTCCAGACCAGCCTGGCCAACATGGTGAAACCACATCTCTACTAAAAATACAAAAATTAGCCGGGTGTGGTGGCACGCGCCTGTAGCCCCAGCTACTCGGGAGGCTGAGGCAGAAGAATCGCTTGAACCTGAGAGGCGGAGGTTGTGATGAGCCCAGATCGCGTCACTGCACTCCAGCCTGTCAAAAAAATAAAAAATATAAAAAACAAATCATACAGATCTCTGAGTCCAAAGCAAATGCCTCGTCCTCTATGAAGTCTTTCTGAATCAGAAGTCTCCACTCCCTGACCACCCACCTCTATCATTCATCTTATAACACTGCCACATTCTGCCATGAAATTATTGTGTTCTCCCTACCACATTCATAAGTCCTTTAAGGAACTCTAAAGAAGACCATATTTTACTCTTACTCTCTGGGCACAGAACTCAGGACTTGGCACATATTATAGATCCAATTATATTCAGAGCTTGGAAATAAAGAAACTGCCATCGTTTTATAATTAAGTAGTTGGGAGACAGGTAATTTAGTAAGCAAGTTGCAAAGGCCAGGATGACCTGGGATCCTCCGGTTCCCAGAATATGGCACAATAGACACAGTGATTCTTAACATGATTAGAGTTGACATATTGACATATTCTTTTTTTTTTTTTTTTTTTTTTTTTTGAGACGGAGTCTCGCTCTGTTGCCCAGGCTGGAGTGCAGTGGTGCAATTTCGGCTCACTGCAAGCTCCGCCTCCCCGGTTCATGCCATTCTCCTGCCTCAGCCTCCCGACTAGCTGGGACTACAAGCATCCACCACCTCGCCCGGCTAATTTTTTGTATTTTTAGCAGAGATGGGGTTTCACCATATTAGCCAGGATGGTCTCGATCTCTTGACCTCGTGATCTGCCTGCCTCGGCCTCCAAAAGAGCTGGGATTACAGGCGTGAGCCACCGCGCCTGGCCTTTTTTTTTTTGAGATGGAGTCTTGCTCTGTCGCCAGGCTGGATTGCAGTGGTGCGATCTTGACTCACTGCAACCTCCGCCTCCAGGGTCAAGCAATTCTCCTGCCTCAGCCTCCCGAGTAGCTGGGACTACAATCACAAACCACCACGCCCAGCTAATTTTTGTATTTCTCTTCTTTTTAAGAGACAGGCTTTCACTATGTTGGCCAGGATGATCTTGATCTCGACCTTGTGGTCCGCCCGCCTCGGCCTCCCAAAGTGCTGGGATTACAGGCGTGAACCACCGTGCCTGGCCGACATATTATTTATTGATGGCTGTTTGGTTATTTATTAGTTCCTTTCACTTCTTTTTTTTTTTTTTTTTTTTGAGATGGGGTCTTGCTCTGTTGCCCAGGCTGGAGTGCAGTGATGCTATCTGGGTTCACAGCAACATCCGCCTCCCAGGTTCAAGTGACTCTCCTGCCTCAGCCTCCCCAGTAGCTGGGATTACAGGCACCCGCCACCACACGCGACTAATTTTTGTACTTTTGTAGAGATTGGGTTTCACCATATTGGCCAGACTGGTCTCGAACTGACCTCAGGTGATCCACCCACCTCAGCCTCCCAAAGTGCTGGGATTACAGACGTGAGCCACAGCACCCGGCCTTCACTCCCTCTTTATTAGTTCCTTTTCACATCTGCACTTTGGAGTGAAAAAACAGTGAGGCAGACACAGTGGCTCACACCTGTAATCCCAATACTTTGGGAGGCGAGGCGGGCAGATCACCTGAGGTCAGGAGTTTGAGAACAGCCTGGCCAACGTGATAAAATTCTGTCTCTACTAAAAATACCAAAATTAGCTGGGTGTGGTGGCACATGCCTGTAGTCCCATCTACTCAGGAGGCTGGGGCTGGAGAATCCCTTGAGCCTGGGAGGCGGAGTTTGCAGTGAGCTGAGATCAAGCCCCTGCACTCCAGCCTGGGTGACAGAGCTAGACTCCGTGTCAAAAAAAAAAAAAAAAGGCGGGCACGGTGGCTTACACCTGTAATCCTAGCATTTTGGAAGGCTGAAGGGGGTGGATTGCCTTAGCTCAGGAGTTCGAGACAAGCCTGGGCAACACGGTGGAACCTCGTCTCTATTAAAATACAAAAAATTAGCCAGGTGTGGCGGCGTGCGCCTGTAATCCCAGCTACTTGGGAGGCTGAGGCAGGAGAATTGCCAGAACCCGGGAGGCTGAGGTTGCAGTGAGCCAAGATCACGCCTTTGCACTCCAGCCTGGGCGACAGAGCGAGACTCTGTCTCTTAAAAAAAAAAAAAAAGGTGAGGTGGATGTGGATGTATTAATCATTTCTTAAAAATCAAAATTATCGGCCAGGCAGGGTGGCTCACACCTGTAATCCCAGCACTTTGGGAGGCCAAGGCGGGTGGATCACCTGAGGTCAGGAGTTTGAAACCAGCCTGGCCAACATGGTGAAACCCCATCTCTACTAACAATACAAAAAGTAGCCAAGCATAGTGGCGCACGCCTGTAGTCCCAGCTACCTGGGAGGCTGAGACAGGAGAATCGCTTGAACCCGGGAGGCAGAGGTTGCAGTGAGCCAAGATCGCACCACTGCACTCTAGCCTGGGCGACGAAAAAGCAAGAGTCCGTCTCAAAAAAAAAAAAAATCAAAATTATTTAAGATTGAGTCTTGGTAAACAATTAGGGTTAGACTTATTTATTTATATATTTCCTTTGTTCTCAACCCTCAGGAAACAGTTAAGATGGAAAAACATTGAGAAATTATGCATCTAATTTGTTTGCTTCCAAAATTTTCTTGTAAAGAAATTTTCCAAGGAAGGCATAGTTACACATGGAACAATAACGACACTGCACACGAGCTCCTGAAAGAGATGGCAGTCTCCAGGATTCGAGTGTATGGTGCTGTTCTGCCTCCTATCACAGGAGTCACTGCATTTCTAAAATCCTTTACCTGCTACAGAAATTAAATCACATTTGGGAACAGCCCTTTATGATAAGAAAATCTCCATCATAATATCGCAAAGGTTCCATCTGAGCAAGTCCCCCTGCTTGGGCCCAGCTTGCTGATTTGATCCTGCCAATCCAGAGAGACAGTTCAGCAAGGCCCTGCTGAAATTAACCAACCTAAAAGGCCCTCTTTGTCACCCCAGTGAAGTAGAACGAGTCAATTCTATACCAAGTGCTTTGGTCAGGCAATAATGGACTTTTCTTTCCTGCAGTAGATCAGCTGACGTCAGTAGGTGGGAGGTCTGCCAAGCCACAACAGGCTGTCTCTGGGGAGCTGGGTATCTGAAAGTCACCAATGTGCTCCCACTGCAGTCAGCATTCAGAATTTTCATTTGTGCAATTACAGGAGACACCAAAAAACATTATGGGTTAGTGAGAGTTTCCCCCCTCTTAACCTGACAGGGAGCTGTCTCTTGTTTATCTACACGAGTTCCAGTTTCTTTTTGCTCCTAAAAGGGTCATTTCTGCAGACTACATTAAACACAGGAAAATTCTCATAAATATCATTAAGAATTCCTGCCATCCAAAGGTGCTACAGCCTCTCACCCGAAACTGTCAGTTACTGAAATGTCAGCTCAGCTCGGCCTGGGCGTGCCACATTCCTTCCACAACCGAGGCTGCATGCTGCAAGCACCCCACCCCTTCCCTGGCATATGCAGCAGACTGATAAGGCCGACTTCACAGAGAACGTTCCAGGCTGTTCCCAGCCATATGGGATTAACGCCTTTTGAGAGCACCAGAAAGGAAAAATCTGGGAAACGTGCCATTAAAAAACAAACTCCAATCTTACCAGCCTATCTATCAGTTCCACTAACTGCCTAAAAACCACAACAGAGACGACTTCCTAGGAATGCAATCAACTGACTGCTTATCTCAAAGGAGCCAACTGTCTCTGATTTTGCCAATCAAGTCTGTTCACATAGAGACTGAAGGAGGGGAAATGAAGTGCTAAGTATATTCTCTATATGTTTAAGGACAACTTCCCATTTAAGGTAACTTAAAAAAAAAGGTATATATTTGCAAAATATTATTAGAGGAGACTGAAGACGTAGGCTATTTATAAATGCTGCAACGCAGCAGTCAAACGTTAGCTGCATCATTCAGCAAGTAATGCGAATCTCAGGGGGATAAAGCAGGAATTACAACTATGTCCTCTATTGTAATAAATAAAATGAATAAAATGAACTTGTCAGCATTCTTACAATACTACCAGATCTCGGAAGAAGAGTGGGGTCTGAATATATGAATCTTGGCTAGAAATTTCTAATATACAGCTGGGCGCGGTGGCTCACGCCTGTAATCCCAGCACTTTGGGAGGCTGAGGCAGATGGATCACGAGGTCAGGAGATTGAGACCATCCTGGCTAACACGGTGAAACCCCGTCTCTACTAAAAATACAAAAAATTAGCCGGGCGTGGTGGCGGGCACCTGTAGTCCCAGCTATTCGGGAGGCTGAGGCAGGAGAATGGCGTGAACCTGGGAGGCGGAGCTTGCAGTGAGCCGAGATCGCGCCACTGCACTCCAGCCTGGGCGACAGAGCGAGACTCCGTCTCAAAAAAAAAAAAAAAAAAAAAAGAAATTTCTAAT
Source organism: Homo sapiens (assembly GCF_000001405.40). Taxonomy (NCBI): domain Eukaryota; kingdom Metazoa; phylum Chordata; class Mammalia; order Primates; family Hominidae; genus Homo; species Homo sapiens. Next base: position 128,557,787 of record NC_000009.12, on the reverse strand, counting down.
TTAATCCAAAGATACAGCATGCTTCAGAATGATCCAGGATATCAAACACAAACTTATACACAGTATCAACTGAAAATGGATTCCTACAAAATAGATTAGACATGAATATCTTTGTCTTATTGATGAACGCCAAGAGACAGCTGTTTGAGGCAGTTCTTGGTATTTGGGGAATTTTCATTCCCCAAATAAAAATTTGGGGGTATTTGGGGGCATAAAATTTGGGAGTATAAAAATAAAAAAAATTGGGGGGTATTTATGGGATATATAGCTCTATCTTCTTGTACAGGCAGAGGCAGTGGGTGGGAATCCCACTGCGTTAAGCAACACAAAAGACTGCAGATACAAACATTTTCGAACCAAAGGTCAAATGCTCTGGACTCTGTAAACCTGGCACCTGCAGTGAGTGCAGTCAGTTTCTCTATGGAATCCCAAAAGAGAGAAAAAAATTATAGTGAAGCTGAAAGGAGTCTCTATTAAAAACAAAGCATTGGGATTGCCATTCTTTCAGCAAGTTGAATGCACTGGATGTAAGAGACATTTGGAATACTACAAAATGAATTCTGATTCTCAGGCAGGACACCACTAGACATACAGTTTTGCAAGAAAGGGATTTTTAGGGACTAACAGGATGAACGGGTCGTTTGGTCATTTGGTTATGGAAAAATTCATAAACATCACCCAAAGCAAAAGATCATAGAAACCATTCATCAGTTGCTTTTGTTGCTTAGTCAGAACCCAAATGTGCAGAACCAACAATGTCTTTTTTCCGTGGCTTAGGATGCCAGCCTATTACCAAATTTCAGATTTGCAAAGCAAGAGAACTATATCCATGGATGTGGAAGGGCTTCCCTAAGAACAAACCACCAAAGAATTGATTAGCACTCATAAAATTGTATACCAGTTGATTCTCAGATCAAACAAAATTAACTCAAAACCAGCTTAGCTGCAGATTTTAGTGGCAGATTTGATGGTAAGCAGAGAGGTCAATAATACATAAAGGATGACTGAACACCATAAATAAAAACAACAAATATTTTTGCTTAAACCACATTCCAATCAGGATTGTGGATCAGCATGTCAGCCTTCAAACTGATTAATTCATTTCAACTTGTTAGCGCAATTTTGCAGAGGTGAGCAGGGACTTAGCTTTAAGAAAGCAAAAGATTCATACTGCATTGCATCAAAATCCAGAAATGCAGAGCAATATTGAGAAAACTTACTTCTGATTGCTTCCCAAATACTATCTTGCTGCTACTTACCTTTTAACCTGCAAAATTCAGATGAGAGGTATTTAAGTTCCTTATTGTTACTATGACTCAAAACAGGAAATGGTTATAATGTGGCCCATTTTTATAAACCTCATTTAAGTAAATAACTCATCTGATTTATAAAAAGGCCTGCCTTGGATTTATCACCTATAAACACTAGAAATTTCCAATGTTTATATTTTTTATTTTGGGATATCAAGATACTAAATTTTTTTTTTGTGAAAAAGGTCCGACTTAGAAAACAAAGACTGTACACAAAGAAAACATATAAAGAGAGCTGTTTTTTAATTTTTTTTTTTGAGACAGAGTCTCGCACTGTCACCTGGGCTGGAGTGCAATGGTGCAATCTCGGCTCATTGCAACCTCCAACTCCTCGGTTAAAGCGATTCTCCTGCCTCAGCTTCCCAAGTAGCTGGGATTACAGGGGCCCACCACAACACCCGGCTAATTTTTTGTATTTTTAGTAGAGATGGGGTTTCACTATGTTGGCCAGGCTGGTCTTGAACTCCTGACCAAGTGATCCACCCACCTTAGCCTCCCAAAGCGCTGGGATTACAGGCATGAGCCACCGCACCCAGCCCGAGAGCTATTTTTTAAACATGAAAAGGTAAGCTCTATTATAGAAATTGTGGTGGAAGAAGTCAATGCAACAGGAAACAAACCCAAGTTTACAATATTTGTCAAATTTTAAAAACACAATTTTTACTATGTATTTTCAGATTATTTTCTCCAAATATCTAGGATAATATGTTTAGTCCCTTGGTTCTTAAAAACCAAGTAGCCACCAATAAAAAGTCAGCAAACACTACATGCAAACACCAGAATGGTGGTAAGAAATTAATATATTCATGCCTTAAAGAGAAAGAGAGGGAGGTTAAAAAAAAAAAAAAAAAAAAAAAGGCTTTGCAAATTTTCAAGTAAATTTACTAATACTTCTGATAATTTAACACCAAAAAACCCCAAACAAATCCTAACCAATTTGTTTAACAGAAACGTCATGCAGGCAGGGTTTTTTTCCCCCTTTCTTTGGATCATTCAACCTCTTTGACACGAATATGCCTTCACTGCAAGCCAGGCAAAACCAAAAAGGCAACCCGTTTTCTGCATGCTCGTCAAATACCTGGACTCTGCGTTTACGAAACGATGACAACATGATGGAGGAATGTGGAGTCTAAAGAGGGAGGGGGAAGAGCAAGATAACAAGCTTCTAAGGGCAAACGGAACAAAATCATGAAGAAAACAGATTATTTAAAAAATATGAATACAGATTAAAAATCCAATTTCAGATATTTTTTCAGTGTCTTCTCTCTGACATTCTGTATAGCGTCTAAATCCCACAAGGGATTTAAAATGTGGAAGGAGAACCAAGGTTCCCAGGTCTTGGCAGTTACTTTCTAGATATGCTGCCCTGGTCAAGTCTCATTCTCCTTGGGGCCTCAATTTCCCCACTTGTTAAAGTAATAATACCGAATATACTTTTTCAAACTAAACATGCCTTCCTCCTGAGGATCCCAGGACAAGATGATTCCTAAATCCCCTTCCATTCAGCAATAAAAGAGCATGACTTCATGAAATTGCCACAAAGTAGAACTCAAGCCACAAAGATCTGACTTGGGCCTAGTTTGCCAGTACACTTACTTTACAAAATACTATTTCCTGTTCAAAATTGGTACAAGAGGAATATGCAAAAAAGGTGGAAGAGAGGTGATGGTTTGCAGCACAGCTGCTCCAGTCAAGTGGCCCCCAGTGATGAGCTATGCAGTCCTCCTCCTCCTCCGCATTCCTGGAGTCAGCATTTGCCACTAGGGCGTTGCATTCTTCTACAGTACAGCCGCAGCTGATATGCTGCAACAGATGAGTGCGTAACTAGTGGGATCCCTGCATAGCCCACGGAGGACTGATTACAAAGGCAGGCCAGCCTTGAACACACTTGTCCATTCTTAGTGTAGATTCAGCAGTGACAGGACATGGGGGACTATTCCTGAGATCCACTTTTCAGGATCTGCAGTTGACCCCCAACTTTGGATGAAGGCAGGTAAGAAAAAGCAGAAAAAATTCTAACCCAGGGAACCAAAAGACATACTTAAAACAGCTCTCCCCATGTGCACCTCTTCATCATATTGCTTGACAGGCTTACACTGCAGCCTGTGACATACCAGATTTCTCCAATTATTAGATGACTACAAAACACACTGCCAAGACCAAAGCATATCAGAGAATCAGTTACTAGGCTGATGGTTTGCCATAAGAACTGCTTCACACTTGTCCAGGATGAAGCAAAAATCCTCCTTTCCAGTCTCTCCATCAAGGTCCCTGGATAACAGTTAACACACTTTGAGGGTCCCTTTGAGTAATTATTGGCCCAGTTACTAAAAAAGGCTTATTGTTAATTTCCTGCACAGAGGCCTTTACTGCAGCACTTTTTTTTTCCTCCGCAGCACATTCAATTTGACCTTTCAAAATCTAAGACATTAGTTAGCTGCAATGAAAGGGAAAATAAACGACTAGTTAAGGAGTCGGAACCTTGACTCAATGGCTTCATATAGCTGAGTGTTCCTCCTGCTATTTCCAAGATTTTCTGTTTCCTGGCTCCAAGACACCCCCACCCTTCCATCTTTGATACATTCTGTTTTACTTAAGGCCAATTGCTATGACGACGCAATTTCTCAACACATTATGAAAATACTTCATATGGCCTCTCTCCTGTTCTTCCCGAACAGCCATGATGGTAAGTTTTTCTAAAATAACATGATGAAGACAGAACAAAGGGCTTAAATATTTTAGGATCTATTATATAAAAGAGATCTGATTAGATGTTGGAACAGTTCAAGCATCATCTCAACCCAGCTTTCTGAGCTATTTAGGCTTTTCATTTAAAACATATTCAACTTTTAACAAGGCGCTTATTTAAAATATATTTTACTCTAGTACATCAGAGACTTTTGAAAGCGATGTTCTAGGGGAAGCGTCTAATCAAATTCTCAGGGACAGCTTTCAAACAAAAGACTGTTCTATCATTCAACAGTGGTATGGTAGAATTTTTGACACTGTATCTCGACTCGAAAGACCCAGTCCCAGGAAACACACACACAAACAAGAACGCTAAGCTATTAAGTTATTTGATTTGAGCCACATACCATGCAAGCACTGCATTTACCTATTATTTACAAGCAAATCACAACTAGGAAGAAAGAAAAATGTTTATTACAAGGAAAGAAAAGGAGACGGCCAGTCTCAGACCCTTCTGCGTTCAGAGAGACGGCAGAGATTCGCCATGCAGGATGAAATTAAGGTCAGAGAGCCGTTTACGCTATGCTCGGGCTCCCCGGGCTCTTCCTCCCTCTACGGCTGGCCGGCATTGCTGGTGCGATTCGGAAGAACGAGCTGCAGAAGTCGCTCCCGGCCGAGGGAAGGGACCGGGGGCGGTGCGGGGAGCGTTCTGCAGGGAGGCGGCTGGCGAAGATCCCGACGAGGGAGCCCCCACCCACCTGCCGCAGCCGGATGGGGCAGGGCAGGGCCGCGCCGCAGCCAGGCTTGGGGGTGGTTGGGAGGGACCCGGCGGCCTCGCGCCCCCTCCCCCCGTCAGTGACATTCCAGCGGCGGCGCCGAGCCTCGGCCCGGCTGCTCCTCCGCAGCCCACGCGCCACAAAAGCAGCGGCAGCGGCTTCCCCCACTCAGCCGAATGGAGGCAGCCCCGCGGCCCGCCCGGCTCACCTGTCCGCGCGCCGGCCCCGCCCCGCCTGAAGAGCTGCCCAGCTCCCACCCGGGGGTCGGCTGCCCGGGGCCCCGCTCCCTCCCGGAGCTCCCCGGCTGCCCCTCTCACCGGCTCTCGGGGGGTGAGGGGCGTGGGTGCGTCGGGCCGAGGGGTGCTGAAGGACCGAGGAGCCTCCGCGGCCTCCGCTCCACACCGTTCACTCCGCAGCGGGTAGTGGCGGCGACGCGCGCGCCCCGCCTCTTTTATAAGCGGCTACGCGCGCTCCCGCGGCGGGCGGGCGCGAGCGCCGGGGGAAGCGCCCCGGCGCTGCGCGAGGGGTGGGGGAGCGCGCCGGCGGAGCAAAGGGGGCGGTGCTCCCGCCGGCTCGCCGCCCGACCGCCCGGCGGAAAGGGCCGAGCGATCCCGGAAGGAGCCGAAGCGACAATGCGGGGGAAGAGGTGAGCGAGGGGCGGGCCGCGGGAGGATGGGGAAATGGGGCGCGCGCAAGGGGTGAGGGGTGATGGTGCAGTGAGGTCACTGCCTACGCCCTGGCGGTAGAGACGCTCCCGCCTCACCTCCCTCCCCGCAGCTTGCGCCCCGCCACCGCCCGCCCTGCGGACAGTCGTCTGCATCGCACCACTCCGCCCTGGGAGCTCTTCCAGGACTGCGGAGAAGGGCGGGGCGGGGGTATCGCTGCAGTCTGGCTGGGGATGCTGCGCGCCCCGGCCGGAAAAACGCCCAGTCCCAAAGGGTGAGATCACCCGAGTGCGTCTCTTCCTGCTCACTTTCCCGAGGAGGAGGCTGGCGCTGGGGTCCCAAGTCAGCCTAATTCGGTGGGGGCTGGGGTCAAGAAGACGCGGATGATTTGGGGCCCCGGGTTTGAGGAGGTGGTGAGAGGAAAAGGCCAAATCCGAATCAGAAAAAAAATTAAGTCGACTAATTTGGGGCATAAAGCTGTCATTCTGGGATTTGGAGAGTTAATTTCTTATGTTCTTGGAGATTATGGGGGAGGAAACGGCAGCGGCAAAATAATAATTTCTTACATTCCTGCAACAAAAGCTTTCTCACAGGTCGCCAGTGGAATAGGCTACATTCATCCTATTTCATAAACAAGACATTAAGGTTCTTTCTGGCACAATTAATCGAACTTGCCTTGTGTACTAGGCACTATGCTAAGTATTTCGTGTTACCTTTTCATTTCTTAATCTTTGCAATAATTTTATGAGATGTTTTCCCATTTTACAAATGGGCACTCTTACATAATGCTCATGTAGGCTAAGTCTCTTGGCCCAGGTCAGGCAGCTACCAATTGGAAGAGCTAGGATTTACATCTCAGCAGTCAGAACCTTCCCTTTGCAACCGTATGTGTATTGCCTTCAAATAGGAAAGGGAGGCATTTTGATGCGGGTGGCTGCTGGGGTGCAGAAAGAGAAAAATAAGATTCTCAGAATTTCTGATACTTAAAGTCCTAGCAGTTTAAGGTCCTGGCTCTAAACTCTGTAGCCAGAAGCCCTGGATTAGGAAGCCCTTTCCCTATCCCCATTCCGGTGACAGCTGGGCCGCAGCCACTGGGAGTAACACCCAGATCATTCCTGTGCAGTCAGGCAGACGGGGAGCTCTGCAGCTTAGGAAGGCTTCAGCCTCCTGGTTACCAAGCAGCTCTCCTCTTTAAATAAATATAAAGTCATTGGACACTGCACCAGAATCTGGGCCCAGACCTGGCCCTGAGCTTCCTGGCCCTCTGCAGTTTGGCTTCTTTCCCCGTGCCTGGGACCTGCAATACGGTTTCTAAGCTGTCCTGGCTGTAGCCATGATACTGAGGAAAAATTTCCCTACCCACTCACTCCATTGGAGTGGAGAGAAAAGCAGTGACCACACCCCAGAAGCTGCTTTAGAGAATCTGTGTAGGAGAAACGTAGGAGCTGAGAGGCATTTCCTGCAATCTTCTATGTAGAGAAAACAGCGCTGAGCAACTCCTCCCTGGAGTGTGCATTTCTGAGAACAGCTGATGGTATCCGTGGCCTCTTCTCCAGCAGGTTGCAGTAAAATGTTTGATCAGATATTCAGCTCTGGGTACAAAATGGCTAACACAATTGTAGCTCCCTAAAATTTCCAAGACCTTCTGCTCCAGCAAAGAAAGCACCTTGGGACTGAGGGGCAGGAGCTGTTCAAAAGGGAGGGTTTTTCTATTAAATCACCCTGGCCCCATAGTGAACTGGGGGTTCTGCTGCTTTTGCTGGATGCAAAATGGAGACCTAAGAGAGAGCTCTGTATTGATAGAGAAACTAAAATCTTATTTGATTCTTTGTGTGATCTGAGACATGACCAAGAAACAGTATCCCCAGCGCTCTCCACCTCCCACCCACTCACCCTGCCTTCTCTGCACTTGGCACTTGAAACCAGCCATTCTTCACTGTTCTGTTGTCTGCCTACCTCACCTCCCACCAGTTTCACCATATGCCTAACACCCTAGTAGGTGTGGAAAGCTGGGGGAAAAAACAACAACAGAAAAAGCACAGGACAGTGTAACGACTTTGTAACCAATCAACTCCATGTTCTCAGTCACACCTCTCCTGGCCTCCTAAAAAGCAGAGGGTTGGACTGAATTCTCAACTCCTTTTTCTAGTTTCAGCAATCCTCAGAAGGTTTGATAGGCACCCTAAGCTTAAGCGTCTAGATAGTCCCAATACTTTTTCAGGTTGTTGAAAAGGTCAACTGTTGGAAAACACACTAATTGTGGTGATGTGTCCATATGTTCCAGCCAGGGAAAGTCACTTGCCCACTCTCCCTGGGAGAGACCCCTTCCCCTCCCCTCCCCTCCACACCCTGTCTCACCCCCTGCAAAGATAACAGGCAAGCACTTCCACTATTTTTCTTCCCTAGAAGGGAGCTGATTGGGAAGAGTCATGCTGGCAAGTGGACTGCACTTCCCATATGACATTCTGCAGTGTCAGAGCTGGCAAGAAATAACACAGCTCTTCAAATCACAGTGCCTGGATGAACCTTGAAGGCTTTATGCTAAGTGAAATACGCCAGACACATAAGGATGAATACTGTATGACCATTCCACTTATATGAGATCCCTAAAATTGTCAGATTCATAGAGACAGAAAAAACTGTTGTTACCAGGGTCTGAGGGGAGGGAGGAATGGGTTATTATTGTTTAGTGGGAAAGTTTCCGTCTGGGATGGTGAAAGAGAGTTCTGGAGAGGATGGTGGTGATGGTTGCACAACACTGTGACTGTACATAATGCCACAGAACTGTACACTTACAAATGGTTAGGCAGGGCTTGGTGGCTCACGCCTGTAATCCCAGCACTTTGGGAGGCTGAGGCGGGCGGATCACTTGCGGTCAGGAGCTTGAGACCATCCTGGCCAACATGGTGAAACCCTGCCTCTACTAAAAATACAAAAATTAATCGGGTGTGGTGGTGCACACCTGTAATCCCAGCTACTCGGGAGGCTGAGGCAGGAGAGTCGCTTGAACCCGGGAGGCGGAGGTTGCAGTGAGCCAAGATCGCGCCATTGCACTCCAGACTGGGCGACAGATTGAGACTCCGTCTCAAAAAAAAAAAAAAGGTTAAACTTTTTATGTTCTATATATTTTACTACAATCAAAAGACAAAGCAAAACACAAGCCCCTGCTTCTAAAATCAAGCACCACATTAGAGAAGCAGCCTGATAGGCTCTGGGAGTGTGGCCTTACCAGGGTTTTAAGACTCCAGGTGACAGCAGAGATGTAAACTCCTCCCTCCCCTCCCCTAATCCGACCTTGTAATCTGGCTCCGGTCATTTCACATCTGTTCCCTTGCAGGGCTGCCTGCTAGGCCTGGTCAGTCCGTGTCCCTCCTGCTTACCTTGAACCCACTACTACAGTTAGTTTCACAAATCACGTCAAACCTTCTCAACAAGTTTCAGTTGTTTCCCATTGCCTACGGAATAGGCCGAAATTTGCAGCCTCCACAATCTTGTTCCAATTTACCTTTTCACAGCATCATTCCCTACAGTTCTGCTCTACTGGTCTGAGGTTAGCCTCTTTCCAAAACATGTTATTTCTCCAACTCCATGCTTTTGTGAACAATTTTTTCCTCCAATTAGAACATCCTTTCCCAACACTCATGCCTCCTTTCTGCCTGAAAATCTTACCCATTTTGAGTATATGTAAGTAGAACCTTTCTGGAAGAGCAGTTGGCAATGTGGATCAAAATATAAAATTTGCATGCCATTTGACCCAGCAATGTTAGTTACATCTAGAAATCTGCCTTAAGCAGGACAAGATGCATTTTCATTCAGGACGGGCGTGGTGGCTCACACCTGCAATCCCAGCACTTTAGGAGGCTGAGGCAGGCAGATCACTTGAGCCCAGGAGTTTAAGACCAGCCCGGGCACCATGGCAAAACCCCATCTCTACAAAAAAATGCAAAAATTAGCCAGATGTGGTGGCTTGCGCCTGTAGTCCCAGCTACTCAGGAGGCTGTGGGAGGATCACCTAAGCGCGGGAGGTCAAGGCTGCAGTGAGCCATGACTGTGCTACTGCATTCCAGCTCAGGCAATAGAGTGAGACCTTGTCTCAAAAAAAAAAAAAAAAAAAAAAAGAATGTTAATAATTTAAAAAAATATATTAGGCATAACCTAGTCACCAAGTGAAAAATGATTAATTACGATTCATAAATTCAAGACTATATTCATGATATAATACTTATTGACTTGAGAAAATATTTGAAGTGTTACTGAATTTTAGGTTACATGAATGGTACTCAGTCCATTTAAGTAAGAATTATAGGCTGGGCGCAGTGGCTCACGCCTGTAATCCCAGCACTTTGGGATGCCAAGGAGGGTGGATCACCTGAGGTCAGGAGTTCGAGACCAGCCTGACCAACATGATGAAACCTCGTCTCTAGACTAGAATTTCAACCCCAGCTTTCCTGGGTTTCCAGCTTGCAGATGGCAGATTGTGGGACTTCTCAGTCTCCATAATCTCATGAATAAATTCCTCGTAATTAAATCTCATCATATCCCTGTCCATCCATCCGTCTCCTATTGGTCTGTTTCTCTGGGGACCCTAATACAGTGAACTTCCATAGGCCTGTCACCCAGCTCCAACAGTTATCAACATTCTGCCATTCTTGTTTGTTTTTTTGAGACTGAGTCTCGCTCTTGTTGCCCAAGCTGGAGTGCAATGGCATGATCTCAGCTCACTGCAAACTCCGCCTCCCGGGTTCAAGTGATTCTCCTGCCTCAGCCTCCCGAATAGCTGGGATTACAAGCATCTGCCACCACACCCAGCTAATTTTTGTGTATTTTTAGTAGAGACAGGGTTTCACCATGTTGGCCAGGCTGGTCTTGAGCTCCTGACCGCAGGTGATCTGCCCGCCTTGGCCTCCCAAAGTGCTGGGATTACAGGCATGAGCCACCACACCTGGCCCATTCTGCCAAGTAGGTAAGTAATCATTGATTACTTCACCTTTAACATAGTATTTTCAGGCCGGGCGCAGTGGCTCACACCTGTAATCCCAGTACTTTGGGAGGCCGAGGTGGGCAAATCACGAGGTCAAGAGATGTAGACCATCCTGGCCAACATGGTGAAACCCCGTCTCTACTAAAAATACAAAAATTAGCTGGGTGTGGTGGCGTGCATCTGTAGTCCCAGCTACGTGGGAGGCTGAGGCAGGAGGATCGCTTGAACCTGGGAGGTGGAGGTTGCAGTGAGCCAAGATTGTGCCACTGCGCTACAGCCTGGCGACAGAGCGAGACTCCGTCTCAAAAAAAAAAAAAAAATTACTTGCCAAACTTATTTGACTATCAAGCCCTTTTTTTGAACCCTGCAGAAAAGCACTCTGGGATTTAAACCATCAGCTGACTGGCTGTCAGGCCTTTGGACTTAGACTAGATGAAATAAGTCTATCTGTGCTCCTGTAACTTTTAGCTCAACCCATCAAGTGCTCCAGGTGCTTAAATCGCATTCTCGATTGAATTAAAATTCTACCTTCAAGTCACCTATGTTGAAAACATGTTTAGAGTCAACATTCCATCCTTGCTACAGGTCGATGGCTTCAAGGTAACCTTAGTCACCAGGGTCCTGTTTTCAGGGTTGTAGGTTCCAGAGGTTGATTTTGTCACCTCATCAGAATTGTAAGCATGTTTTTTTGCAGGGTGAAAAGAGAGGTATCTGTTAATTTTGAAATAGTTTCCAATTTACAGGAAAGTTACAAGAATACTGGGAAGAAATCCCATATACCCTTCACCCAGATTCCCCCATTTGTTAACCTTTGACCACATTTGCTTTATTATTCTATGTTTACATATATAGACACACATAACAGCTGTATACATATACATTGTCATACACACGTGTATACATATATATGTATACACATATATATCCCCTCCCCCCAGTCATTTGAAAATAAGTTGCAGGCCGGGTGTGGTGGCTCATGCCTGTAATCCCAGCACTCTGGGAGGCCGAGGTGGGCAGATCACCTGAAGTCAGGAGTTCAAGACCAGCCTGGCCAACATGGCGGAACCCCGTCTCTACTAAAAATACAAAAATTAGCTAGGTGTGGTGGGTGCCTGTAATCTCAGCTACTCAGGAGGCTGAGGCAGGAGAATCGCTTGAACCCGGGAGGCAGGGATTGCAGGGAGCGAGATCACACTACTGCACTCTAGCCTGGGCGACAGAGCTAGACTCTGTTTCAAAAAAATAAATAAGTTGCAGACATCATGCCCACTTACCTCAATGTATATTTTCCAAGAATAAGAACATTCATTTTCATAACCACAGTACAATGATCAAAGTCAAGAGATGCATGTTGACACAGTACTATTATCTAATATACAGGCCTTATTCAAGTTTTACCAATTGTTCCAATGTCCTTTATAGCAAAAAACACACCCACAGAAATATCTTTATTTTTAGTGCAGGTTCCAATCTAGGATCACATGCTGCACTGAGTATAAATATCCTGAAAGAACTAAAAGAAAAAAAAAGTTCTTGAATACATCCTTCTGGAAAAAACTGATACTTTCTTAAATGGAGGCTGGCTTTAAATGAAAGGATAAATCCCTTTATAATGGGTGTTTTTGTAAATGCATCACATAGCCAGGAAGACTATAGTTCTAATCTGCTTTTTTTCCCCCTAGAGATAGCGTCTCACTCTGTTGCCCAGGCTGAAGTACAGTGGTACAATGATGGCTCATTGCAGACTTAACCTCCTGGGCTCAAGCAATCCTCCTGCCTCAGTCTCTCAAGTGGCTGGGACTACAGGCGTGTGACCTGTTTTTTTTGTTTGTTTTTGTTTTTTTTTTGAGACAGAGTCTGGCTCTGTCACCCAGGCTGGAGTGCAGTGGCGTGATCTCGGCTCACTGCAAGCTCCACCTCCCAGGTTCACGCCATTCTCCTGCCTCAGCCTCCCCAGCAGCTGGAACTACAGGCGCACGCTGCCACGCCTGGCTACTTTTTTTGTATTTTTAGTAGACACGGAGTTTCACCGTGTTAGCCAGGATGGTCTGGATTTCCTGACCTCATGATCCGCCCGCCTCGGCCTCCCAAAGTGCTGGGATTACAGGCGTGAGCCACTGCACCCGGCCGGCTGTTTTTGTTTGTTTTTTTTTTTTTTTTTTTTTAAGAGATGGGGTCTCACTGTATTGCCCAGGCTGGTCTCAAACTCCTGGGCTCAAGTAATCTTCCTGCCTTGGCCTCCCAAGTCGCTGGGATTGCAGGTGTGAACCACTGCACCTGGCTTAATCTACTCTCTGTAGGTCCACTGGAAATCTAATGTCAGGAATTCATTAGGCAGGATGAAGAAAAGTGAAGGGGATTACCAGGTGTGACATAGGCACTTGTAAGAAGCTCTGTGGCTCTTAGTGGAGCTTTTGGTTTTCCTGACACTGAGATAGAAGATGTCCAAGCCTAATTTTGTCACTGCTATCATCATAGAAAGCTGGAGAAGTAGGGGGAAAGCTCCTAGCACATGGGTGGGAAATCCTCAGAAATCTATTCTTCTATGTAAGGGAGGTGTAGAGTTTCTGTCCTCTTGGAATTTTTAATTTGTCATCAGATTTGCTTTAGCAGGACAATAATGTGACAAAAACATGGATCCTCAGCCTGATAAATGAGGTCAAGTTTGAAAGCAAGAAAGGAGACAAGTGAGTATTTGAATTAAAGCCGAAGGCAGTCCTTAGTATTCTGCTGTAAGGAGTCTGATGCTACTTTCCATCAGGAGCTGCATCTCTCATCTAGTAATCATTATCTCTATCCGTCAGTATCAAAAACCTGGACTCCCAGTGCTCTCCTTTCTTGGTTTACCATTGAAATCCATTAGGAATACCAGCATCAAATGACATATGCAAGACCACTAACCACTAGAGGAAGAATATTCAAATAATTCAAAAATCGTAAGAGGTATTTCATAAATTTTCTTTTTAATTTATTTATTTAAAATTTTAAAAATTTATAATAGAGATGGGGTCTCACTATGTTGCCCAGGCTGCTCTTGAACTCCTGAGCTCAAGCAATCCTTCCACCTTGGCCTCCCAAAGTGCTAGGGTTACAGGCATGAGCCATCATGCCCAGCCTAAGAGGTATTTTCTATGAAGTAATACAAATCCAAAGTGGAAGAGAAATTATAGATCATCTCATCCAGTGATTTTTCATTTTGTTTTTGACAGATGAACTTTTCCATACATAATCTTACATGGAACCATAATATATCATACAGCACATAAAACAAAAAGGCTGTGGCAGAGAGGATCCCAGAGCTCCATTAGAACCCCTAAATGGTTGTGCAAAACATGAGCTGCACAACTCTGGGAGGTACCATGACCTCCATCATAATTTTACTTTATTTTTTAAAGCTTTTCAGTGAAGATTGGAAAACCTGCTAGACAAATTCTAAAAGAGCTGTAACACTCATAGATTTGTACAGTTATTAACAGGGCAGTTGTCCAATAGAGGGTGGTAGTATCTTGAAGGAAAAGGGATGCCTTTTGGAAATTTGCTTTAAGCCTCTGTATGTTGACTGGCTACAGGGCTGAGCCCCATTCACTCAACATCCCCCTGTCCTGAAGTCATTGCTTCCCAACCTATTCCCTGTCACGGTACCTAGAAAATGATGCCTTTTTTTTTTCTCTTTTCTTTTTCAGATAGAGTCTTCCTCTGTCGCCTAGGCTGGAGTGCAGTGGCGCGATCTCGGCGCACCGCAACCTCTGCCTCCCGGGTTCAAGCGAATTCTCCTGCCTCAGCCTCCGGAGTAGCTGGGATTACAGATGTGCTCCACCATGCCCGGCTAATTTTTGTATTTTTAGTAGAGATGGGGGGGTTTCACCATGTTGGCCAGGCTGGTCTCGAACTCCTGACCTTGTGATCCACTAGCTTCGGCCTCCCGAAGTTCTGGGATTACAGGCATGAGCCACCACACCCGGATGAATTATGCCATTTTTAAGGCAAAGGTAAGGAGAGGAAATGTGAATGGAACCGCTCCTGGGGGCTCACCCACCACAGGCCTTGTCTGGGAGGGCTAATGAGGTCATCATGCCAAGGCACACCAGCTGGGAAGCTCTTCGCTAAGGAACTGCTATCAAGCATAGTTTGAAAACTACAGTGACATGTCCAGTTCTTTTGTTTTACAGGTGGGGATACTGAGGTTCAGAGCGGGTGAAGGACCTTCCCAAGGCCAAAAAACCTAAAAGTGATTTGAGCCGGGGTCTCCTGACTCCGTCCCCAGTGTTCATTCCATTGTGTCTACCTTATTTATTTATTTATTTTTTTGAGACAGGGTCTTGCTCTGTCACCCAGGCTGGAGTGCAGTGGCATGATCACAGCTCGCTGCAGCCTCGACCTCCCAAGCTCAAGTGATCTGCCCACCTTAGCCTCCTGAGTAGCTGGGACTACAGACATGTGCCACCATGCCTGAAAAATTTAAAAAAAAATTTTTTTTTTTTTTGAGACAGAGTCTTACTCTGTCGCCCAGGCTGGAGTGATCTCGGCTCACTGCAGCCTCTGCCTCCTGGGTTCCAGCAATTCTCCTGCCCCAGCCGCCTCTTGGGTAGCTGGGATTACAGGCACACACCACCATGCCCAGCTAATTTTTGTAATTTTAGTGGAGACAGGGTTTTGCCATGTTGGCCAGGCTGGTAAGACGTGAGCCACCGCGCCTGGCCAAAAAAATTTGTTTTAGACATGGGGGTCTCACTATGTTGCCCAGGCTGGTCTTGAACTCCTGGACTTAAACAATCCTCCCACCTCAGCCTCCCAAAGTGTTGGGACTGCAGGCATGAGCCACTAAGCACGGCCTATTGTGTCTTTCAAAGATTTTAATACACTTTCACATCTCTTGCTAGATAAAATAGGGTCAGTTATTAGTACATAATTCCAAAAAAGGAAATGACAGAAAAAGAAGTAATATTCCCAAGGTGTAGGTCAAGAAGACCAAAAGGAATAAATGCATACCGCTCTATACCTGGACTTGTATACTATCATGATTTACATAGCTCAAGGCAGAGGAAATTGATCATATTGAACCAATATATCAGCAATGGGTTTTTCAAAAAACCAAGCTTTATTATTAATTTTTTTTGGCACCTTAATTAACAATTCATAGAATGGGTCACTTCAGGCCACTCAAGAGTACCAGTGAACACTCCCCCACAAACACACCCTGCCACAAGACATTTAGCACAGAGGAACAGATCCATGGCCACTGCCTCTGCAGTATCAAAGAGAATTAGTCTTTCCACAAAACAAATTTTAACAGCCAATCTCTGGATTTCTGTAGTGGCTTTAGTCAGGCATATTTATCATCATATTAGCAGTGTTCAGTTCCTGCCCAACATCTTTATTTAATCCCAATTCAATGCTTATGGATGCTCAGCTCATGTTTAATGTTGCAAGCCCCATCTTAGCCCATCTTAATTCAAACAGAAAAGAAACAAAACAAAACAAAAACAAAAAAGGTACCTGCCTGGTTCATGGATCCCTAGCCATCCAGGGACCAAATTCCAAATTAGGATGACAAAGAGTTTCCCTTAGTTCAAAATGACATGTGTTTCCAGTCCTAATCCCAGATGTTAATCTAGCCATAGTGTCACCTGAGCCTTAGTCCATGTGTATATCACATACTTCCTCTAGCTTTAGAATGACTTCACAAGCTGAGAAAGGCAAAACAACCATAACCCAGACTTGCATGTAAGTATCTGGCCTCAACTATTAAATAATACTTAAAAGGGAACCTTATGAGCCTTAGCTCTTTCTGGAAATTCATCTGAACAGGGGTGAGGGTGGGTAGGTGGGTGCAAATGGTGGGCTCCCTCCAGCTCAGAGTGCATTTGTTAAGGTATTGCCAACTTTCTGAAAGACACTAGAGACAAGGGAGGAGACCAAGTGCTAAAGACCTTTTATCACTTTTGCAAAAAACAAGAAAGGCCAACTCCATTTATTTTATCACGTGGATCTCTTAAGGAACTACCAAATCTACTAAGGGACCTCCAAGAATTTTGTGACCCATGAAAATCTCCTCTCCTAGTCACAAGGCATAAATACATAAAAATACATAATGGCAAATTTCTGAATCTGACATGACTTCTCCCAAATACAGCTGTCTTCAGTTCCTTTATTATTGCCTCTTTGCAGCAGCGGTGATGGTGGGTGATGGAGTGACATCAGGAGCGCCAGAAGGAGGAAGTCAGAAAGCCCTTGGGGACAGGAATGTCCTTGTGTTGCAAACATTTCTGGTCAGGGAAAGATGAAGAAAACAGAATGAGTTTCTGATAACAGTGTTCCCAACACTTAATGGTTAAAAGAAGCTTTGAGGAACACCATATTTCAGCCCTATGGAACAGTGAACAAAAAGGAAAAAGCCAGTAAGACTGATGGTTCTGTATAAGATGTCCACTTCTGCATGATCTGCTCCAGACAACAAATGAAATGCTCTTATTATTCCTGTCCCACTCTTGTCTCCCTACAGGCTAACCTCATCTTTCACAATCACTATTTTCACAATCGAGCTTTGAGAAGCTGAAAAGTCAGCAGGCTATCTTGGCAAACCCACTATAGTGTTCTAAATTCTTTGTCAAAATTAACCTTTTACAATCTCTTGGCACTTGGAAGTAGGGGAAGAGTCCAACTGAAAGTGCAGTTTGATCTCATGGAGAAAAGTGATGACACTTACCAATTCCCCAGACCTGAGACTAAGAAAATAACCTTGGCCAACATGCAAAAAAAATATATATTAATGAGAGGAGATACACTAAATATATTTTACTCATCTCAGCATAGCTTTCTCACAGGCAGTATAGAGAATGATACATATAAAGAAGAGGAAATGGCAGCCCTTACTCCAAAGGTTAAGAGGGAATTAGGAACAAAAAGAAGGGTTTGGAAGAACTAAGGAAGAGAGTGCAATCAGAGCATCGGAAGGTCCAAGACTTGTCAGACATAGGTGCATTCCAGCCCAACAACAGTGTGGGGCATGTTGGTCTAAGGGCATCTTACCTCCAAGAACTGCTTGAGGCGTATGAAGGAGCCCATCTGTCCTGAGCTTGTGATAGCTTCAATTCTACAGGGAGAGAAAGACACATGAATCACACCTATGATATACACCTATCTTTTGGAAACGGTGTCTCACTCTGTCACCTAGGCTGGAGTGCAGCGCGGTGGTGCGATCATAGCTCACCGAGGCCTTGAACTCTTGGGCTCAAGCGATCCTCCTGTCTCAGCTTCCCTAGTAGCTGGGACTATAGATGCATGCCATCATGCCTGGCTAATTTTTTTTTTGTAGAGATGGGGTCTTGCTATATTGCCCAGGCTGGTTTTGAACACCTGGGCTCAAGTGATCCTCCTCCTGTGGCCTCCCAAAGAGCTGCAATTATAGGCATAATTATAGGCATAAGCCACTGTGCTCAGCCCCTAATTTGTGTTTTTGTTTGGGCAATGATATTTAAGACAGACTCTCATTAAGGTTCAAAAGCATTTATTCAAATATCAACGAGAGGGACTGGAGTAGGAAAGATGTCATACTTAGTACAGGTGTTTTTAACTTGAATCAAAACCAGCAGGTAATAGCACCCTTGGGTATCTGAGGCCTGGTTATGAGTTACTTAATCCCCTGCTGTCTGCTCAACAAGCCTGATACCTGGGAAAGTAGTCCTCTTTGATGAGAATTAGCATCTTCCAGAACTGAACCTGGTATTGCTTCATGAGGGCATTCCCACACACCTAGAGGGAAAGACAGGCACTGTCAGAGCAGAAAATGAAAATTCACACTCACAGGACAGATTCATAAAGCACAATCAGCCCTTCATCTTTCACACCTATCAAAAATTTCAACCACAATGCCACTGAACTTGCTAACAAGGGAATAAATGGAAACACCCAACTTTCTTCTAAAGCATTTCTCTTTATATGGCAATATCTCCATTTAACCAATCAGGTCTTAATGAACTACTCTTCTTTTCCTCTAATGAATGGACGCCTTCCTAAAGGTATGGTATACCTCCCAAACTTAGTAAGGAGAGTATACAGAATACCACTTGTGTTCTCAAATGATACAGGATCATTGTTCATGTATGGTGACTTCAGGAGCTTTTTATTTTTTTTTGAAATAGGGTCTCACTCTGTCGCCCAGGCTAGAGGACACTGGCATGATCACAGCTCACTGTAGCCTCAACCTCCCTGGGCTCAGGTGATCCTCCAACCTCAGCCTCCTCAGTAACTGGGACCACAGGCACACACCACTAATTTTTGTATTTTTTTGGTAGATATAGGGTTTCACCATATTGCCCTGGCTGGTCTTGAACTCCAGAGCTCAAGTGATCCGCCTGCCTTGGCCTCCCAAAGGCTGTCAGCCACTGCACCTGGCTGACGTCAGGAGCTATTAAGGTAACTAGGAACTATTGGCACTATAGATCAAATGGTTCCAGATTTGTTATGGCATGTACCCCAAGGCTTTCTTCTATAAGAAGTGTCTTCTTGGCTGAGTGCAATGGCTCACTCCTGTAATCTCAACACTTTGGCAGGGTTAGGTGGGAGGATCGCTTGAGCCCAAGAGTTTGAGGCTACAGTGAGCTATGATCACACTAATGCACTCCAGCCTGGCTGACAGAGTGAGATCCTGTTCAAGCGATTCTCCTGCCTCAGCCTCCTCGGTAGCTGGGATGACAGGTGTGCACCATCACACCCGGCTGATTTTTTATTTTTAGTAGAGACGGGGTTTCACCATGTTGGACAGGCTCGTCTTGAACTCATGACTTCAGGTAATCCAACCACCTCGGCCTCCCAAAGTGCTGGGATTACAGGCGTGAGCCACCGTGCCCGGCCTTTATTTGTATTTTTAGTACAGACAGGGTTTCAATATACTGACCAGCTGGGCTCGAACTCCTGACCCCATGTCATCCGCCCACCTTGGCCTCCCAAAGTGCTGGGATTACAGGTGTGATCCACCGCACCCGGCCTGGGAGTCCCTTCTATATCCCTAAAACAAATTCCTCTTTTCACTTTTGCTAGAATGTACAATTTTCTGTTCTTTATAATGAAAAAAATCCAGAGAAGCCAAGTAAATATAGTATGGAGTAAAAGTGAAAGCAAGGTTGGTCTACAGCTTGGGAAAAATGTATGACACTGGAACCTCATGCTGTTTTACTATCAGGCCCAAATGCTATGCTGTTTCCCCATTCATGTCACCCAGTGGATCAAGGCTACCTCAACCACTGGCCTTCTCTTGTGTGATAACTGAGTTACGTACCTCCAGGAAGTCAAAGAGGAGGGTGGCTGTCACATCTGACAAGGGCTCCATGTTTAAGATCTGTGCCAACCAGCGCCATCCATGATTTAAGCCATGAGGGTGAATCTGGGAGTAGAGAAGCTTGGTTATCATTGATCTCATTTTGTTTAGAAATCTAAACTCCCAGTGTATCATCCAGCCATTACCAAGTGGAAATGAACCCCAGATCATCCAGCCCTAGCACCTGCCACAGGGCAGAAATAACACAAACTAAACAAATTCTGTTTTTCTTTTATTTTTTTGAGACAGGGTCTCACTTTGTTGTCCAGGTTGGAGTGCTATAGTGCGATCATGGATCACTGCAGCCTTCACCTCCTGGGCTCAAGTGATTCTTCCACTTCAGTCTCCCAAGTAGCTGGGACTACAGGCATGCACATGCCACCGTGCTCAGCTAATTTTTTTGTATTTTATTTAGAGACATGGTTTCACCTTGTTGCCCAGGCTGGTCTCAAACTCCTGGAGTCAAATGACCCACCTGTCTCGGCTTCCTAAAGGGCTGGGATTACAGGCATGAATCTACCTCGCCCAGCCTTCTGTATTTAAATGTTTCAGTACATTGGTTCCCACACATTCTTTTTTTTTTTTTTTTTTTTTTTTTGAGGGAGAGTTTTGCTCTTGTTGCCCAGGCTGGAGTGCAATGGCGTGATCTCGGCTCATTGCCACCTCTGCCTCCTGGGTTAAAGCGATTCTCGTGCCTCAGCCTCCCAAGTAGCTGGAATTACAGGTGCCCACCACCATGCCCAGCTAATTTTTGTATTTTTAGTAGAGACGGGGTTTCACCATGTTGGCCAGGCTGGTCTTGAACTCCTGACCTTAGGTGATCCACCCACCTCAGCCTCCCAAAGTGCTGGGATATCAGGCCTGAAGCTACCTCGCCTTCTATTTTTTAATGTTTCAATACATTGGTTCCCACACATTCTTTATAGGCTCCCTTCAATATGCATGTGTCAGCTTCAGTTTCAGGCATTCCATAGGGTAACAATTAGCCTTATTGACATTTTATTTATTATTCTTGGTACCTTTAGCACAGAACCTGGGACACAGCAGGCATACAATAAAAACTTGGATTTAATCAACTTCTATTTTTTCTCTTTAGGTCTCCGTAACTATTAATTTCTCTGTCCTTCTAATCTGTATTCCCTGAGAAATTAATTGGGCTGGCAAGTCAAAGCCCTGAACCCCAGCTGCAGCTTTCTGAGCTTGTTCTGTCCATCTGTGAAGTAAGGTATGTGATCTAGATGGCTTCTAAGGTCTCAACTAGTTCTAAGATGACAATTTCTTGCTCATTCCTCTTGTAAGAAAATCTTCTAACCTTAATGACTGATTTATAACAGACTCTCCTCTGGTAGACTCTGTTACAAAACCAGCTCTTTAAAGTACCAGGTGATCCAAGAAAGTTCCCTAATAATCAACATTCAGTCCTCTACATAATACCCATGAAACTGCCATATAGTTTATCCTTTAACTAGACTGGCTCTCTGAAAGAAGGCCAACATTTCCTGTGGGAGGAATACACATGGACTGTGGTCTAACCTCTCATTATTGACAGTAAGCCTCTTTTACCTACCTCCTGTCGGTTTCCATATGGCCACCGGAGCTGGATGATAGCAGCGTAGAGACGGATCATCCCTGACATGCGTTTTAGAAAGTTGTCTTGCTGCTCCACTTTGGAATCCTTTACTTGGTAACCAAGCATCCTATACGGGAAGAAAAAATTTGGCCGGGTGTGGTGGCTCACGCTTGTAATCCCAGCACTTTGGGAGGCCAAGGTGGGCAGATCACTTGAGGCCAGGAGTTCAAGACTAGCCTGGCCAATGTGGTGAAACCCCATCTCTACTAAAAATACAAAAATTAACTGGGTATGGTGGTGCATGCCTGTTTGTCCCAGCTAATTGGGAGGCTGAGGCATGAGAATTGCTTGAACCTGGGAGGTGGAGGTTGCAGTGAGTCAAGATTGCATCACTGCACTCCAGCCTGGGTAACAGTAAGACTGTGTCTCAAAAAAAAGAAATAAGAAAAAATTCACTGGGACAAGGCCAAAATAAGGGTGACAAATTAGAGATAAATTGCTTTTTTTTGGGAAACAGAGTCTCTGTCACCCAGGCTGGAGTACAGTGGTATGATCAAGGCTCACTGCAAACTTCACCACCCAGGTTCAAGTGATCCTCCCGCCTCAGCCTCCTGAGTAGCTAGGACCACAGGCACATGCCACCATAGCCGGCTAATTTTTTTTTTTGAGATGGAATTTCCATCTTGTCGCCCAGGCTAGAAAGCAATAGCACGATCTCAGGCAATCTCCGCCTCTCGGGTTCAAGCGATTCTTCTGCCTCTGCCTCCCGAGTAGCTGTGATTAAGGCACCTGCCACCACACCTGGCTAATTTTTTGTATTTTTAGTAGAGACAGGGTTTCACCATGTTGGCCAGGCTGGTCTTGAACTATTGACCTCAGGTGATCTGCCCGCCTCAGCCTCACAAAGTGCTGGGATTACAAATGTGAGCCACCGCGCCTGGCCTTTTTTTTTTTTTTTTGAGACAGAGTTTCACTCTTGTTGCCCAGGCTGGAGTGCAATGGCATGATCTCGGCTCAGTGCAACCTCCACCTCCTGGGTACAAGCGATTTTCCTGCCTCAACCTCCTGAGTGGCTGGGATTACAGGTGCCTGCCACCATGCCCAGCTAATTTTTTGTATTTTTAGTAGAAACGGGTTTTCCCCATATTGGCCAGGCTGGTCTCAAACTCTTGGCCTCAGGTGATCCGCCCGCTTTGGCGGCCTTGGCTTCCCAAAGTGCTGGGATTACAGGCGTGAGCCACCGCGCCCAGCCAACACCTGGCTAATTTTGTAGAGACAGGGTCTCACTATGTTACCCAGGCTGGTCTTGAACTCCTGGGCTCAAGCGATCCTTCTGCTTCAACCTCCCAAATTGTTAAAGTAATTACAGGCATGAGGCACTGCACCTGGCCCAGAGATTACTTTTTATGGCTAAAAAATAACAATATATTATTACACTCAGCATTACTATTAATATATTATTACAGGCCGGGCGTGGTGGCTCACGCCTGTAATCCCAGCACTTTGGGAGGCCAAGGCGGGCAGATCACAAGGTCAAGAGATCGAGACCATCCTGGCCAACATGGTGAAACCCCATCTCTATTAAAAGTATAAAAATTAGCTGGGCGTGGTGGTGGGCGCCTGTAGTCCCAGCTACTCGGGAGGCTGAGGCAGGATAATCACTTGAACCCAGGAGGCAGAGGTTGCAGTGAGCTGAGATCACGCCACTGCACTCCAGCCTGGGTGACAAAGCGAGACGCTGTCTCAAAAAAAAATAAAAAAAATAAAAAATATGTATATATATTATTACATATTATTACATCTGTAGAATACTTTGTTTACCAAGCACTCATATCCATCATCAAATCTGAGCTTCATGTAAGCCATGAGGTAAATTCACAGGAGGTAATAGATGTCATTACCCTCATTTAAAAATCAGGAAAAGATGCTCAAAAAGACTAAATGATTTGTCCATTTTTGCAAAGGTATTAAATGACAAAGCAGGGATAAAATTCCAAGACCCCAGTATCCTTTCCACTAAACTACATTGACTACTGGCACCTAAGTTCACAAATCCCAAAGGCTCTCCAGTTTACATAAAAGACTATGTATATATATTTTTTCTTTCTTTTT